>NC_000003.12:53646363-53949393 GCF_000001405.40 Homo sapiens | reverse complement strand
CATGGAATGTCTCTCCATTTACTTAAATCCTCTCTAATTTCCCTCAGCAAAGCTTTGAAATTTTCAGTGTATAGCCTTACACTTCTTTTAAAAATTTTATTCCTAAGTATTTTTGATACTACCGTGAACGGAATTATATTCTTTTTTCTTTTTTTTCTTTTCTTTTTTTTTTTTTTTTTGGCAGGGGCTTGCTCTGTCACCCAGGCTGGAGTGCAGTGGTGCAATCACGGCTTACTGCAGCCTTGACCTCCTGAGCTCAAGTGATACCCTTACTTCAGTCTCCCAAGTAGGTGAGACCATACAGGTGCACCATGACACCTGGCTAATTTTTTTTCTACTTTTGGTAAAGACAAGGTCTCCTTCTGTTGTCCAGGCTGGTTTCAAACTCCTGGGCTCAAGTGATCCTCCCACCTTAGCCTCCTAATGTGCTGGAATTACAAGCATAAACCACCATGCCCAGCCTGAAATTATAACCTTAATTTCATTTTTGGACTGTTCATTGCTCATACAAATACAGCTGGTTTCTGTATAGTGATCTTGTATCCTGTGACCTTACTATATTTGTTTATTAGTTCTAACAGGGTGTGTGTGTGTGTATTCCTTATAGTATTCTACATATAGAATCATGAATTCTATATATAGGATCCTCTGTGAACAAAAACAATTTTACTTTTTCCTTTCTAATCTGGATGCCTTTTATTTCTTTTTCATTCCTGATTTCACTGTCTAGAACCACCAGTACAATTCTGAATAAAAGAGGTGGCAGCAAGGACAGCAAGGCAACCAAGTTGCCTTGGTCCTAATGTCAGGGGGAAAGCATTCAGTCTTTTACCATTAAGTATATTGTTCATCATGGGTTTTTTCATAGATGCTGTTTACCAGGTTATGGAAATGTCCTTCTAGTTTAATAACTTTTTTAAAATCATGAATGGGTGTTAGATACTGGTATATGGTTTTTCTCTATCTATTGAGACGATTATGTTGTATTTGGTGTATTACATTAGTTGATATTTGGATGTTAAACCAACCTTGCATTCCTAGGTTAAATCCTACTTGGTCAAGGTGTATAATTTTTGGAGTATATTACTGGATTCAGTTGGCTAATTTTTTTGAGAATTTTTACATCTATATTCATAAGGGATACAGGTCTATAGTTTTCCTTTCTTATGATGTCTTCTCCTGGTTTTGGCATCAGGGTAACACTGGCCTGATAGAATGCATGGGGAAGTATTTCACTCTGTATTTTCAGAAAAAAAAATTTGCAGTACTGGTATAATCTCTTATTTAAATGTTTGATAAAATTCACCAGTGAAATCACCAGACCCTGGGCTTTTCTTTGTGTGAAGATTGTTAAGTATTAATTTATTATCTTTGCTTTTGAAAGGTCTATCAGATTTTTAATTTCTTCTTGAGTAAATTTCAGTTGCTTGTGTCTTTCTAGAAATTTGCCCCTTTCATGTGAGTTATCCAATTTGTTGGCATAAAGTTGTTCATCAAAGTCACAATGCTTTTAAGGAGTGAATCTGTATTTGAACAAAAGGGGGTCTAATTCAAGCTCCCACCCTTTACTGTTATGCATACCACCTTCCATTTATTTTTTACTCAATATACTATTTCAGAAACTAGGCATAAAATGGCAGGCATAGAGAGGATAATTCAGTCCATTCTCAGAAGGAGTAGCAATGACAAAACCCATCAATCAGGGACACAATTTTCAAAATAAACTGGAACATGTACTTTACAACTATATCCTCCTGGCTTTAAAACACCGTAGATGTTTCCAGATGTGACTTCTTGACTGCTTGTATTCTGAGGTCAAGAAGCCCAAACATCATTAGAATCTTTGCAACAGGAGCAGACTGCAAACATAATATGTGCAATAGTGAGCATTCTCTGTATTGGTAGCTTTACAAGCAAAGTAAGTGTTGTTTTTTAGCAATTTTGTTCATTCTCATAAATCTAAATGGAAAATTATGTTTGTGAATAAACAGAAAAATATGAATTCCAGAATTTTATGGCTAAGACTTTAGAGATCACCTAACCTAATCTCTTCCAGGTTTTTTTTGGTGTGTTTGTTTGTTTTTGAAACAGGGTCTCCCTCTGTCACTCAGGCTGCAGTGCAGTGGCATGATCTTGGCTCACTGCAACCTCCGTCTTTGGGGCCCAAGTGATCCTCCCACCTCAACCTCCCAAGGAGCTGGGACCATAGGCATAGACCACCACACTCAGCTAATTTTTGTATTTTTTGTTGAGTCAGGGTTTCACCATGTTGCCTAGGCTGGTCTTGAAGTCCTGGGCTCAAGCAATCCACCAGCCTCAGCCTCCCAAAGTGCTGGGACTATAGGTGTGAGCCACCACACCAGGCCCATCCAATTTTCATAGGTAAAGAAAACACAAACCCTGGCTGGATGTGGTGGCTCATGCCTGCAATCCCAGCACTTTGGGAGGCTGAGGTGGGCGGATCAAGAGGTCAGGAGATCGAGACCATCCTGGCTAACACGGTGAAACCCCTTCTCTACTAAAAAAATTATGAAAAATTAGCTGAGCATGGTGGCAGGCACCTGTAGTCCCAGCTACTCAGGAGGCTGAGACAGGAGAACGGCATGACCCCGGGAGGCGGAGCTTGCAGTGAGCCAAGATGGCGCCACTGCACTCCAGCCTGGGAAACAGAGCGAGGCTCCATCTCAAAAAAGAAAGAAAAGAAAAGAGAGAAGAGAAGAAGAGAAGAGAAGAGAAAAAAAGAAAAGGAAAGAGAAAGAAAGGAAGGCAGGCAAGAAAGCAGAAACCCTAAGAGAGCAACTTTAATTGAATTCACAAGGGCAGTAAGAGAGCAACTTTAATTGAATTCACAGGGGCAGTTGGTGGCAACTGAGATGTAGTCAGGTTGGTTGGGGAGCAAACATATAAAGGAAAAAAGAAAAGATGAGGAAGATTGTCCAGGATAGCATGGTTATTTCTTGGTGCATCAGCATCTTTTAATTCCAGGCTGGTTTAAAAATCAACATAGAAATGTTTAAGAATCTCAAATTATTAGTGAAACACCAGGGGTTTGATCTAGGTCCTGCTGCTCACCACACAGAAAGCCAATCACTGAAACAACAAATATTGCCAGGGAAGAAGGCTTTAATCAGGAGCTGCAGCCAAGGGGATGGGAGATCAGTCTTAAATCTGTCTCCCTGACTGACTAAAATAGCAGGGAGAAAATGTAACCATGTGGGAAAACAGGAATTAGGGAGAGGTAAGGAAGAGGAATTGGTCAACAGGAAGCAGGTGGTGGGCTAGGCAATCATGACAGGTGAGGGGTCTGGCCTCTCATTGTCCAGATGTGGTAATCTGGTAAGTTTCAGTTCCTTGATGTTATCTGGGAGGCCTGATGGTTGGTTTTCTGAGAAAGGAACTCAGATAAGACAAATGTAACTTTTGCAAGTTTCAAAAGTGGGAGGGTCAATTTCTATGTTTATTCAAAAGAAACCACAAACATCAGTTCTATGGGACAATTGGGTGGTTTCAAAATATGTAGCATTAATATTTTCAGGTGAAGAACTCTATGCATGTTTGGTGATGTTTTATGTACTTATATAATGTTTAAGAGAATTGAGCCTAATGGAATAAGAGGTTATTCTTTTGATTCTAATTTTAAATATGTAATTGATGTAGACTTGTGATGTTAAGTTCAGATTTAATAGGTTTATTACAGAATTGAATACGTTAAAAGAACTAAAAGTTTACCATATTTCTAAGTCTAATATATTAGATTTATAAGTTATTTAAGTGTTCGGGAAGGTTTTGTTAAGTCAGACAATTATAGTACCTAAAAGGAAATTGAATATATTAAATTTATAAAAGCAGTTTAAAAGTAGTTTAACCAAGTTTTTAAATGGGACCAAACATTAATCAAAGCCTCCTTAGAAGTGACTTATAACTTGCTAGGCTTATAAATAAAATAATAAGATTTGTAATCTAAACTTAAAAGCTTAAAAATACAAAAGATTTTCTTTAAATTCTAACTAATAAATCAAAGACCAATTTAAAAATCAAAGGTACTTCTGAATAATCTCTCCTGTGCACAAAAACTATCATCAACGACCTTGAAAATCATATTCAACAACTCAGAGAGAATGTGTCTTTGGTAAGATGCTGTCATTAGACAGGCGGAGTGCCAGTGCCAAACACTAAGGGGCCCACAGGCCCCTCATGGTGCCCACACAGGAGTCTAAAACAGCCAACCTGTACAGATATTAGCCAGGCAACCAAAGATATGGAGTTGCTTAGCATTTTCCACAAAATAAAGCCATGCCACGGTGGCAGGATACTATTTTAAAATAGAGCACAATAAATAGAGGGGTCAATGACTAGCTTTTTAATTACAAAAGCTTCTCCTTGCATTAATTAGAAGATTTGCAAGAATGTACAGTAGGGGATAGCTTTCCTGTCCAACAGCTGTCCCTTCTCCATCCCAGGCTAGATAAAAATTTCATGGGCTTCATGGAAAAAAGGCAGTGGGAAACAGGGGGAAAAAAATCATAGATATTGATCCATCCCTGCGAAGGGGCCCTGAACCTTCCCTTTCTGGACCAAATTCCTGGTGAAGGGGAGGATTAACTTCTCACACAGACAATTTTTTGGCATTTGAAAAAGGGAGAGCTATTTCCCTGTTCCTGCCCCCTGCCCCACCCTCCTGGGAGCCCGGTAGGAGCCCAGTACGTGGTAAGACCCAGAGTTCCCAAGGCCCTGTGTGCTGAGGCATGTCTAGAAACAGCTCCAAGGTAGCCTCACCATATGACTTGGGAAAAGCAACATGACTCCATGAGGCCCCAAGAGAACAAACACAGAATTCCCCACAGCCTTGTATGGGGCCAGTGTTAGGCACTGTGCTAAGCAACTTCCGTGCCTATCTCATTGCACCTTGACAACAGTCGTATGAGGGAAGCAGTCTCAGAATCTGTATTTACAGAGGAAGAAACCAAGGCTCTGAATTAAATAATATGCTCAAGGACACACAGCTCAACAATGTTGGAGCCAGGACTTGAACGCATTCTCCTAACCCACATGCTGTATTATGACCCATCAAAATATACACAGCCTCTATCACCTTTTGTGAGAGATAGATGAGGTGGAGACCTGTCTTCATGCCTTGTAGCACACAGAGAATGGCAGCAAGCCAAAGGCAAGAACCCAGGCAGAGAAAAAGATAATTCACGTCCTGACTCAGCATTGTTCTTGATGACAGTTTAGCTAATGGAAGCTACACAACACAGCCAAGAAAATTCTGGTCTTTTTCTCCTTTTGCTGAAGAGGATCTGGCTCTTTGGGGGTCATTTAAAGGCCCTGGCACTTTAAGTATTTTTAACAGTGAGCCCAGGCCGCCTTTGTGTACCTCCTAGCATCTCATCCCTCAGTCTGCCTAGCCCTGCAGGGAGAATGCAGCAACAGGGAACGAAGAGGCTTCCCCTTAAAAATGAAGATAAACTTTAGAGCATATTGTTAAGAGAAAAAAACTACCAAATAGTACAAGTCGTAGAATCCAATTTTTGCTTTCTCCATGCATATGAATGTATTTGCAGAGAGAATGGCCTCTCTCTGAGCAGTATAAGGATGGGTAGTTCTATTTGCATCAGGACTGTTGAGCTAAGTGGTGATGGTGCAAGGTCTTAAGCCAAGGTGGCCTGGGTTTGAATCTTCACTTTGCCACTTACTGGCTTTGGGGCCTTTGGATGAAGTGATCAAACTTCTCAGAGTCTCAGAGTTCTCATGTGTTATTAGTTGTTGGTGTGCTTGACACATGGTAGGCACTCAGTCCTCATATGTGGAGAAGAGCTCCACCTTTGCCAGGGGCCACAATCTAGCTTCGTTGTCTCTGAATGAAGACCCAGTTGTCTTCATTCTACAGATACAGAATCCCAGAGCCAGCAAATGGCCAAACTCAGTCTGGAAATGAGAGGTCCAACCACCCCTCCAAGCTCTCTCCATCCCGTCAGCACCAATAACTCAGATGATAAGGAACTACAGACATAATTGTGTTGTTATAGGAATCATGCCCAAGTGCATATTCTTTTTTTTTTTTTCAAGAGACAGGGCCTCACTATGTTGCCCAGGGTGGTCTCAAACTCCTGGCCTCAAGAGAGCCTCCCTCCTTGGCCTCTCAAAGCATTGGTACTATAGCCATGAGCCACCACACCCCACCCACAAATGCATATTCTAATGAGAAATATTTTATCAGATAGAGAGAAAGTAGATAGAATTTAGATACAGAGAGACAGAGATTTATCTCATCTTAATGTGAAAGTGTTTTTTATTTTGAGTTACATGGGTATTTGACCAGGAGAAACAGAATCCATGAGACCACTTTTGAGGCCCTTGCATAGAACTTCCTTTCAACTCATGCCCCAGCAGGGGGAGTTGAGAAAGAAATAAGAAAAGGTTCTGAAGAGACATTCTTATAGAACTACAGGTCTGAGCCCCACGGAAGTAGACAGACCTGGGCTTAAATGCCTTCTTTCTTCCTCACTTGTTGTGTGACCTTGAGCAAGTTACCTAACTTCTCTGAGTCTTGGTTTCTTACCTGAAGGATGAGGACAATCCCTAACTCAGAGAGTTAATGTAAGAATTATTTTAAGACAATGCTTATAAGGACCCTAACATATATTAACATGAAACAAACTACAGTCGCTTCCTCAATTGGAAAACTGTATCATAAAATCAATTAGCAATTTCTGTTTAAGGCTTATAAATTTGGTTTTGTAATGATCTGCCTCAGAGAAGATGATAGATATATATACAAAACTTGGGGCCTGAAATTATCCAGGTTTGGATTTCAATCCCATCTGTGCCATTTACTACCTTGTAACCTTGGGCAACTTGCCTGCTTCCGTGTGTAAACGGGAGCTGATCATGATAACTCACACAAAGAGTTAAAGCTAAGGCTTGTAAAGTGTTTGGCAAGACCCCTAACATGCTAAAAATGTTGGCAATTAATTTTTTGTTTTGTTTCTGTATTTATAAGAATTATTCATATAATTGCCTCATGCCTTTCCTTAATTTATGCCTGAAGTCATAGCGACAAGTTTCGCATTTCACATCACGATGCATTTCCACTGCAACAATTTAATCCATAAAAAATGTGGACCAAAATATATGAAAATGTTTACTTAGACAAACCTAAGAAACCGACATGAAAATAACGGAGCCAAACAGATTCTTCATTTTAAAAGCACCCTGACCCAGTCTAAGACAGCTCAAAGGGTCCACCTGCAGACTGAAATGTAGAGATCACAAATACACTCAGTAGCAAATTAGTTTCTAGTCTGCTCAGAAAGGGTCTATGAAGCCCTGACAGCCCAATTAAGTATGAGTGGGGAGGGAGTTAATGTTTATTAAGTGCCTACTGTGTGTCAAAGGCTATACTTATATTCTCTTACTTATCAATCATACTGCTGTAGCCCATGTGCACCACAATTAATGCCAGGGCTCAGCGGGGGTTTTGTTCTGTTGTGTTCTTTTTAAACATTTCAACTTAACAGGTACTAACTCATCCAGTCTTGTCAATAACCTTTTGAAGTAGGATTTATCATCATTTACTGAAAAGAGAACTGAGGCACAGAGAAGTTAAGTAAATTTGCCCTAGGTCACACAGCCAATAAGTATGACACTGTCTTAGCCGTAGTGAGCTGATCCTGGTATGTAGCTGCAACACCAAAGGAAATTAGCCATGGGCCAGCTACACCGTGAGTATTTCGTATTTTAGATTGCTACCGTGATTTTCATCTGTTCAGGATGGTTTTTCTTTTTGGTGGGGGGATCTGGTTATTAATTTTTATCATTATTATTATTACAGTAGTCCCTCCTTATCTGAGGTTTCACTTTCCATGGTTTCAGCTATTCATGGTTAACCATGGTCTGAAAATATTAAATGGAAAATTCCAGAAATAATTCATAAGTTTTAAATTGCAGGCCATTCTGAGTAGTGGGATGAAATCCATCTCACTTCCTCCCTCCCAGGATGTGAATCATCGCTTTTTGTCCAGCACATCCTCACTGAATATGTTCCCTGCCCATTAGTCACTTAGTAGCTGCCTCGATTATCAGATTAAAAAAAAAAAAAGTGTAAGTCGGGTTCGGTACTATGCCGGGTCTCGGGCATCCACTGGGGGACTTGAAACATATCCCCCTCAGAGAAGTGGAGACTACCATATTATTATTGTTATTTGGATAGATAATATATTCATGTGATTCAAAATTCAAAAGGTACAAAAGATATCTTATCCAATAAGTGTCCCCTGTCCTTGACCATACCAGTCGGTATCTCGTCCTGGAAGCAAGCAGTGCTATTAGTTTCTTGGGTATCTGTCCAGAGGTTTCTTATGCATTTGCAAACAGATAGATCAATATACACACCACCCCCCTACACATACACTCAAGGTGTGCATATTATTCACACATTTCTGCACCTTGCTCTGTTCATGGAGCCCAGGGTCTGGAGACCATTTCATATTAACAATAGAGAGCTTTCTCTTTCCTATGAGAACTGCCAAGTATTCCATTGTGTAATCTGTCCTCTATCGGACATTTAGGTTGTTTCCAGTATTTTGCTGCACAAACAATGCAGCAATAAATAACTCAGTCTACAGATCATTTTTCATAGTTGAGAATAGATCTGATAACATCATAGAGGTAGAATTGCTGGGTTAAACAGAATGTGCATTTGATAGATATTGCCTTCTTCCCCTCCACAAAGACTATCCCATTTCTAAACTGTGCATTTATGAGTGTCTGGATCTGTTTGATTAAAGTGTTCCTAAGCCAGCCACAGTGGCTCACACCTGTAATCCCAGCACTTTGGGAGGATGAGGCCGGCAGATCACTTGAGCCCAGGAGTTCAAGACCAGCCTGGCCAATATGGTGAAACGCCATCTCTACTAAAAATACAAAAATTAGCCAGGCATGGTGGCGCATGCCTGTAATCCCAGCTATTCGGGGAGTTGAGGCACAAGAATCACTTGAAACCAGGAGGTGGAGGTGGCAGTGAGCTGAAATCACACCTCTGCACTCCAGCCTGGGCAACAGAGCAAGAATCTGTCTCCAGAAAAAAAAAAGAAAAAAGAAAAAAGAGTGTTCCTAAGATTCCACTTGCTTAACTGCATAATCTCAGATGCAAACACTGATAAAAGGGCAACTTTCAACGATAACTCATGATTTCAAATTTTTATTTTCACCAAAAAGGTATTTCCCTTGATTGGCTGTTAAATAAAATTTCAAAATTGGAATGTACATTTTTATGTTAACAGAACGCTGCTTTTATCTGGTTTATATGTTGGAGTGCTACCCAGGCACTGCCTATGGTTCTGTGGGCAATTATATAAATGGCACCTCCTAGTGTTGTACACAACTGTATGCAGCAAGCCTGGTTGATTTCATTTAGAGGTATGTAGGGAGGTGTTCTATGTAGGGTAAAAAAAATGTGAGACCCACCCTGAGTTGGATGCAGAGGATTAATTTATAAATCCTGCTTGATGCTAATGATGGTGGCTAACTTCCAATTCTCTCTCTGAGAGCTTACAAACTCTCAGGACAGTTTTACAGCCATCTCTGCTGACCTATCTGAAATGAAACTTTAAACCTTGCACCAAAAGGAAGGCCAGATGTCAGTGGCATCTTGTCTTTGTCAAAGAACAGAACACAAGAGGGGATCCTGAGCCACCAGCTTCCTGACTCCCAGATGTAACTATTATCCACAGGAAGTTAGACGGTGGCACACTGGGGGTCTGTCATGAAGATGGAAAGGATCAGCGCCGTGGAGCTGCGCATCATTGGATTTAGATACTATCCACAAGTGCACATCACTCACCCTGTGTGATACGTCAGATTAGCTGTGCTTCGCCTTCCACCAAGCATCCCTAAATCCTAAATTAGATTTGAGATGGAGTTGATATACAGAGGCCTGGCCCCCGGAGGCTGGATGTTCAGAGAATAAGGATCTTTTTCACTGCTGATGGGACAGCTTGTCAACTGGGGTGTTGGAAATGAGATGCTGGAAAGGCTGCCACATTCCCTCCTTCGTTATCTCCGGCATCTTATCTTCACCTTCACAGAAGAGTGACCACAAAGGGGCCTGTGGGAGGAAGGATGCTAAAGTGGTGTGGATGGAGGAGGATCATGTCTAATCCTCAGCAGCCGCGAGAGCTCAGCTCTGGTGATAAAGAGATCTAGCAGTAATCCGACCTCTCAACAAAGAGATTTACTATCCTGAGGGGTGAGATCCACTCAGCTGTGCAGGGTCATCAGCTGATTTAATCCAGCCGCGTGTTTTACAGATAGGGCAAATGACTTTAAGCTCCTCTCTGTTTGGGTTCCAGGACTGATAGCATTTTAAGAGAGTGAATGAATGAGGTGATTTACTTTCTAGCCTGATTATATGAGATTTTCATATCTTAAAGATACAGTTTATTAAATAAACTAATTATGCCCAATTTGCTGCTAACCTAAACGCAACCATTTCTCTAGTCTAGAAGCTTTTCAGATGCAGCCTTTCATTTCCCTTCTTTACTGTGTACTGTGGTGACACCTAGTGGGAGAAGAAGCATAGCACCCAGGCAGGCACCTGAAAAAATGGTATGTTGGGTGATTCTACTTCCCTGAAGATAACCTTCACTTTTGAGTGGGTAGAGCCACCAGTTCCAGTGTAAAAGCTCCTTCATGTCTCCACCATTGCTGATAATAAGTTTAGCTTTGTTTCCTTTTAAAACCGTTGTGACCTGAATGTGGCGGAGAGGTAAGAAATTAATAAACCCTGTTCTATCCAAAACACTTCCTCTATATCGATGACATTTGTTTTCAGTCCTGAGAGAAGCCTGAAGATGACCATTCAAGTCTTAAATGACTATGTCCCTTAAGGCAAGTAGTAGCAGGGTTGTCCAGGGTGGCTTAAGGATGTGCAGGATAGGGAACAGCCTAGTCTGACACTAAGGAAAGTGAAAAGACTTTTCTACCCCACAAATGTTTCCTTTCTTGTCTGTATCAATGCCCAGATTTTCGCCATTTTGTAGCTCATTCCTTTGGAACTTGACAACTTTCGGCAACCCTTAATGATATAAACTAAGTGCAAATGACCCTCACCTGGGTAATGTTTAGGCCTTGCTAACATTCTAAGGAAGGAAGGTGAATTAAAGCTGAGATCAACTGACTATTTATTAAGGAATCCAGATGGTGAAGTTGTATACTGGATCAAGTTACATGACTCTAGAGTTTCTTGTATGGCTGCAGCAACTAGCTGAGATCTAGACCCTGATGAAAATGGATCAAACGCAGTTGCAGAGAGAAGATTAGGGCCTGAGAGAAGAGAGATGGGAATTAAATGCAAAGAAAGGTAGGAAGAATTCAAGACACCTTTGTCACCCTTCCAACTGTTTACATTGACAACACTTCTGACACCAAATGCATGATGTCTTTTCCAACACCACTTCTCCAACCTTCCACCATCAGCTGGGTGCCTACAACTCAATTCAATTCTGACACTCTCTACTGGAGTTAGCATCAGATCCCACAAGTTAAGAGCTCCATCCCACAACACTGCCCCCACTTCAAATTCCAGTTGCACTGGTACTTCTGACTGACCGACTATAAATTCAAGGGAATTCTACAACTCCCTCCTTATGTTTGATAATCTGCTACAATGACTCACAGAACTCAAGAGAGTGCTCTACTCACTATTGCTGGCTTATTATAAAGGATACAAACGAACAGCAAGATGAAAAGGTATATAAGGAAAGATTCAGGAGGGTCCCGAGCACAAGAGTTCTGTCTCACAGAGTTGGCGTGTGCCAACCTCCCATACTAGATGTACTCATCAACCTGGAAGCTCTCTGACCCCCATTGTTTAGGGGCTTTATGAAGGTTCCATTATTTGGCATGATTGATTAAGTCATTAGCCATTGGTGATTGAACTCAATCTCCAGCTGCCTTCCCCTGCCTGGAGATCTGGGGCTGGGGCTGAAAAAGTTCCAACCCTCTAATCACACTTTGGTGTTTCTGGTGGCCAGCCTTCGTCCTGCAGTTATCTAGGGACCCCCAGCCACCAGTAATCTCATCACCAAGAAAAATACACTCTTATCACTGCAGAGAGTCCAAGGATTTTAGGAGCTGTGTACCAGGAACCCAGGGACAAAGGCCAAATATTTATTTATTGTTGTGTCACATACCCCTATAGTCTTGCTCAGGTTCTGGCTTTAAGTACGCCGGGGTAATTTTTAAAAAATCTTCCTCAGTACATTTTGCCATGTCCAAACTACTCAACTGAGCCCTTTTTTAATAAAATCAAATCAGAAAAGCCCGCCCCCTCCTACTTTAGGCGACTGAGGAATAGACATGATGGTCTCACAAACAGATGTCTCACAAGTCTTCCTGGAGAAGGTTCCCAGGACATTTGACAAGAAAGCCAGAAAACTCAAGAACTTAAATCATCTGCACTTAGCAACCATTTCATAACATGTTTGAACCCAGACCTAAAAGAGGCAAAATGGGCTGGGTGCGGTGGCTCATACCTATAATCCCAGCACTTTGCGAGGCCAAGACAGGAGGATTACTTGAGCCCAGGAGTTAAGAGACTAGCCTAGGCAACATAGTGAGACTGTGTCGCTACAAAAAAAAAAAAAAAAAAAAAAAAAAAAATTTAAATGAGCTAGGTATGTTGGTGTACACCTATAGTCCAGCTACTTGAGAGGCTGAGATAGGAGAATCACTTGAGCCCAGGAGGTAAAGGCTGCAGTAAGCCATGATTGCACCATTAAACTCCAGCCTGGGTGGAGACCTTGTCTCAATAAATAAATAAATAAAGCAAGTAAAGACTTGAAATATAATTACATGCTTGGGCTTATCCTCTTTTCTCACTGTCATGGGCATGAAAAGAGCTTTCGCTGAGTAGTAACTGCCCCCTTATCCTGGGCCTCAGAATGAACACATATGGAACAGATCTGAGATTAACCCATAGTGAGGAGCTAAGCCCAGCTCAGCCCAGAGCCTGAAAAGAACAATCTTGATGTGACCCAGATATTGGAGTTAGCAGAGAAAGATTTTAAAGCAGCTATTATAACTTCATTCAAGGAAGAAAAAAAATACGCTTCAAATCAAAGATAAATGGAGGATCTCAGCAGAGAAGCAAAAATCATTAAAAAATAATCAAACAGAAATTCTAGAAGTAAAAATATCTGAAGTAAAAAAAAATTCATTGTGTTTAACAGCAGAATGAATTTTTTTATTAATTATTTTTTAGACGGACTCTTGCTCTGTTGCCCAGGCTGGAGTGCAGTGGCACAATCTTGGCTCACTGCAGCCTCCACCTCTCAGGTTCAAGCAATTCTCCCACCTCAGCCTCCTGAGTAGCTAGGACTATAGGCGTGTGCCAACATGCCCAGCTGATTTTTGTATTTTTAGTAGAGACAGGGTTTCACCATGTTACCCAGGCTGGTCTCGAACTCCTGAATTCAAGTGATCTGCCCACCTCAACCTCCCGAAGTGCTGGGATTACAGGCATGAGCCACCATGCCCAGCCACAGAATGAATTTTTTTAAAGTTTAAGTGAAAAGGATGAGAGAATAAAAGAAATATCTAACCTAAATAACAGAGAGATAAAGATTTAAAAAAGTACTCAGAGTCACAAGGAACTGTGTGATAATATCAAAAGGTCTAACATATGTGTAATTGGAGTTTTAGAAGATGAGGAAAGAGAATAGGGCAGAAAAAAAAACATTTGAAGAAGTAACAGTCAAAATTTCCTCAAATTTGGTGAATGAAATAAGTGTATAGGTTCAAGAAGATCCTGCAAACTCCAAGCAGGAACAAATATTTTTTTGAAAACACCACACCTACATACATTTACTCACACTGCTGAAAATCAAGGATACAGAAAATCTTAAAGCAGTAAGACAAAGCAACAATTTATGATCATGGACTTCTCATCACAAATAATGGAGGTTGGAACATGATAGAACATAATTTAAATGCTGTAAGAAAAAACCCTGTCAACCCAGAAATCTATATCCAGTAAAAATATCCTTTAAAAATGAAGGCAAAATAAAGACATTATTAGATAAATGAAACCTGAGACAATTCATTGCTAGTAGACATGTACTTCAAGAAATGCTAAAGGAGGCCAGGCGCAGTGACTCACGCCTGTAATCCCAGCACTTTGGGAGGCCAAGGTGGGCGGATCATGAGGTCAGGAGATCGAGACCATACTGGCTAACACGGTGAGACCCCATCTCTACTAAAAATACAAAAAATTAGCCAGGCGTAGTGGCGGGCACCTGTAGTCCCAGCTGCTCGGGAGGCTGAGGCAGGAGAATGGTGTGAACCTGGGAGGAGGAGCTTGCAGTGAGCTGAGATCACACCACTGCACTCCAGCCTGGGCGACAGAGCAAGACTCCATCTCAAAAAAAAAAAAAAAAAGAAATGCTAAAGGAAATTCTTCAGGCTGAGGGGAAATGATACCATATGAAATGTGAAGTGCAGGAAGAAATAAATGACCAAAAAATGGTAGACATGTAGATGATATAAAAGACTTTTTTCCCTCTTTCTTAAAAGTGACTAAAACAAAAATCATAAAATTTTACAGTGGAATATGTAACATATATAGACTTATACAGTTGCAGGTTTCTATATTTTAAGAGAAGTGGCACAATATTAACTCAAAGTAGACTTCAAAGTTAGGGATGTATACTGTAATCCCTAGAACAAACAGTAAAATATAATAATAATGCAGAGAGATAAAGCTATAAAGCGAATGAAAATTAAATTGGCATTATAAAAAGTATCCAGATAATTTTTAAAAGGTAAGAAAGGGCCAGGCGCGGTGGCTTATACCTGTAATCCCAGCACTTTGGGAGGCCAAGGCAGTTGGATCATCTGAGGTCAGGAGTTCAAGAACAGCCTGCGCAACATGGTGAACCCCCCGCCTCCACCAGTCTCTACTAGAAACACAAAAAACTAGCCAGCATGGTGGTGCATGCCTGTAATCCCAGCTACTCAGGAGGCTGAGGCAGGAGAATTGTTTGAACCCGGGAGGTGGAGGTTGCAGTGAGCTGAGATGGCGCCATTGCACTCCAGCCTGGGCAAAGCAGCGAAACTCCATCTCACAAACAAACAAACAAAAAAGTAAGAAAGGAGAACCAGAGGAATAAAAAACAGGGGGAACCAAAAGAAAACAAATAGCAAAATAGTAGACATACATTCAACCATAATAAAAGTTGCATTAAATGTTAATGACCTAAACCTTCACTATCCAAAATGGTAGCTACTAGCCACTTGTGGCTCCATAAATTTAATTAAAAGTAACTATAATTAAATAAGATTAAGACTTCAGTTCCTCAGTCACACTAGCCACATTCTAATTGTTCAATAGTTACGTGTGACTAATAGCTGCCCTATTGCAGAGTACAGATATAGAATATTTCTATCAGTATAGAAAGTTCTGTTAGTTAGTGCTGGCCTAAACACACCAATTAAAAGGCAGAGATGTCAGAATGCATAAAAATGCAATTCTCAACTATATGCTGTCTACAAGAGAAGCACTTTAAATGTAAAGATGCAGATACATTGAAAGTACAGGAATAGAAAAAGATATACCATGCAATAGTAAGTACAAGAAGGCAAAAAGAAAAAGAAATAAAGAGGGCTACAATAGATACTAGATTAATACTAGATAAAATAGACTTTGAGAAAAAAAGTATTATCAGAGATTAAAAAGTGAACTTTTGTAATGCTAAAAAGGTTAATACATCAGAATGACATAATCATAAATATGTATATGCCTAATAATATATTTTCAAAATACATGAAGCTAAAAATTACAGAATTAAAGGGAGAAATATACAATTCCAGAATCATAGTTCAAGAATTTCCCAGGCTGGTCGTGGTGGCTCATGCCTGTAATCCCAGCACTTTGGGAGGCTGAGGCAGGTGGATCACTTCAGGTCAGGGGTTCGAGACAAGCCTGGCCAACATGGTGAGACCTCATCTCTACTAAAAATACAAAAACTGGCCGTGTGTGGTGGCGCATGCCTGTAATCCCAGCTACTTGGGAGGCTGAGGCAGGAGAATCACTTGAACTTAGAAGACAGAGGTTGCAGTGAGCCAGGAACACACCGCTGCACTCCAACCTGGGTGACAGAGCAAGACTTCATCTCAAAAACAAAACAAAACAAAACAAAAATCAAGAATTTAACAACTCAATCTTAGCAATTTATAGAGTAACGGGACAAAAAAAAATCAGTAAAGGCATAGAAGATTTCACCAACATTCTCTTCTGTTGATATTTAAAAGACACTAAACCCAACAACTACAGAGTACATATTCTTTATAAATGCACCTGATACCTTCATCAAGATAGAACATATATAGGGCCATAAAGAAGTCTCAACACATTTAAAATTATTTAAATCGTACAGAATTTTTTTTTTTTTTAGACAGAGTCTCACTCTGTCACCCAGGCTGGAGTGCAATGGCATGGTCTCAGCTCACTACAACCTCTGCCTCCCGGGTTCAAGCGGTTCTCCCACCTCAGCCTCCTGAGTAGCTGGGACTACAGACGCGCATCACCACACCCAGCTAATTTTTGTATTTTTAGTAGAGATGGGGTTTCACTGTGTTGGCCAGGCTGGTCTCAAACTCCTGACCTTGCGATCTGCCTGCCTCGGCCTCCCAAAGTGCTGGGATTACAGGCGTAAGCCACCGTGCCCAGCCTCAGAATTTACTATTTAATTCCAATGGAATTAATTCAATGCTAGAGGGAAACATAGCTTTAAATGCTTATATTAGAGAGTAATAAAAATCTAAAACTCAAAGTTTCCAACTTAAGAAACTAGGAAAGAAGAGTAAATAGAAAATAACAGAGAGAAAGGCAAATATTGTTGAAACAGAAAACAGATAAACAGTGGAGAAAACTAACAAAGGAGGAATATGGTTCTTTGAGAAGATCAACAAAATGGATAAACCTATAGCCAGACTAATCAAAAGAAAATAAAAAATGCCAAGCACTAATATTAAGAAGACGTTAAAATATGATAAGAAAAAGTTATGAACAAATTTATGCTAATTTGACAACTTAGATGAAATAAAATTCCCTTAAAAATGCAACTTTTCAAAATGGTCAAAAAATATAACAGAAATTATTAAATAGCTTTATGTTTCCTAAAGAAGTTGAGTTTATTTCCAAAAACTTTCCCATAAAGAAAATTCAAGGCTCAGATGGTTTCGCTTGTGAGGTGTATGAAATGTTTAAGTAAGAAATAATATAAATGTTACACAACCTTTTAAAAAAACTAGACAGAGAGGAATAACTTTCCAACTTGTTTTCTGATAACTCCGATTTAATATATACATACTTGCCCCCTCTCATTACATCTTTTCACCAATGTACTGGAGGCCTTAGTCAGTGCAATGAGGCAAAGAAAAAGAAATAGAAAGGCAAAAGCTACAACTGTCTCTATTTAGAGATGACATGCTTGTTTACATAGGAAATCCTATGAAATCTACAGAATGACTGCTAGCACTAAGTGAATTTAGCAAAGTTATAGTATGCAAGGTTAGTATACAAAAATTAATTGTATATATAGAGAGATACATAAACAAACAGGGCAGGGCACGGTGGCTTGCACCTGTGATCCCAACATTTTGGGAGGCAAAGGTGGGAGGATTTCTTGAACCCAGGAGTTCAAGATCAGCCTGGGCAACAAAGTGAGACCCCATCTCTACAAACAATTTTTTTTTTTTAATTAGCCAGGTATGGTGGCATGTGCCTGTAATCCCAGCTAGTTGGGAGGCTGAGGCAGGAGGATTGTTTGAGCCCAGGAAGTTGAGGTTTCAGAGAGCCATGATCACACCACTGTACTTCAGCCAGCCTGGGCGACAGATTGAGACCTTGTCGCAACAAACAAACAAACAAAACAAACAAACAAACAAACAAAAAACACCTTCTTGCTGACAGGTCTGGAAAAAAATTTGAAAAAAAATTAAAAACAATTTCATTTGCAATACTTTTCTAAAAACCAAGATACTTAGGGGTAAAATTAACAAAAAACATGTAAGATCTCTATGCTGAAAACTATAAAACATTCTGAGAGAATTTAAAGACAATCTTAACAAACAAAGATGCATTCATCCAGTAATACTGGATGTCTCTATCTTACTAGCATGTTAATTCTCCCCAAATCGATCTACAGATTTAAAGCCATTTCAATAGAAATTTCAGCAAGCTTTTTGGGTAGAAACTAACAAGCTGATTCTAAAATTTATTTAGAAATGGAAAGGACCTAGATTATCCATAGAAATCTTGAAAAAGAATAAAGTTGGAAAGTTAAAATGAATTTTAAAAATTAAATATTGATGGATGAGTGTAGAGATGTATTGATGGAGATATAAATCAAGTATAATAAAATGTTAACAGTAGAAACTAGAGGGTAGATAAATGGGACTGGCTATAAAATCATTTCAATGTCTCTTATGCTTGAAAAATTACATAATAAAGTGTTGAGGAAAACATATGAATCTTTATTGAAGGTCTTTTGAAAAGGATAGGTTAGATCACAAAACACAAACCAAAACCTCCTGAAAATTCTCTACTCGTCTATGTCCTCAAAGTCCCATATCTAGCTTATCAGTAAGAATATCCATTGTTCTTCTGTTCTAGAACGAAAGGAAATGTACGTAACTGATTGATTGATTGATTGATTATTTTGAGACAGAGTCTCGCTCTGTCGCCCAGGCTGGAGTGCAGTGGTGCGGTCTCCACCCACTGCAGCCTCCACTTCCTGGATTCAAGTGATTCTCCTGCCTCAACCTGCTGAGTAGCTGGGACCACAGGTGCATGCTACCACACCTGGCTAATTTTTTGTATTTTTAGTTGAGATGGGGTTTCACCGTGTTAGCCAGGATAGTCTTAACCTCCTGATCTCGTGATCTGCCCACCTTGGCCTCCCAAAGTGCTGGGATTACAGGTGTGAGCCACCGCGCCCAACCAAATGTACCTAATTTTTTTTTATATGAAGGGACATCTCAAATATAGATATCAAAAGCAGAGCCAAGTGCAAATACAAAAGCCAAGGGCAAGTGATAAATTACTTTCCTTACTTAATAATCACATGTTGTTTCTGATCTCAGATAGTAAGTCCATGGATACCTATGTATCTATATTAGTCTTGGTTCCAAGTAACTACAATGTATTTCCAAAAACCAAATTTACACTAAAAAAATGAGATAGTTTCATCACTAAGGAAATCTGAACTAATATGTCTAAGGCTAAGCAGGACATTTGTAAGGAACAGTTCCAAATATGTTGTACACAGTCACAGCATTTTTAGAATAGCATAAAACCACATAAGACAACTATTTTGAAGAGAACCATTTCCAATAGGAAGTACACTTTAAACGAGCCTTCTAAATCAATCACATTATTTCACATTCTAGCACAAAACAGTAATGGATGTTTGTAATAATAAACCTGTGTTATCAAGGTGAAATTACAAGTAGCATACCATGTATCGTGAGGCATGATGTACAATTTTGAAAGATTTCCAATAGAAAGAGCAAATCTTTAAAAACTCTGATGCTTAGACATCACTTATCTGAAGAATTTGCCATGTGGGAGATAGCTCAGTCTATTTCAGAATACCATATGTTACTAAATTCACTTCTGGATACACCTTGACAGTTTGTTTCTTCTAGCCTGGCATATAATCTTCAAGCCGAGATTCCAAAACTGGCTATCTCTGAAGGTATATTGAGATACATCACAACGTAACCATCAGAGATTTAATTTCTAGCAGTAACAAAATGACTAAAAGAGGTCAATTCTGTTTCTTTCTACTTGAACAGTTCATCATTTTGACGGAAATCTAATGAAAAAAATAGTAACTCCAAGGGGTGTTTTGTGAAGTTCAGAATTTACAATGCATTCCCCACAATAATGTATTTGATACAATAGCTGTAGATGATACCTAGGTGGTTAGCTCCCTAAGATTCACACTTTTTCCCCCTTAACATTGTGGTGAGGATTTAAGATGAAGACAGTGTAACACACTTGACACAGTGCCCGATACATTAGGTAGATGTTCAACAAATGCAGGCTACTTTATTTTTTGTGGATTGTGAAAACAGCTTTTTTTTAAAGTGCCACATGAGGGTCAGAAAGGAAAAAACAAGAAAATTATGTTTTTATTCATCACTGCACTCCCACATAGCATTTTCCAAAAACATCCAAAACATTTGGTGTTAATTACCTAAGTATTTTCAGGTTTGTTTTCACTTTAGTTCAGGGTTTACATTTTTATCTTCACTGATTTTAAATTACATTGCACAAATATTCCGCTTTTCAAAAAAAAGCAAACCACATTGAAGCATATAGGCTAAAATGTGAAGGCTCTCCATTTGCCTCCTAGGCCAGCTCCACATCCTCCTAAGAGATATCAACCTGTATCTGTGTCCCTACAGTCATCCATCCACATGTAAAACAGAATCCACATTTCCTGTTCCTCAGCTGCAATAAAGCCTCCTAGAAACCTCATCCAACGTAAGATTTCATTTTCTTAGTTATTGCATAGAAACTGCAAGTCCTCCCACAAGTTTCCTTTGCACTTTGATAATAATCTCAATAAATTTGAAAGAATTTGACAAGCTCACCCACTCCCATCTCCACAAATACAGAGAGTACCTCTGAGTTAAAGAATGCAAGACACTCAGATATACCAAAAGATTGCACAGCCTAATTCCACTAAAGAACCTGGAAATAGGAGAATTGAAAGCTCACTACAACAGCGGACCATGTGAGCCTTCCAATTAGTGGGAACTGGCTGATTTCTTCTAGGCTGTGTGTCTATTCTGCTCAGATAAATATAATAAAATATGGGCCACAATTTGGTAAAAGTATCATACCACAAGGGTGGCAGGCTTCTCTGTCTATGCAAATTCCCACACAGGCCTTGATGTAAAAAGAGGCTTTCAAAAGCAAGTGATTCCATAGCAAACATGCCAAATAGATTATTAAACTTCAGAGTTACAGGTACTGCCACTCTACAGGTGATTTTCTAGGCAGTCATTATTTTTTTGTGAGCTTTCTATCCTATAGTTCTTAATATTCTAGAAGGATTGATGACATCTATTTCCTTTCAAATGGGGCAGTTTTCAATTTAGCCACATTCAGCAACCTACAAATCAGTCTGCAAGGCACTGTGAGTAAGATGACTTTTAGACCTCGGCTATGTTGTAGGTGGTTCTGCAGAGAATCCTGAAATACAGATGCCCTGAAACCTTTGATGAGTCCTAAGTAGAATAACATCAAAAGTGAGCTTTCTTTTCAACAAGATACATGAAAGTGAAAACCTAGCTGAGAGCATAACATTGCAGGGCTCATTTTAAATAATAGGAAGAAATGAGGCAAGTCCAATATTTATTTCCTCATTCCATGAAATTGGAACTCCATTAATAAAAGATGCATGACATGGACATAATATATAAATTCTTAAGAAATTTAACACTGCTAAAATAAAAAAAAATCACTAGATATTCACATTTCTATACCTTTGTTAAAGAGTTGGTTTACCGATGGAGGGAGGAGCCAAGATGGCCGAATAGGAACAGCTCCAGTCTACAGCTCCCAGCGTGAGCGACGGAGAAGACGGGTGATTTCTGCATTTCCATCTGAGGTACCGGGTTCATCTCACTAGGGAGTGCCAGAGAGTGGGCGCAGGTCAGTGGGTGTGCGCACCGTGCGCAAGCCGAAGCAGGGCGAGGCATTGCCTCACTTGGGAAGCGCAAGGGGTCAGGGAGTTCCCTTTCTGAGTCAAAGAAAGGGGTGACGGACGCTCCTGGAAAATCGGGTCACTCCCACCCAAATACTGCGCTTTTCCGACCGGCTTAAAAAACGGTGCACCACGAGATTATATCCTGCACCTGGCTCGGAGGGTCCTACGCCCACGGAGTCTCGCTGATTGCTAGCACAGCAGTCTGAGATCAAACTGCAAGACGGCAACAAGGCTGGGGGAGGGGCGCCCGCCATTGCCCAGGCTTGCTTAGGTAAACAAAGCAGCCTGGAAGCTCGAACTGGGTGGAGCCCACCACAGCTCAAGGAGGCCTGCCTGCCTCTGTAGGCTCCACCTCTGGGGGCAGGGCACAGACAAACAAAAAGACAGCAGTAACCTCTGCAGACTTAAATGTCCCTGTCTGACAGCTTGCAGACTTAAATGTCCCTGTCTGACAGCTTTGAAGAGAGCAATGGTTCTCCCAGCACGCAGCTGGAGATCTGAGAAGGGGCAGACTGCCTCCTCAAGTGGGTCCCTGACCCCTGACCCCCAAGCAGCCTAACTGGGAGGCACCCCCCAGCAGGGGCACACTGACACCTCACACGGCAGGGTATTCCAACAGACCTACAGCTGAGGGTCCTGTCTGTTAGAAGGAAAACTAACAAACAGAAAGGACATCCACACCAAAAACCCATCTGTACATCACCATCATCAAAGACCAAAAGTAGATAAAACCACAAAGATGGGGAAAAAACAGAACAGAAAAACTGGAAACTCTAAAAAGCAGAGCGCCTCTCCTCCTCCAAAGGAACGCAGTTCCTCACCAGCAATGGAACAAAGCTGGATGGAGAATGACTTTGACGAGCTGAGAGAAGAAGGCTTCAGACAATCAAATTACTCTGAGCTATGGGAGGACATTCAAACCAAAGGCAAAGAAGTTGAAAACTTTGAAAAAAATTTAGAAGAATGTATAACTAGAATAACCAATACAGAGAAGTGCTTAAAGGAGCTGATGGAGCTGAAAACCAAGGCTCGAGAACTATGTGAAGAATGCAGAAGCCTCAGGAGCCGATGCGATCAACTGGAAGAAAGGGTATCAGCAATGGAAGATGAAATGAATGAAATGAAGCAAGAAGGGAAGTTCAGAGAAAAAAGAATAAAAAGAAATGAGCAAAGCCTCCAAGAAATATGGGACTATGTGAAAAGACCAAATCTACATCTGATCGGTGTACCTGAAAGTGATGGGGAGAATGGAACCAAGTTGGAAAACACTCTGCAGGATATTATCCAGGAGAACTTCCCCAATCTAGCAAGGCAGGCCAACGTTCAGATTCAGGAAATACAGAGAACGCCACAAAGATACTCCTCGAGAAGAGCAACTCCAAGACACATAATTGTCAGATTCACCAAAGTTGAAATGAAGGAAAAAATGTTAAGGGCAGCCAGAGAGAAAGGTCGGGTTACCCTCAAAGGGAAGCCCATCAGACTAACAGCGGATCTCTCGGCAGAAACCCTACAAGCCAGAAGAGAGTGGGGGCCAATATTCAACATTCTTAAAGAAAAGAATTTTCAACCCAGAATTTCATATCCAGCCAAACTAAGCTTCATAAGCGAAGGAGAAATAAAATACTTTACAGACAAGCAAATGCTGAGAGATTTTGTCACCACCAGGCCTGCCCCAAAAGAGCTCCTGAAGGAAGCGCTAAACATGGAAAGGAAAAACGGGTACCAGCCACTGCAAAATCATGCTAAAATGTAAAGAACATCGAGACTAGGAAGAAACTGCATCAACTAATGAGCAAAATAACCAGCTAACATCATAATGACAGGATCAAATTCACACATAACAATATTAACTTTAAATGTAAATGGACTAAATGCTCCAATTAAAAGACACAGACTGGCAAATTGGATAAGAGTCAAGACCCATCAATGTGCTGTATTCAGGAAACCCATCTCACGTGCAGAGACACACATAGGCTCAAAATAAAAGGACGGACGAAGATCTACCAAGCAAATGGAAAACAAAAAAAGGCAGGGGTTGCAATCCTAGTCTCTGATAAAACAGACTTTAAACCAACAAAGATCAAAAGAGACAAAGAAGGCCATTACATAATGGTAAAGGGATCAATTCAACAAGAAGAGCTAACTATCCTAAATATATATGCACCCAATACAGGAGCACCCAGATTCATAAAGCAAGTCCTGAGTGACCTACAAAGAGACTTAGACTCCCACACATTAATAATGGGAGACTTTAACACCCCACTGTCAACATTAGACAGATCAACGAGACAGAAAGTCAACAAGGATACCCAGGAATTGAACTCAGCTCTGCACCAAGCAGACCTAATAGACATCTACAGAACTCTCCACCCCAAATCAACAGAATATACATTTTTTTCAGCACCACACCACACCTATTCCAAAATTGACCACATACTTGGAAGTAAAGCTCTCCTCAGCAAATGTAAAAGAACAGAAATTATAACAAACTATCTCTCAGACCACAGTGCAATCAAACTAGAACTCAGGATTAAGAATCTCACTCAGAACCGCTCAACTACATGGAAACTGAACAACCTGCTCCTGAATGACTACTGGGTACAGAACGAAATGAAGGCAGAAATAAAGATGTTCTTTGAAACCAATGAGAACAAAGACACAACATACCAGAATCTCTGGGACGCATTCAAAGCAGTGTGTAGAGGGAAATTTATAGCACTAAATGCCCACAAGAGAAAGCAGGAAAGATCCAAAATTGACACCCTAACATCACAATTAAAAGAACTAGAAAAGCAAGAGGAAACACATTCAAAAGCTAGCAGAAGGCAAGAAATAACTAAGATCAGAGCAGAACTGAAGGAAATAGAGACACAAAAAACCCTTCAAAAAATTAATCAATCCAGGAGCTGGTTTTTTGAAAGGATCAACAAAATTGATAGACCGCTAGCAAGACTAATAAAGAAGAAAAGAGAGAAGAATCAGATAGACGCAATAAAAAATGATAAAGGGGATATCACCACTGATCCCACAGAAATATAAACTACCATCAGAAAATACTACAAACACCTCTACGCAAATAAACTAGAAAATCTAGAAGAAATGGATAAATTCCTCGACACATACACCCTCCCAAGACTAAACCAGGAAGAAGTTGAATCTCTGAATAGACCAATAACAGGATCTGAAATTGTGGCAATAATCAATAGCTTACCAACCAAAAAGAGTCCAGGACCAGATGGATTCACAGCCAAATTCTACCAGAGCTACAAGGAGGAACTGGTACCATTCCTTCTGAAACTATTCCAATCAATAGAAAAAGAGGGAATCCTCCCTAACTCATTTTATGAGGCCAGCATCATTCTGATACCAAAGCCAGGCAGAGACACAACCAAAAAAGAGAATTTTAGACCAATATCCTTGATGAACATTGATGCAAATTCCTCAATCAAATACTGGCAAAACGAATCCAGCAGCACATCAAAAAGCTTATCCACCATGATCAAGTGGGCTTCATCCCTGGGATGCAAGGCTGGTTCAATATACGCAAATCAATAAATGTAATCCAGCATATAAACAGAGCCAAAGACAAAAACCACATGATTATCTCAATAGATGCAGAAAAAGCCTTTGACAAAATTCAACAACCCTTCATGCTAAAAACTCTCAATAAATTAGGTATTGATGGGACATATTTCAAAATAATAAGAGCTATCTATGACAAACCCACAGCCAATATCATACTGAATGGGCAAAAACTGGAAGCATTCCCTTTGAAAACTGGCACAAGACAGGGATGCCCTCTCTCACCACTCCTATTCAACATAGTGTTGGAAGTTCTGGCCAGGGCAATTAGGCAGGAGAAGGAAATAAAGGGTATTCAATTAGGAAAAGAGGAAATCAAATTGTCCCTGTTTGCAGACGACATGATTGTATATCTAGAAAACCCCATTGTCTCAGCCCAAAATCTCCTTCAGCTGATAAGCAACTTCAGCAAAGTCTCAGGATACAAAATCAATGTACAAAAATCACAAGCTTTCTTATACACCAACAACAGACAAACAGAGAGCCAAATCATGAGTGAACTCCCATTCACAATTGCTTCAAAGAGAATAAAATACCTAGGAATCCAACTTACAAGGGATGTGAAGGACCTCTTCAAGGAGAACTACAAACCACTGCTCAAGGAAATAAAGAGGATACAAACAAATGGAAGAACATTCCATGCTCATGGGTAGGAAGAATCAATATCGTGAGAATGGCCATACTGCCCAAGGTAATTTAAAGATTCAATGCCATCCCCATCAAGCTACCAATGCCTTTCTTCACAGAATTGGAAAAAACTACTTTAAAGTTCATATGGAACCAAAAAAGAGCCCGCATCGCCAAGTCAATCCTAAGCCAAAAGAACAAAGCTGGAGGCATCACACTACCTAACTTCAAACTATACCAGAAGGCTACAGTAACCAAAACAGCATGGTACTGGTACCAAAACAGAGATATAGATCAATGGAACAGAACAGAGCCCTCAGAAATAGCGCCGCATATCTACAACTATCTGATCTTTGACAAACCTGAGAAAAACAAGCAATGGGGAAAGGATTCCCTACTTAATAAATGGTGCTGGGAAAACTGGCTAGCCATATGGAGAAAGCTGAAACTGGATCCCTTCCTTACACCTTATACAAAAATCAATTCAAGATGGATTAAAGACTTAAACGTTAGACCTAAAACCATAAAAACCCTAGAAGAAAACCTAGGCATTACCATTCAGGACATAGGCACGGGCAAGGTCTTCATGTCTAAAACACCAAAAGCAATGGCAACAAAAGACAAAATTGACAAATGGGATCTAATTAAACTAAAGAGCTTCTGCACAGCAAAAGAAACTACCATCAGAGTGAACAGGCAACCTACAAAATGGGAGAAAATTTTCGCAACCTACTCATCTGACAAAGGGCTAATATCCAGAATCTACAATGAACTCAAACAAATTTACAAGAGAAAAACAAACAACCCCATCAAAAAGTGGGCGAAGGACATGAACAGACACTTCTCAAAAGAAGACATTTATGCAGCCAAAAAACACATGAAAAAATGCTCATCATCACTGGCCATCAGAGAAATGCAAATCAAAACCACAATGAGATACCACCTCACACTAGTTAGAATGGCAATCATTAAAAAGTCAGGAAACAACAGGTGCTGGTGAGGATGTGGAGAAACAGGAACACTTTGACACTGTTGGTGGGACTGTAAACTAGTTCAACCATCGTGGAAGTCAGTGTGGGGATTCCTCAGGGATCTAGAACTAGAAATACCATTTGACCCAGCCATCCCATTACTGGGTATATACCCAAAGGACTATAAATCATGCTGCTATAAAGACACATGCACACGTATGTTTATTGCGGCATTATTCACAATAGCAAAGACTTGGAACCAACCCAAATGTCCAACAATGATAGACTGGATTAAGAAAATGTGGCACATATACACCATGGAATACTATGCAGCCATAAAAATTGATGAGTTCATGTCCTTTGTAGGGACATGGATGAAATTGGACATCATCATTCTCAGTAAACTATCACAAGAACAAAAAACCAAACACTGCATATTCTCACTCATAGATGGGAATTGAACAATGAGATCACATGGACACAGGAAGGGGAATATCACACTCTGGGGACTGTTGTGGGGTGGGGGGAGGGGGGAGGGATAGCATTGGGAGATATACCTAATGCTAGATGACCAGTTAGTGGGTGCAGCGCACCAGCATGGCACATGTATACATATGTAACTAACCTGCACAATGTGCACATGTACCCTAAAACTTAAAGTATAATAAAAAAAAAAAAGCTATCAAAAAAAAAGAGTTGGTTTACCTAAAAAATTACACAATTAATATATTTTTAAAAAACAAGAAAAATAAATAAATAAAATTATACAATAATATATTAGTTTGCTAGAGCACACATTGGGTGGCTTAAATAACAAAAATTAATTGTCTCAGTTCTAGACAGAGGAAGTCAAAAGTCAAAATATTGGCAGAGTTGGTTCCTTCTAAGGGCTGTGAATGAACAGTCTGTTCCAGGCCTCTCTTCGTTTGGCCTGTAGATGGCTGTCTTCTCCCTGTGTCTCTTCACATCATCTTCTCTTTATTTATGCATGTCTCTGTGCCCAAAATTTCCCTTTTCATCAAGACACCAATTATACTGGGTTAGGGCCCACCCTAATGACTTCACATTAACTAATTAATTTTGTAAAGACCCTCTCTTTTATGTATTTATTTATTTATTTGCTTATTTTTTGAGACAGGGTTTCACTCACTCCTGTCACCCAGGCGGGAGTGCAGTGGCACAATCTCAGCTCACTGCAGCCTCAACCACCTGGGCTCAAGGGATCCTCCTGCCTCAGCCTCCCAAGTAGCTGGCCAGCCACTGCAGGAGCCACTGGGCCTGGCTCATTTTTTGTATTTCTGGTAGAGACAGGGTTCCACCATTTTGCCCAGGCTGGTCTTGAACTCCTGGACTCAAGTGATCTGCTGGCCTTGGCCTCCAAAAGTGCTGGGATTACAGGTGTGAGCCACCATACCCAGCTGTAAAGACCCTCTCATTAAATATGGCAACATTCTGAGGTACTAGGGGTTAGCACTTCAACATATGAATTGAAGGGGACAAGAGGGAAACAGTGGACAGAATTCAACCCATAACAAGTAATTTTAAAACTGTCGAAACTTGATCAGGCATGGTGGCTCATGACTATAATCCTAGTACTTTGGGGGGCCAACATGGGCAGATCACATGAGCCCAGGAGTTCAAGACCAGCCTGGCCAACATGGTGAAACTCTGTCTCTATTGAAAATACAAAAATTAGTTGGGTATGGTGGTGGATGCCTATAATCCCAGCTACTCAGGAGGCTGCGGCAGGAGAATTGCTTCAACCCGGGAGGCAGAGGTTGCAGTGAGCCGAGTGCCACTGCACTCCAGCCTGGGCAACAGAGTGAGACTCTGTCTCAGAAACAACAACAACAAACTATTGAAACTTTCTTTAGTGAAATAATACATTTCAAGATAAGACATTCCAAATTTTTCTTTTACTCTTTTCTCTTTGGCGCCTACTTACAAACATAATTAGGTTCAGCAAAATCAGTTTTGAGCTAGCTATAGTGCCTCACATAACAGTAGATGTGCAATAAATGTGCTAATTTGAATTTTATTCTATCAGAGCCTTAATAATGAATCTGCTCAATAGTGATTACATCCCATGGAATCAAGCAAGTTCCAAATGACTACAAGACACTTTATGTCTCCAACACAACATGAATCATCTGAATGCAATGGCCTATTGAATCTTTATTTTGTAGAGCCTTGAGGGTGAAATATAGCCAAAATATTTTCTACAGGCTATTTAAATGAGACCAGATGACAGATAGATTTCTTCCTTTAATCACCACTTAAGAGGCATGGTGCCACTTAAGCCATGAAACATAAGCTACAAATAAAACAAAAACTTGCAAAAAAAAATTGGTAACAAAGGAGTTTTTGGCCATTGGCCATCAATAAAGGAAAGGAGGGAAGGAAAGAAGAAGGAGAAACTAATTAATTTAGCCACAAACATTTGTGCAGACCAAAAAATTTCCAAATTTGATGAAAGACATGAATGTAAATATCCAAGCTCAATAAACTCCAAATAGGATGAACGCAAAGAGACCCATACCAAGACATATTATAATCAAACTGTCCAAAGCCAAAACAAAAAGAGAATCTTGAAAGCAGTGAGAGAGAAGCAACTTGTCTCATACAAGGGATTCCTAATAAGATTAAAATCAATTTTTTTTTCTTTTTCTGGAGTGCAGTGGCACGATCTTGGCTCACTGCAACTTCTGCTTCCCGGGTTTAAGCAATTTTCCTGCTTCAGCCTCCCAAGTAGCTGGGATTACAGGCATGTGTCACAACACCCGGCTAATTTTTTTTTTTTTTTTTTTTTTTGTATTTTTAGTAGAGACAGGGTTTTGCCATGTTCGCCAGGCTGGTCTCAAACTCCTGACCTCAAGTGATCTGCCCTACTCAGCTACCCAAAGTGCTGGGATTACAGGTGTGAACCATCATGCCCAGCCAACATCAGATTTCTTTTCAGAAGCTTTGGAAGCCAGAAGACAGTGGGTTGATATATTCAAGGGCTATAAGCAAAAATAAACAAAAAACAACAACAAAAACCTGTCAACCAAGAATCCTACATGTGGCAAAACTGTCCTTCAGAAGTAAGGGAGAAATTATGACATTCCCTACAAATAAAAACTGAAGGAGTTTGTTATCACTAAAACTTCCCTGCACGAAATCCTAAAGGTACTGACCTAAGGAGTGAAAAAAAGAAAAGAAAAGAAATGTTAAAGGGTGTTCTGCAGGTTGAAAAGAAAAGGCAGTAACTTAAAGCCATATTGAAAAAAAAAAAAAGATATCAGTAAAGGCAAATAAACAGGCAATTACAAAAGCTAGTATTATTGTAACAATGGTGTGTAACACTACTTTTTGTTTTCCAGGTAATTTATGAGAGTTTTTAAAATACATTTTTAAAAAATTATTAGTCTAAAAGCTAGTATTGTTGTAACTTTAGTTTGTAACTGTACATTTTGTTTTCTATATAATTTAAGATATGAATGCATTAAAAATTATTAGCTGAAGGTTTTCAACACATAAAGTATAAAGATGGATTCCTGTAACATGAACAGCTGAAAATGATGGGAACAGAGCTTCTAAAGGAGCAGAGTTTATATATGTTATTAAATTTAACCAGATGTAAATTCAACTTTTGGATATTAAATGTAATCTCCATGGTAATCACAAAGAAAAAAATAGCTAAAGCATATACACAAAAGGAAATGAAAAAGGAATTTAAACATTTTGCTACAAAAAAAATCAACTAAGCACAAAAGAGAGCAGTAATGCAGGAAATGAGACACAAAAAAACCTATTATATGGCATATGGAAAACAAATAGCAAAATAACAGAAGTAAGTTATTTCTTATCAGTAATTACTTTAAATGTAAATAGATTAAATCTTCCAGTCGAAAGACAGAGATTGACAGAATGGATTAAAAAATGGTTTAACTATATGCTGTCTACAAGAGGCTCATTGGTTCCAAAGACACAATTAGGTTGATGAAAAAGGATATTCCATGCAAATAATAACCTAAAGAAAGTAGATGTGGTGAATATGCTAATATCAGACAAAATAGACTATAAATCAAAAAAAGATTACAAGAGAGATAAAGAAGGATATTATATATTAATAAAAGGCTCAATATGGAAAGAAGATATAACAGTTATAAACTTTTGCAAAACAAATAACAGACCATCAAAATACATAAATTAAAAACTGACCGAATTGAAAGGAGAAATAGACAGTTCTACAATAATAGTTGGAGACTTCAATACCTCACTCTCAATGACGGATAAAACCGACAGAAAATAAGTAATAGAAGACTTGAACAACATAATCAATCAACTATGTCTAACAGACATATACAGAACACTTTATTCAACAACAACAGAATATACATTCTTCTCAAGTGCAAAAACATTTTCCCAAAATACCTTATGTTTGGCCACAAATTAAGTCTCAATAGATTTTAAAACACAGATACCATACAAAGTGTCTTCTCTGAGCACAATGGGATGAAGTTAAAAATCAATAATGGAAGGAAAATTGGAAAACAGACAAATTTGTGGAAATTAAATACCATCATATTGGCGATTAGGATTTCAACATATGAATTTTGGGGGAACTACAAACATTCAGTCTGTAGCACTACTTCAACATGATAAAAACTGTGTATGAAAAACCCACAGCTGGCTGGGCGCAGTGGCTCACGCCTGTAATCCCAGCACTTTGGGAGGCTGAGTTAGGCGGATCACAAGGTCAGGAGATGGAGACCAGCCTGGCTAACATGGTGAAACCCCGTCTCTACTAAAAACACAAAAAAATTAGCTGGGCGTGGTGGCGGGCGCCTGTAGTCCCAGCTACTTGGGAGGCTGAGGCAGGAGAACGGTGTGAACCTGGGAGGTGGAGCTTGCAGTGAGCCAAGATCGTGCCACTGCACTCCAGCCTGGACAACAGAGTGAGACTCTGTCTCAAAAAAGAAAAAAGAAAAACCCACAGCTAACATCATACTAAATGGTGAAAGATTGAAATCTTTTCCTCTAAGATCAAGAACAAGGCAAGATGCTCACTTTTTGCCACTTTTATTTAATATATACTGCAGTACTGGAAATCCTAGCCAATGCAACTAGGAAAAAAATAAGCATGCAATTTGGAAAGGAAGAAGTAAAATTTTATCTGTTTGGAGATGACATGATCTTGTATGTAGAAACCCCTAAAGATTTCACAGTTATACACCAAAAAAAACCCCGTTAGAACTAATAAGTAAATTCAGCAAAGTAGCAGGATACAAAGTCAACACAAATCAGTAATATTTCTATACATTAACAATAAATAATATCAAAAGGAAATTAAGAAAACAACTTCATTTATAATAGCATCAAAAAGGATGAAATACTTAAGAATTAACTGAGGAGGTGAAAGAATTGTACAATGAAAACTACAAAAGATTGCTGAAAGACATTAAAGAAGACATAAAGATATGGAAAGACATCCTATGTTCATAAATTGAAATACTTCATATTGTTAGGATGCCAATACTAGCCAGAGGAATCTGCAGATTCAATGCAATCCCTATCAAAATACCAATTTTTCTGCAGAAATAGAAAAAAATTCTAAAATTTGTATGGAATCGAAAGGGATCATAGATAGCCAAAAATAATCTTGAAAATAGATTCACGAAAGTGGAATACTTACATTTTCTGATTTCAAAACTTAACTACACAAACTGTGCACTTAAAAATGGTTAAGATGGTAAATTTTATGTTACATGTATTTTACCATAACAAAAAAATTGAGAAAAAAACTTACTCCAAATCTAAAGTAATCAAAACAGTGTGGTACTGTCATAAAAACAAATACAGACCAACAGTATAGAATAGAATAGACAGTCCCCAAAAAAACCCTTGCAATATAGTCAAATGATTTTCAACAAGGATGCCAAGACCATTTCGTGGGAAGGGGCAGTCTTTTCAACAAATGTTGCTGGGAAAATTGTTGTATATCCACGTGGAAAAAATTGAAGTTAGACTCTTACCTAATATCATATACAAAAATGAACTCAAAATGAATCAAAGACCTAAACATAAGATCTAAAACTATAAAACTCTTAGAAGAAAATATAGGGGAAAATCTCCATAGAAATGGATTTGGCAATGATTTCTCAGAGATGATATAAAGGCATAGGGAACAAAAGAAAAATAGACAAACTGGACTTCATGAAAATTTAAAACTTTCGTACATTAAAAGACACTATCAGCAGAGTGAGAAAGTATTCTACAGAATGAGATAAAATATTTGTAAGTTATATATCTGATAAGAGATTTATATCCAGAATGTAAAGAGAATTCCTAGAGCTCAACAACAACAAAACAGTCAGGTTCATAAATGGGCAAATGACTTGAATTAGACATTTCGCCAAAGATATGTGACTGGCAATAAGCACATAAAAAGATGCTCAACCTCACTAATCATTAGGGAAATGCAAATCAAAAGAAAAATGAGATATCAATTCACAACCATTAGGATGGCTATTATCAAAAATGTTTAAAGCAGAAATTAAACAAGTGTTGGCAACAATTCAGAGAAATGTGAACATCTGTGCACTGTTGGTAAGATGGTATAGCCACTATAGAAAACAGTATGGTGCAGTTTCTCAAAAAATTAAAATATAATTACTATATGATCCAGCAATTTTGCTTCTGAGTATATACAGTAATTCTCCCTTATCCATGGAGGACACCTTCCAAGACACCCAGTGGATGCCTGAAACTGTGGAGAGTACTGATCCCTGTATGTACTATGTTTTTTTCATATACAAATGTACCTACCATAAAGTTGAATTTCTAAATTAGGCACAGTAATAGATTAACAACAATAACTGACAATAAAATAGAACAAGTATAACATTATACTACGATTAAAGTTATGTGAATGTGGTCTCTTGCTCTCTCTCAAAATATCTTATTGTGCTATACCATAATTAATGGAAACTGTGGAGAGAAAACCATGGATAAAGGGGAACTACTGTACCCAAAAGAACTGAAAACAGGATCTTGAAGACATATTTGCACCTCTACATTTATAGCAGCATTATTCACAATAATGGACAGCATTGGACACTTGGGAAGCAACCCGTGTCCATCAGATGAATGGATAAGCAAAGTGTGATATATACATATAATGGAATCTTATTCAGCTTTAAAAAGGAAGGAAACTCTAACATGTGCTAGTACATGGATGAAATTTGAGGACATTATACTGAAGTAAAATAAGCCAGTCATGAAAATACAAATATTGTATATGATTCCACTTATGTGAAGTACCTAGGGTAGTCCAAATTACAGAGACAGAAAGTAGAATGGTGGTTTGTAGTGGTTGGGGAGAGGGGAGACTGAGTAGTTATTATTTAATGGGTACAGAGTTTAGTTTTGCAAGATGAAAAGAGTTCTGGAGATCAATGGTGGCGATGGCTGTACAACAATATGAATATACTTAATATCAATGAGCTGTATATTTTAAAATGGTTAAGATAGTAAGATTTATGTTTATGTATTTTACCACAATAAAACAAATGAACAAAGTTTATGTAGTGGCTGTCTAGACATGGCCTTAGTAGTAAATGGTAAGTTTGCCCCATGACATATTGTCATGTTATACAATAAGAATACTTCTCACATTTTTCAAAATTTCTCTAGTTGACGTATTACTTTCTTTTCACTTCCCCATCACAGAATCTTTATTTTACACTTTTCCATCACAGCAATAAAATTAATCCCATACATCACCCTGACCTGCATCCCTGACCCATCATGTTTACATCAATATCCTTTAATGATCATTACTGATAAACAACAACAAACTGAAAACTTCTCCTGCCTTCCAATCTAAAATGAAAAGTAAAATAATACTTATGTAAACCAACAGTATCTGAGACAGGTCTCGATCAATTAGAGTTTATTCTGCCAGAGACCTGCATGCCCAGGAGGCAGGTCTGTGCCTCTCTCTAAAGATGATTTTGAGGGTTTCAATATTTAAGAAGGAAAGGGTGGATATTGTGGAAGAGGAAGAAATTGTTTTAATGTGTGGGTAGATAAGAGACAAACAGTTGCATCCTTTTGAGTCTTTGATCAGCCTTTCACTGAATACACAATTTAAATATGGGGGTGGGGGGTAGAAGAACAGTCACTCACGCCTTCACGTTGCTCCCTGAATCTGTATTTTTACATAAGATCATGTAAACAGAGATCATGTAAACAATAGGGCAGAGGAGGCAATCAGACATGCATTTGTCTCAGGTGAGCAGTGATGACTTTGAGTTCTAATCTTTGTCCCATATCTGTGAAGAGAAGCTATTAATTTACATTGCCAGAGTGAAATTAAACAGAACTGTTTTAGGGTAAAGATCTTGGAGCCCACAAGGAATTGCCTTGCGGAAAAATTATGAGAAATGTATTTAGCTTTTCTAATATCTGTAGCTATCTTATTTAGGAATAAAATGGGAGGCAGGTTTGCCTGACACAGTTCCCAGCTTGACTTTTCCCTTTGGCTTAGTGGTTTTGGGGTCCTGAGATTCATTTTCCTTTCACACTTACAAATCTTCAAAATTTCCCCAAATTAAACTTGTTACAGGTAGTTAGGCATGAGCGGGGCAGGAGAGGGCTCTCCCCACCCACTAGGAATGTTGGGTGATGGTTTGGCAATTATCACACTGCCTCTCTGAAAGTGATAAATTGGCAGCCAGTGCCAGGGAGAGGCCATTTCCTGATGATGCACACCTGCTGTGCTCAAGTGTTAATTGAATGCACATGCCAGAGAGAAGCAACTGCCTAGGCATGTGCAGTAAGAGACAAAATGGTGGACTATGACCTTCCAGGACCACGTCACCGGAAAAGGGAAGAAAGCCTCAGACTGGCATGTGTACAACTTCCTAAACACATTGCACGTGCTCACCTCCCAAGGGTATGAAGGGCCCTGCTTGGGAGGCCGAGGCGGGCGGATCACGAGGTCATGAGATTGAGACCATCCTGGCCAACACTGTGAAACCCCATCTCTACTAAAAAAAAAAAAAAAAAAAAAAAACACAAAAAATTATCCAGGCGTGGTGGTGGGCACCTGTAGTCCCAGCTTCTCGGGAGGCTGAAGCAGGAGAATGGCGTGAACCCGGAAGGCGGAGCTTGCAGTGAGCCGAGGTCGTGCCACTGCTCTCCAGCCTGGGCAACAGAGCAAGACTTTCTCAAAAAAAAAAAAAAGGGGGGGGCCCTGCACACGCAGGCAGCCTGCCCTAAGGGAAGAATCATGGGAAAGGGGTGCAAGATGCTAGAAGTGGGCCAGCCTATAAAAATCCTAGGATCACAGTTAAACACCACACTTAACATTCACGTGCCTACTTGGGTGTCTTCCAAATGTACTTTTCCTTTATTTCCTGTTCTAAAGCCTTTTAAAATAAACTTCCACTCCTGCTCTGAAACTTGCCTCGGTCTCTTTTTCTGCCTTATGCCCCTCAGTCAAATTCTTTCTTCTGAGGAGGCAAGAATTGAGGTTGCTGAGACTCGTACAGATTCAACACAGGTAACTCAGATACCTTCCACCGGTAACAAACTTATTTCTAGATTAAATACATCTGACTTTTGAAGTTATATGAATAGGCAAACCCTATTTACAGTCTTCAAAAGCTGCATAAGGGGTCATAAAGAAGCTCCCCTGAGCAGACAAGATTTTTGTATTTTTTTAATAACACTGTCTTTAATGTTTTACATTTTTAAAAAACATATGTCAGGTAGCATAAAAGTAACACTTTAAAGTGTACAATTCAGTGGTTTTTATTACATTCACAAAGGACAACCATCACCACAATGTAATTCTAGAACATTTTTACTGCTCTGAAAAGAAACCCTGTATCAATTTTCACTGCTCCAAAAAGGAGCTCTGAATCAGTCCCTATTTTCTCCTCCCCCAAGCCTTTGGCACTTCGTAATCTACTTTCTGTCACTGTGCATTTGCTTATTCTGGACGTTTCTTGTAGATGTAATCATACAATATTTGGTTCTTTGTGTCTGGCTTCTTTTACTTAACGAAGTTTTTGAGTTCATCCATGTCATAGTATACATATCAGTATTTCATTTCTTTTTATGGATACATAATATTCACTTATATGGCTATACCACATTACTTATCCATTCAGCAGGTGATAGACATTTGGGTTGTTTCTATATTTTGGATATTGTAAATAATGCTGCAATAAACATTAAAGTGCAAGTTTTTGTATGGACACATATTTTCATTTCTCTTGGGTACATACCTAGGAGTGAAATTGCTGGGTCATATGGTAACTATGTTAAACTGTTTGAGAAACTGCCAAACTGTTCTCCAAAGTGAATGCATCATTTTATATTCCTGCTAGCAACATATGAGGGTTCCAATTTCTCCACATCCTTGTCAACACTTGTTATTGTCTTTCTTTATTATAGCCTTCTCATTGTATGAGAAGTGGTATCTTCTTGTTTTGATTTGCATCTCCCTAATGACTAATAATATGCATTCTTTCATGTACTTATTGGCTATTTGCATGTCTTCTTTGAAGAAATGTCTATTTAGATCATTTGCCCATTTTAAATTGGGGTACTTGTCTTTATTGTTGAGTTCTTTACATATTCTGGACACTAGACCCTCATCAAATACATGATTTGCAAAAATTTTCTCCCATTCTGTGGGTTAACTTTTTATTTTCTTCATACTTTCCTTTGATACATGAAAGTTTTTAATTTTTATGAACTCTAATTTACCTTTTTTGTTTACCTGTTCTTTAGGTGTCACAAAGAAACCGTTGCCAAATTCCTGATCGTGAAGATGTACACCTACGTTTTATTCTAAGAGTTTTATAGTTTTAGCTCTTACATTTAGGTCTTTGATTCGAGTTAATTTTTTTATATGACATAAGTTAGGGGTCCAATTTATTCTTTTGCATGTGAATATATAACACCATTATTGAAAAGACAATTCTGTCATTGGATTGTTTGACACGCTTGTCAAAATCAATTGATCACAGATACATGAGTTTATTTTTTACTCTCAATTCGATTCCATTGATCTATATGTTTATCCTTATGCCAGTACTACACTATTTTGATTGCTCTTGCCTTGTAATAAATTTTGAAACTGAGACATGTGAGCCCCCCAACCTTGTTCTTTTTCAAGATTATGTTGGAATGGGTGCAGTGGCTCATGCCTGTAATCCCAACACATTGGGAGGCCAAGGTGGGAAGATCACTTGAGGCCAGGATTTCGAGACCAGCCTGGGTAACAAAGAGCCTGTCTCTCCAAAAAATAGAAAAATATTAGCTGGGCATGATGGTGTATACATATAGTCCCAGCTACTTGAGAGGCCAAGGTGGGAGGATCACTTAAACCAGTGAGGTTGAGACTGCAGTGGGCTGTGATCACACCCTTGCACTCCAGCCTGGGTGACAGAGCAAGACTCTGTCTCAAAAAACAAAGATTATTTTGGGTTCTTTGAATTTCCATATGAAGTTTAAGGATTAGGTTATCAATTTCTGCCAAAAAGCCAACTGAGATTTAATAGGGATTGTGTTGAATCTGCAGATCAATTGGAGAAGTATTGCCAGCTTAATATTAAGTCTTAAAGATACTTATGAACATTGGATGTCTTTCCATTTATTTAGGTTTTCTTTAATTTTTTTCAACAATATCTTAAAGTTTCCAGATTACAAGTCTTACTCTTATTTTGTTAACTATTATTATTATTATTATTATTACTAGATAGGGGCTCACTCTGTCACCCAGACTGGAACACAGTGTCAGGATCTTGATTCACTGCAGCCTTGACCTCCTGGGCTCAAATGATCCTCCCACCTCAGCCTCCTGGGTAGCTGGGACTACAGGCATGCCATGTGCCACCACACCTGGATAATTTTTGTACTTTTTTGTAGAGATGGGGTTTTGCCATGTTGCCATGTTCAGGCTGATCATGAACTCCTAAGCTCATGTGATCCACCCACCTCAGCCTCCCAAAGTGCTGGGATTACAGGCATGAACCACTGTGCCTGGCACCTATTTTATTATTTTTGATACTATTGTAAGTGAAATTGGGTTTTTTTGGTTTTCTGGGTTTGTTTTTTTTTTTTTTTTTTTTTGAGACGGAGTCTCGCTCTGTCGCCAGGCTGGAGTGCAGTGGCGTGATCTCAGCTCACTGCAACTTCTGCCTCCCAGGTTCAGGCAATTCTCCTGCCTCAGCCTCCCGAGTAGCTGGGACTACAGGCATGTGCCACCACGCCCAGCTAATTTTGTATTTTTAGTAGAGATGGGGTTTCTCCGTGTTGGTCAGGCTGGTCTCGAACTCCCGACCTCAGGTGATCCACCTGCCTCAGCCTCTCAAAGTGCTGTGATTACAGGCATGAGCCACCATGCCCGGCCATGAAATTGTTTTAATTTCAATTTTGGGTGGTTAAATGCTAGGGTATAAAAAGTACAGTGAATTTTGTATATTTATCTTGCATTCTGCAACCTTTCTAAACTCATTTACTATCTCTAATAGTGTGTGTTTGTGGTGCTGGGAGAAGGATCTTAGGATTTTCTACATATAAGATGTCATCTGCAAATAGAGGTAGTTTTACTTCTTCCTTTCAGTTCTGGATGCCTTTTATTTATTTATCTTGCCTAATTACCCTGAATAGATCTTCCAGTACAATGTTCAATAGAAGTGGTGGGAATGAACATCTTTGCCTGCTTCTAATCTTAAGGGGAAAGCATTCAGTTTTCTACCCATTAAGTATGATGTTAGCTGTGGGTGTTTTGTAGATGCCCTTTATCAAGTTGAGGAAGTTCACATCTACCCTTCACTTGTTGACTGCTCTATTTTAATTATGAAAGGTGTTAGATTTTGTCAAAAGCATTTTCTGCAATTATTCAGATGATCATGTGGTTTTATCCTTTATACTACATTTATTAACTTTAGATGTTAAATCAAACTTGTATTCCTGGGATAAAATCTGAACTGGTTATGGTGTGTGATCCTTTTTATATGTTCTAGATTCCATTTGCTAGTAATTTTGTTAAAATAAGATTTTTGAATCTGGATTATACTGGTCTCATAGAATGAGCTATGTTTTTTCTCCTATTCTCTTTTCTGAAAGAGTTTGTAAAGAATTGGTATCAATTCTTTAAATGTTTGGCAGAATAGATCAGTGAAGCCATCTAATTCTGAGCTTTTAATTGTAAGAAGATTTTCAACTGCTAATTCAATCTCTTTCCTTTTTATAGATTTATTCCAATTTTCTTCGTCTTGAGTCAGTTTTGGTAGTTTGTATCTTTGTAAGGATTGGTTTATTTCATCTAGGTTATCTAATTTGTTGGCGTAAAGTTGTTCATAGTTTTTTCTTGTAATCCATATTTTCTCGGTAAATTTAACTAAAAGTTTAAGAATTGCATTAATCTTTTCAAAAAACCTAGTTTTAGCTTTATTTTTATTTTTTTGTCCTCTGTTTCGTTTATTTCCATGCTTATCTTTGCTACTTCCTTTTTTCTCCTTGCTTTGGATTTAGTTTGCTCTGCTGCTTTTAGTGTCTCAAGGTGGAAGATTAGGTTATTGATTTGACATTTTTCTTCTTTTTAAGAAGTGGGGTCTCACTGTGTTGCCCAGGCTAGAGTGCAGTGGCTATTCACAGGCATGAAAATAGTGCACTATGGCCTCTCACTCCTGGGCTCAAATGATTCTCTTGCTTCAGCCTCTCAAGTAGCTGGGACTACAGGAATGTACCACTCCCCCTGGCTTCTTCCCTTCTTTTTAAGGCATTTGAAGCTGTAAATCTCCCTCTAAGCATTGCTTTCACTGCATGCCATATGTTTTAATTTGTCATGTTTTGTTTTCATTGATCTTGAATTATTTTCTCATTTTCTCTGTGATTTCTTCTTTGACTCATTGGTACTTGGAAATATGTTGTTTAATTTTGACAAATTTGTGAATTCCCTACATTTCTGTTATTGATTTCTAATTTCATTCCATTGTAGTTACAAAAAATACTTCGAATGATTCCAATCTTTTAAAAGGTATTAATACTTGCTTTATGGCCTAACATATGTCTATACTGGAGAATGTTCCATGTGTGCTTGAAAAGATATGTGCTCTGCTGTTTTGGCATGGTGTATTCTAGAGAGGTTCGTTAGGTCTAGTTGGTTTAGTGCTGTTCAAGTCTTTCATTCTCTTGTTTATCTCTGTGTATGTCTTCTTGCCAGTATTGAAAGTGGGATGTTGAATTATCCAACTATTATTGTTGTTGAAATGTCTATTTCTTTCCTCACTTTTATCAGTATTTGCTTAATACACTTTTAAAGTCTATTTTGGGGTACATATATGTTTATAATTTTTATACCTTTTTGGTGTATTGATTTATAATACTTATCAAATATCCTTGTTTTCTACTGATAATTTTTGTCTTAAGGTTTATTGTATCTGATATTGGTATAGTGGTTCCAGTTTTCTTTTGGTTACTGTTTGCATGGTATATCTTTTTCCATCCTTTTACTGCCAACTTATTTGTGTACTTAAATCTAAATGTGTCTTTTGTAAGAAACACAGAAATCATTTTTAAAAATGTCTTCTGCCAATCTCTGCCTCTTAATTGAAGTGTTTATTTACATTTAATGTAATTACTGATAAGGCAGAGCTTATTTCTACCATTCTGCTATTTGTTTTCTATATGTCTTATGCCTTTTTGATTTCTACTCCTCCATTACTGACTTCTTTTAATTCCCCTGTTGCTTATTTTATCATATTTTAAAACTTATTTTCTTAGTAGTAGCCCTGGGGATTACAATTAACACCTTAACTTTTAAAACTCTAGTTTAAATTAATGCTAACTTAATTCAAAAATATACAAAAACTTTGCTCCTGTATGGTTCCGTTTCTTCTCCCCCCTTGTGCTGTTACTGTCATATAAATTACACCTTTTTTTACATTGTTTGCCTATCATTACAGATTTTATAATTATTGTTTAATGCACTTATCTTTTAAATTAGTTAAGAGGAAAAAGTTACAAAAATATACTTACACTGTGTTTTTTATTTACCTATGTAGTTACCTTTACTGATTGTAGAGGGGCAAATGGTGGCCGCCTACAAATATGTCCATGTCTCAAACCCCAAAACCTATGAAAATGTTACCTTATTTGAAAAAGAAAAAACAAAAGATCTTTGAAGATGTAAGACAGTTAAGGATTTTGAGATGAGATCATCCAGGTGGGCCCTAAATCTAACAAGTGTCCTTATAATACACACACACAGGAGAAGACAGACGCAGAGGAAAGGGTGATGTGAAGACAAGGCAGAGATTGGATTGATGTAACTATAAGCCCAGGAATTCTGGGCAAGCCATAAGAAACTGGAAGAGGCAAGGAATGGGTTCTTCCCTTGAGCCCTGGAAAAAATGTGTCCCTGCCAGATTTTGAATTTCTAGCCTCTAGAACTGTGAGAGAATAAATCTCTGTTGTTTTAAGCCACCCAGTTTGTAGTAATTTGTTACAGCAGCCCTCAGAAACTAACACACCAGTGCTTTTTATTTTTCATGTGGATTTGAGTTATTGCTTACTGTCCTCTCATTTCAGTCTGCATTAATCCCTTTAGTATTTTTTTGTAGGGCAGATTTTAAAGCAATGAATTCTCTCAGGATATGTTTATACAGGAATGTCTTATTTTCTCATTCATTTTTGAAGGATAGTTTTTCTAGATATGGAATTCTTGATTCACAATCTTTTTCTCTCAGCACTTTGAATATATCATCCCACTGCCTTCTGGCCTCCGTGATTTCTGGTGAGAAATCACGTGTTAATCTTATTTAGAATTCCTTGTGTGTGATGAGTCACTTCTCTTTTGCTGCTTTAAAGATTCAACACAGTTTGATTATCATGTATCTAGGTATGGATTTCTTTGGTTTTATTTTATTTGGAGTTATTTTAGGTCTTGGGTGCATAGACAAATATTTTTCATCAAACTTGAACTGTTTTTGGCCATTATTTCTTCAAATATTCTTTATCCCTCTTTCCCACCTCTCTTTTGAGACTCCCATTATGCATATGTTTGTATGACTGATGGTGTCCTACAGGTCTCTAAAAACTGTTCACTTTTCTTCATTCTTTTTTCTTTATGTTCCTTAGATTGGATAATCTCAATCTATCAAGTTCACTGATTGTTTCATCTGCCTGCTCAAGTTTGCTGTTGAGCCACTCTAGTGGATTTTTATTTCAGTTTCTATATTTTCAACTCTAGAATTTCTATTTGGTTCTCTCTTCTTAAACAAAATTTGATCTCTTTATTGATATTTCTATTTGTCAAAACATCAGTCAATCAGTCATACTTTCTTTCTTTTTTTTTTCTTTTTTTTCTTTTTCTTAAACAGCATCTCATTCTGTCGTCAGGCTGGAGTACGGTGGTGTGATCTCAGCTCACTGCAATCTCCACCTCCCAAATTAAAGTGATTCTCCTGCCTCAGCCTCCCAAGTAGCTGGGATTACAGGTGTGCACCACCACACCCAGCTAATTTTTGTATTTTTAGTAGAGACAGGGTTTCACCATATTGGCCCAGATGGTCTCAATCTCCTGACCTCGTGATCCACCTGCCTCAGCCTCCCAAAGTGCTGGGATTACAGACATGAGCCACCATGTCTGGCCTTTTTCATTCTTTAGACATTGCTTGCTTTGCTTCTTTGCTTTGCTTTGCTTCTTTGCCCATAAATCTTTTTTTTCTTTTTTTTTTTTTTTTTTGAGGCAGAGTCTCAATCTGTTATCCAGGCTGGAGTGCAGTGGTACAATCACAGCTCACTGCAGCCTTGACCTCCCAGGCTCAAGTGATCCTCCCACCTTAGCCTCTTGAATAACTGGGACCACAGGCACATACCACCACATCCAGCTAATTAAAACAAATTTTTTTTTGTAGAGATGGGATCTCACTATATTGCTTAGGCTGGTCTCAAACTGGAACTCCAGGGCCCAAGTTATCCTCCTGCCTTGGCCTTCCACATTTCTGGGATTACAGGCATGAGCCACCATGCCCAGTCTTAAAATCTTTATCTACTAAGTCCAACATCCAGGCTTCCTTGGGAACAGTTTCTATTGGAGTTATTTTTATTTTCCTCTCTATGGTCCATGTATTCTTCTTTGCATATCTCATAACTTTTTATTGAAAAATTGACATTTTAAATAATATAATGTGGCAATTCTGAAAATGAGATTCTTCTTCCTTCTCCAAGTTGTTTAGTGACTTTTTAAAACCAATGCTGTAAAGGCTGTATTCTTTGTCATATATAGCTACTGATGTCTCTGCTCAGTTAGCTTAGTAGTCAGCTAATGACTAGACAGAGATTTAAAGCTCTGGAACCAATAAGTCTGCCACTTTTTGCAGAAGGGATCTGGGTGTGTGTTGGGGCATGCCTTCAACATTCAATTGGGTAATTGGCAATTCTGCCTTATCCTTCACTTCCTGCTTGTTCCATCTCAAAACTGGCCAGATGTGAGAGCTTGGGACCTACTCAGTTTGCTTATTATTTTTTTAATCTCACCATCTAGAAGTAATATCAAGTTTTTCTTCAGCATGTACACAGCCCTATTCATGCAGGTGGCCTTGTAGATTCCTAAGAATATGTCAGGGCTTTTCAAAGGCCCTGTGGATATCTCATTGCCCAGTTTTCCTTTTAAGCTTTCTGTTTAGCCTATTGTCTACCCCAACTGTTACTGACTGCCTGAGGCAGTCACAAAGTCAATCAATTGCTTTTAATTGTTTTCAACAAATGCCCCTGTGATAAGTATTTTTCTACACTTGAGTTCCTGATTCAGATTTTAAAAAAGCCATGCAAATAGAAACTTCCAGGGACTCTTCAGACAGGTAAAATAATGACAATTCTCTGTGAAGGGGGCTTTAATAGTTCACCAACCCCCTTCTGCTCTTTTATTGACTGCCAGGCTGCTGGTTTGTATGACTAAGGGCTGATGGTTTTCAAAGCTTCTGCAGAAATGAAGAAGGGGGAATGGGAATAGGGCAAATGAAAATGGCACCATGATTGCTATTTTTACCCGATTCAGCCATCTTTTTAGAATTAATGCTCTCCTTGTGGTAGGCCAGGTCTCACTAATGCAGGCCTCCATAACAACTGTTTCAGTACTGAGTGGTTAAGTTAAATATTAAAAGCTAGTGCCCTTATACAAAGGCTGGGATGTAACAAAAGCCCATCAAGAGTTTTGCCTAGACCTTTCCTGGGCCTTAAAGCATAACAAAATAACAAAGGAATTCTTAACAGGACCCATTTAAGAACAAGTTTTATTGGGGGTCTGAAGAAACTGCCCAGGCCTCCACAAACAAGTTTATTGGGGGTCTGAAGGAATCCCCAAACTTCCATGATTTAGCAGGAGACAAGATAAGGGTAATCACTCCAGTACCTGGACCCATTTAGATTAAGTAAATTTACTGAGGCTCCAGAGGAAGGTATTCAGGACTTAGACCTTAGTTATATGTTAAAAAAGTTAATCACTTAAGTCTTTAGATGAATGCACACTTACACATAGACATATAGCTTAGGAGGTATATAAGCTCTGGAAAACTTTGTAATTTTGGGTTGGTCTGGTGATAATTTCCAGGCCTTCTCCCTATAACCAGTTGCAGAAATAAAAACTCTCTTCCTCCCCCAGTTCATCTGCATCTCGTTATTGGGCCACAAGAAATAGCAGCCTGACCTTCAGTTTGGTCCGAGAACACTCCTGATTGCTGCAAGCCTTTGGTTAATTTCACAGTTCTAAAAAAATTGATTGAGACCATTTTTGCAAATTTGCTCATTGTTTTTATACAGAAGATAATTTTTGGAGATTCTTACTCCATCATTTTTGCTGATGTCTTCCTAATGTATCATTTTTATGATTTTTTTACTTGAAAAATATTACTCCTTAAAGAGTACTCAGATAGGCTGGGTGCAGTGGCTCATGCCTGTAACCCCAGCACTTTGGGAGGCCAAGGCGGGCGGATCACGAGGTCAGGAGATCGAGACCATCCTGGCTAACATGGTGAAACCCTGTCTCTACTAAAAAAAAAAAAAAATACAAAAAATTAGCTGGGTGTGGTGGCAGGCACCTGTAGTCCCAGCTACTCAGGAGGCTGAGGCAGGAAAATGGCATGAACCTGAGAGGTGGAGCATGCGGTGAGCTGAGATTGTGCCACTGCACTCCAGCCTGGGCAACAGAGCGAGACTCCGTCTCAAAAAAAAAAAAAAAAAAAAAAAAAAGAAGAGTACTCAGAGTACTCAGATAATAGGGTAATGGAGTCAGTATCTACATGATATTTGGTACTTACCTAGTTCCTGGAAAACATATCACACTAGTCACCAAATCATCAGAACACTGGGTTTCCTCCTATGGACAGAAGTTTGTTAGTTTTCTCTTCTTTATTAGAAATTTTTATTTTTATTAAAATACATGGTTGTCAGAAGCATTCATTTGAACCAGAGTGACTTCATCTTGAGTGAGGGCTAGAAAAAATGAGGCTAAGACTTGTTGGGCTGCATTCCCCGGAAGTTAGGTATTCCTAGCCTCTAGATGTTTACGGTTAAGGAAACAGATTGATAACGTTTACTAAACAGACCCAGACTCAGGAATGGTCCTAACATCCCGTTATCTCTAGCACAGAAGCATTCCTAATTTTGCTTTAATAATATCGATTCTTGAAAAATATAGTAATTAAGAAAATTAATCCTTTATCACAAACCCTTGTAGTAGAGTGCATCTCCCCATGATTTTGTTGTTGTTGTTGTTATCCTATATATAAACAAGCATTTATATATATATCCTATATATAAACAAGCATTTATATATGTATCCTATATATAAACAAGCATTTATATATATATCCTATATATAAACAAGCATTTATATATATATCCTATATATAAACAAGCATTTATATATATATCCTATATATAAACAAGCATTTATATATATATCCTATATATAAACAAGCATTTATATATATATCCTATATATAAACAAGGTGGGTGCTTTTCTCCTCTTTCAGAAATGCCCTACTCTGTCTATGGAGTAGCTATTCTTTCACCACTTTATTTTCTTAACAAACTTGCTTTCATGTTGCACTGTGGACTTGTTCCAAATTCTTTCTTGCACGAGATCCAAGAACACTCTCTTCAGGTCTGGATCAGGTCCCCTTTCCAGTAACATGGTCATTCACACATGACAAGGGATTTATCAAGACATTTCAACCACTGCAATGTATTTTGATACTTATTAGACAAATGAAAATGGAAAAAAATTGTGATAATTAGCAGGGGGTTTTGGAACATTGAATATTTAATGACATTAAGAAATTATTGTTAATTTTTGTTGGTGGGAAAGTAGCATAGCAATTATATATTTTAAGGAGTCCTTGTGTTTTAGAGATGCATGCTGAAATATTTACAGATGAAACTATATGACATCTAGGATTTGCTTAAAAATAATCTGAGTAAATGGGGGAAGTGGGTGGGATGAAACAAGACTAGCTATGAGTTGATAATTGTCTAAACTGGTTGGTATGTACAAAGGGGTTCATTATAATATTCTAGCTTTTGTCAACCTAAAAGAATCAAAATGGTCAGAATCTAATTTACGGAGAGTGCAAAGCGTGAGGATGGCCCACCTGAAAACACCAACTCCAAAGGAATGGAGTCAGTGTTCTGAAGTAGGGAAGTTAAGGTGTCAGTTATACAGGCAGAGACAGAGGAATTTTTAGCAGGATTACAACATTTTTCATACAAGACTGGCACATAGTTACAGCAATTTGATTGGTTATAGGGAATGTTTCTTTTTGGGAAGGGTACATTTAACACTTTTTACAGAATGTAATAGTCATGGGTTTTCTGTCACCTGATCTAAGCAAAGCAGGACAACAAAGAGGAAGAAGTTAATCTATCATAAGGGTCATTAATTAAGAAGGCAAGAAGTTTTTGTCCTTGACTTGGTTTAATTCTTTCTAGTCATTGTACTGAACAAGAAAATTAAGAAAGCAAGTTAGTCTATAATCTGAAAAACAAGTTGGAACCATATGTGACTCAGATCACAGTCATATGTATCTCAGTCCTTAAAGGGTTTTTTGGGAGATCCAATAGCTTTTAAATTATGTTTATTTTCTTATTTTCAGTGTTTGAAATATTCCATAATAAAAGGTTTAGGGGTATTGTTTGTAATGTTATCTTTCTTTATGCCTGGGCCTGTGAGGAATTTTCGTAATTTCTAGTGAGTATGTCTTAAAGTAAAGGTTGCAAACAGGTGGCTGTTGCACTGTTCATATCCTATAGGCAGGTTTTATTTGACCAGCACCATGTTTTTTGAAAATATGAATTAGTTACCAACATTTAAAAATAGAGAAATTTCAGATAATCATCCAGATTTTACATTTCTCTTAAAACCATTGGAAACTCTGGCTACACTGGCCCCCGATCCCTCATGGTGACAGCTGGCTAGAGCTGAAAAGTTTCTGTCCCCTGCAAAGAAGGAAGGCACTCTCTATTTGCCATAGTTCCCAGCTGCCTAGCCCTCACAGGCACCAAAGCATGCCACTCCTGCTTTATTGCACTTCCAAGGCTTGTTGACAATAGGAGATAACAATGAACAATAATAAAAAAAAGTGTGCCTGACTTTAACCAATGTAAACTATTACTTACATCTGAAGATCAAAAATGATTTAAGAGGTAACATTTCACCCATCTACAAGGCATTCAGAAGTGACAGGAAAATATCTTATGCAAGACTTGATGCTAATTAGAACATTTCTGGGGTGACAGTGAACCAGCTAGGCTTTATTAGGTACACAACAAATCTAAGTCAATGACAAACAATTTTCTTTCATATAAGCTATGGAAATAGAATGCTTTTAAAAAATCAGTCAATTCAAATTAATTCCATCATAAATCGTATTAGGTTTAAGGTATGTGATCATTTGAAAATTCAGGTGAAAGGATTCCTGAAAGACAGATGAAGTCTCATTATAATCCTTCATTTCATTTCTAGCTTCTTAATCCGGTTAAAACAAACAAACAAATAAAAACTTTATCTTACAAGATATACTTCAGCTGTCATTTCTCAGGAATCCTTCTCTGATTCCCTCCAGGTATCACATGCTATCCTTCCTCCTCATTTTGTGTGGGATTCTCTTATGGCACCTGACCTTCTTCTGTCTTATATTAGTCATCTGTGCATTTATCAATCCCCTTCCTTCTTGTGGAGAATGAAATTTCTTAATGGCAGAGAATCTGCAGCCATACTCCCTGGGCCTATATCGCATAACAACCAGGCAAGCTCTTAAGTACACCTCACATCACTCAGATGGTCAAAGGAGGCCATTTCCTTCTCTACTTTTAGATTTCAAAAGCAGTTTATTTATCCCTAAAGCTGAAATACCACTTATTTTGGAGTGAGAGTTAAAGAAAACAAGCTGCTCACAGAGGATATTCCAGAGCATGCTTGGTAGGCACCACGTGGGCAGCCTCCCAAATCCTCTTGACCCTGTAGAGGCTTAGGAAAAATCAGAGTCTCTGCAGCCCTTGTTCACTCTCATACAGAAGGCAGCTCAAGTTTTGTATTTTACTGTATGAGTACTTAAAAGAAATCACTTATTTTCAGCATTGATTCCCTGCCTATTTCCAGAAAGTGCCTTCCAGCTGGAGGGCAAAAATCATTGATTTGGACTCTAATTTCTTTCCCTAAAAATAAGACTCAGTTGCCACAGTGTACTATACTATACCCTCTAAGTTATTTTATAGGGATGCAGATAGAACTCTCACAAAGCAACATCTGGGTTTGTTTGTTTTCAGAATTTAACGGTTTTTGCCATAATATCAAATTCCACAGATTTTTCTGATTCACAGGTCATTTTTTCAGTATGGTCAAAATACTGGTAAGATGATTCTAGTATCTATCAACAATCAGTTTACTACCAAAACGAAAGGCTAAAAACCTAAAAACTCTTTTTTTTAAAAAAATTAATAATATGATAACATGTTAGAACTCAGAAAAAGCATGTGTTTAAAATGAATGTTTTTAATTACTAGCCTTACCAATAGATCATTCACAAAATTTGAATGTATAATGTTTCACTTTAATCAGAAGCAAAGGCTTTTTTGAGCTAACCAGCAAGGAATTTGAAACTGTGCTTCCTTGCTTCTTACTAGAGTCTATTCATACTTAGAAAAAAAAAAACATTGACTTGACTAATTCACTTGAGTGGGGTGCATATATATATATATATATATATATATATATACACACACACACACACAATTAGATATATATATATACACAATTAGGTATATATATATATATATACACACACACACACAATTAGGTATATATATATATATACCTAATTACAATTAGTATACAATTAGGTATATATATATATATATACACACATACACACACAATTAGGTATATATATATATATACCTAATTACAATTAGTATACAATTAGGTATATATATATATACATACACACACAATTAGGCAGAGCTGATGATAATCTTATGAAATAAAATTGGCAAAAGTTAACAACTACCCGAGTAGTTAATTTTCTATCATTTCTATCATATCAAGAAAAAAACTTTTAAATTTTTAAAAGAATTATGCAAACCATTAAACTAGAAATAAACCGCATTTCTAACAAGTATAACTTTTTTTTTTTTTTTTTTTTTTTTGGAGACAGAGTCTTACTCTGTTGCCTAGGCTGAAGTGCAGTGGCGTGATCTCAGCTCCCTGCAACCTCTGCCTCCTGGGTTCAAGCGATCCTCCTGCCTCAGCCTCCTGAGTAGCTGGGACTATAGGCACGTGCCACCATGCCCAGCTAATTTTTTTGTATTTTTAGAAGAGATAGGGTTTCGTCATGTTTGGCCAGGCTGGTCTCCAACTCCTGACCTCGGGTGATCCACCTGCCTCAGCCTCCCAAAGTGCTGGGATTACAGGTGTGAGTCACCATGCCTGGCCCAACTTTTAGAAAGTATTGATATTTATTTATAGTTATAAGAGGAATGCATGTTTATTGTAGAAAATTTGGAAACTATAGAAAAGCTTAAGGGAAAGAAAAAAATTACAGCTCCCATAATGTCATATTAGTATATTTCCATATAAATACATTTCTTTTTTACATTGATATCATAGTGAACATATTGTCTTGTAATCTGGTTTTTCACTTAATATATCATGGTTTCTCATTATTTTAATGTACAGTATGATGTTGTATTCCAACACTTAGCCAGTTCCCCATTGTTGCACAGTTACATGGCTTCCATTCTTTTTCATTCCAAATAACACTGTGATAAATATCCTTTCACATAAATCTGTTTGAACATCTCATTGTTTCTTCAGAATAAATTCTAGAAATGGAAATGCTGGGTTAAGGATATGAACTTTTTTTAAGACTTATGATGGAAAATGTAATTTAGTAGGGTTTCTTTGGAATTTTACGCTTCTAAAAACAGTAACTCTGTTGAAATGACTAGAGTTATATTCTGGGTGGCTTTCCCATGTGGTAACAGTCCCAACACTGAGCTCCTGAGTACCCAGTTAGCCTACTAAATCTGGGTGTGAACTGCTCATGCTGCCACTGCTGCTGCAGCAGTAAGCCTAAGCGATGGCTCTCTGTCGTGTCCTAGCCCTGTTTGCATCCCCTACATCTGCTCCCCACCCTTGCTAGCCAGCTGAGTCCAGTGCAGGAACAGGTCAGCACCCAGGGTGGCTGTATATCCATTTCTACTTGCTTCTCCACTTTTCTGCACATATGGTCTCCACCATACTTGTGAAACATCTCAATCTGAAAAGACTGGGTGCCACTAAGGAGTAGCTAAATACATTCAAAAGGAATGAAAAAATAATATCAAGCAACACGTCTTCAGTTGCCAGGTTCCATTTTCAGAGGCTCTGTTTCATACTTCCCATCAAAAACAAGTTACAGTTTCACAGCGAAGACGTGAATTACTGATAATTGTGAAAGATGATTTTTTGAGATCCATATTTGACCTTGGGTAATATTATCCAAGCTGCTGGTGTTATACAATTAGTAAGAAAAATAAAGTGCTCTTGAACTATTAGCAACAGCTTCCCTAGCCACCAGCTGAGGTCACAGCAACCTCCCTAATAGCATCCTCTCAAGCCTAACTAACAATTTTTCCCACAAACAGTAATCACTGGGCCATAAAGAAAGAACTCTTCCCTAAGAGACTATAAAATAAAACTATTTTCATTGAACCTTCCATTAAAAGGACAGAAAGTGTCAAGCCAAATCAACGTTTTATTCATCTGTTTGGTTTTGGAAAGATTAAAAGTGGGATGTTTATTGGCAAAATAAATGTTTTTAAATCATTCACACATTTCGGATTACTAGTAATGATTCTTCCTGTTTATAAGTAATAATGTGTTTTGACAATACCAGGAAAACAGCAATTGTTCTGGAAAATTTGTACATAAATAACAGAATTTTTACAGTTAAAAGCAAAACAGCATTTAATCTAAGACCTAAATTGTCATGTTGATTTGATTAAATACATGTATGAACTTCCACTTCTGCCGTGAAAGATTAAGTAATTTGTACTAACTTTCCTCCTCAGGAAAACTAAAAAAAAAAAAAAAAAAAAAAAAACCTAGACAAAATAATGAGAAAAAAATAACATTTTAAAGGCATTAAAAGAGCTAAAAATGAGTGAGGAATTGCTTGGCCAAGATTCAGAAGATGGAAATTCAGAGAGGTGAATCTGTCATCAAGGCTTCTATTGCCCAAGAGGAATTTGCCAAGCAGTGCTTATGACAGTATCACTAAGCCAGGGAATCAACACTGAGAATCCTGGGTTACAGGAGAAGAAAGGAGACTTGCTCTTCATGGGATATCCCTTTGCATCTTTTGATTTTAATATTATGTACAGGTACCACATTCAAACAAAGGAAGATTCAAGAATCATCAATAATATGCACCAAACCAGTTAGTGAATAAGAATAATAAATTACACATTCCTTAATGTCACATGGCACATATCTATACTCTATTTTTTCAAAATCTAAAGGCTGATGTTATCTTGAGATCTATAATAATAAAATGCACATACTGTTATACTTTGTATACTCCATATTTAGGAATCTAAAGATAGGGCTTAGAAAGTAACACATATTTTGGTACTATGGAATACAATTCTAAAAATATTAAAAATTTGCTTTTAGTGATCAGTCAATGCCCCTAGAAGGCAACTAACACCTAAATCTCTGATGGTTTAACTTTAAAATTCTGGACCAGTATTCCATTCCATCTACCACTATAATGGTTTACATTACAGTTACCAGGGTTGCCAAAAATGGATTATGAGTTAAAAAGTAAGAAATTATCATTGGAATAGTATTTTTCATCCTGTAATAGAACCACAGGTTGAGTCTAGATATTCCTTATTCATTTAAAAATAGGCTATGTGTGTGTGTGTGTGTGTGTGTGTGTGTGTGTGTGTGTGTGTGTACATATACATATATATATATATAATCATACAGGCTCACTAGTGAAACTGATAATGTAATTAACTCAGTGAAATACTTTAGAGACTACAGAGGAAATTTTTAAACTTTTAAGCCAATCAAATTCTCCAAGGATGACTGCAATGTGAATTTTTATAAACATTTTCTCATTTTGATACAGAAAATAAGTTCAGGTAGTTTAAGAAAGTGACTTGTAGAGTTGTACAACCATCACTTCAGCTGAAGTGATGAGGTGATTACTGGTTCAAAAATTGCTGATTTGCACAGCAGGTCCAGTCTGGCTACACAGTTTTACAAAAATTGAAAATTAAAAAGAAAAAGTTGCTGTGAATAGCAACAATAAAGAGTATAAGGTAGAAAAATGAGGCAATTAAAGAGTTAAGGATTCTGAGTCCAGATGAAATAAAGAATGCAAAGGCAATAACTCTAAGAACAAACACATAAAAGGTCAATAAAGAATATAAATGCCATCTGTTTTCATGTTTCCTAACAGTAATATTGAGGACATCTTATTGTTTCTATGTAACCCAGTGTTCCTTCATTATCTCGTGGTAACCACCACCCCTCTCCAACTCTCAAGCCCTCTAGCTTAAGTGGGATTGAGTCAAGCTCCAGCTCCAGAGGTAGCTGTCATTCAGAATGGCCCATCCCACTGGCCAAGGGTTTAGTGCAGAGATATGAAGGTCATCCACTTAGAGATGCTCAGGGAATTTTGCTGGGGAATCTAGAAAAGAAAAACTGGGCAGCTATTTTGCAACTTTGAGAAAGCTGAGATACAGTCAAACAGTCTCCAGAAATCACCTCTCATTCTATACTACAAATACCGTGGTGGATTGTACACTATTTCAATACTTCTGTTATGTGTGGAGATGCAGCATAGCACAGGGGTTAAGAGCACAAACTATAGAGCCTGGCTCTTGATCTTAACCTCAATTCTGCTTCTTATTAACTGTGTGATCTTGGGCAAGACACTTGAGCTCTCTCTCAGTTTCCTCATCTGTAAAATGGGAATAACAGAACTCAGTAGGGTTGAAGTTTAAATGAATGAATACATGAAAAGCAATCAGAACGTTCCCTGGCACAGGGTAAGCACTATACAAATGTTAGCTATTATTATCGTCGTTGTTATGAGGATTAAATGAATAAATGGAAAGTGTTTAGAACAGTGCCTGACACATAGTAACCCTGTATACATATTATCCATTATTAAAACTACCAATTCTTTCATTCACTCAACAAGTATTTATTGAATACCTCTTCTTTGCCAGGCCAATGTCTTCATTCTAGACAAGCAGTATCCAACAGAAATGTAATGTAAACCATGTATGTGAGCCAAGTATGTAATTTTAAATTTTCTAGTAGTCACATAAAAATAAATGAAATTAACAAATAAAATTACTTTTAGTAACATATGTTCTTTAATCTCCAAAATATCATTTCAACATATCAATATTAAAAACAAGATATTTTACAGTCTTCATTTCATTCTAAATCTTTGTGATCTGGTATTTTGTACAGTACATTTCAATTCAGACTAGCCACATTTCAAATATTCAACAGCTACATGTGGCTAGTGGCTAATGCTTAGTTTCAGACATTAAAGGTTAGGGAAAGAGGGGAAATGCTATCTTTGTCCTCTACCACTAACTATATAATTGTAACTAACTATAATTGTAACTAACTATATAATTTTTTTCAATTTTCAAAGTCCTTTCACCTTTGTTATTCGAGAGGAACATGCCTTGCCTTGAAGGATTGATTAGATTTTAGCAGGTGGAGAAAGTTCCTTTCAAGAGGAAACACATGAGCAGAGGCAACAAGGCAGGAAAACAAAGGGTCTACTAGGGAAGTAGAAATCAGAGAGCAAAATCTAAGATGTATCAGGAAAGCCCTTAATGCCAGACCAGGGAGGCTGAATTATGTTTGTCAGGTGGTGGGAAGAAACGGAAGGTCTGTGAATGGGAGAGGCAAGATTGGATTAAACTAACAGGTGAAGATAGCATGAAATGGAGTACGGAGAAACTAGAGGTAGCTCATTAGGAAATCACTGCATTAAATCTCAGGCAAAAATGATCTAGATAAAGGAATGGAAAGGAAGAGATAGCCTCACAATGTCCGATACTCAGGAGATCCCAATGTTAGTTTCTTTCCTCTTTTGGCAATTGGAGAGATTTTAAGCAATTGTCAAAAAATTGTCTAAAAAAATCTCATTCAACCAACCAACAAATATCTGAGCACCTACTACTTGCCAAGAACTATGACAGACCTTGAAGATATAAAAGACAATAAGGCAGACAGGATTCCTGACCTCTTACGTCTTATATTTTCTTGAAGACAAGAGACAAATCAATTATCAGACAGTTTCACAATGTGAATTACTATGAAGAAAATAAACACGGAGATGAGTGGCCAGGGAAGGGCACCCAGAAGTGGTGACAACTAAGCAGAGGGCTAAAGGATAAAATGAGCTGGATGTGCAAGGAGTCCGAGGAAGAGGGTTCCAGGTAGAGGGACAAGTATGGGCAGAGTCCTGGAGGTATCAGTAAAACCCGGGGTGTTCACAAACTAAAACAACAATGTTGCCAGAGCATAATCTGGGTGGGGGTGTTCATAAACTAAAACAACAATGTTGCCAGAGCATAATCTGGGTGGGGAGATGTGGCTGGAAGTACAGTGAGAGGAGCAATCAAGAGGACAAGTCACCTTGGGCCTGCAGGCCATGACAAGGAACTGGATTTTAAGAGCAATAGGAAGTCACTAAATTTTAGTGTCCAAAAGGTTTTAGGCAAGGGAACGAGATGATCTCCGTTTTAAGATCGATCTTGCTACAGTTTGTAAAACTGCCTAAGGATGGTAAAAGACTGAACCTGAGATTTCATTTAGAAGGAAACTAGCGTAGAGCAGGTGAGAGATGATGGTGGCATGGTCTAGATTAAGAAAGGCCCTTGGGAAAATTAACGGCCCTGCCCTAATATTTTTGCAGAAATGATCCTTTATGATTGTGCTGCACAAATCCCAAATGAGGTGAAGGATGTTGTCTTGTCCTATTATGAACTTTTCTGGGGAAAATGCTCTCTCCAAAATCAACATAAAATTAGATCTTTGTCAGTTCTAAGTATTAGAACATAAAATCTTAACCAAAGTTGTTAAACTCAAAATAGATTTTCAGCATGTAATTTTCATTTTCTGGAAGGTGATTAGGAATCTTTCCAAAGAGATGACACATGGCTTGAGAACTGGGGGCGGGAAGTCAAAGGAAGCAGCCATTAGGTCTCCACGCTGAAAGAATAGCTAAGTGCAGAGGCCTTGAGAAGGGAATGAAATGGCCACGTTCAAGGAACAGAGGCAGCCCACTGGCTGTAGCAGAGTAAATATCCATGGTATGTGGTCCACATTTACTGAATGTCCAAGACATGTCTTCTAATTCGTCTGTCACCAAAGTGGTCATAAGCAGTCGCCATCAATAAGAAACAAGCAGAGAAAGGGCCTACAGTTCAATTTATTTTTCAGTTGCCTCACAAAAGGCTAAGAAAAACTTAGTTTCTGGTGAACCCAGGTAGACATGCTCATTTTAAAGAGAATGAATATATCTAGGAAGAGCCTGGCAGTATATTCCCAAAGGCGTGACAATAAAGTTCCTTAACGTGTAGTCAGCACCCTCAAACGTCAACACGTCTGGAAAATTCGGAAGCGTTTCCTCCTGTCAGCGGCCCTTCAAGCTACCTCATACAGGGCAGCCTCTCCTACCCAGACCCGGAGCCTATCAATCGACGAGAAAACAGCTTCCCCTCACTGGGCGGTGCGAACCAACTCTGCACGATCAAGTCGGATAGAGGACTGGCAACCGCGGGCACTACAGGGCAGTCCTTAACGTCATATCCGGTTGTCAGCTCGGCCGCCTCCGCCTAACCAGAAGTCGCAGATGTGACGATGCAAAAACGCCCGTCGGGGGCGCGTCTCTTTCAGCAGCCAATGGGCTCTGCCCACCTTCGTCCTCGTCAGCATTTTGTCTAATCGCGGCCTGTGACGCTCGAAGGGCGGGGAGCAGAGGGAGATACAGAAACCGACAGGGGCCAGGCGCCCGGTGGCTCCGAAGCGGGGAAGTGGGACAAGATGGTTTACATCTCGAACGGTAAGTTGAGAGCGGGCTGTGGCTTCGACCGGTGACTTGTAAGATCGGACTCCAGGTTCCTTTCATCGTCGCTCGCTGAGTCTTGAGCCCGGTGCGGCTTCCCCGGGCTTAGCGCCCCGCGGCCGGGCGGAGCTGGACCGAAGTCGCCTCGGCTTGCGGCGCGTCAGCCGATGGTCTCTGAGCCGGCAGTCGGGGGCCGAGGTCCCGCCGGCCTCACGTTGAGTACTGGGAGCCCTGCAACCCCGCCTTCGTGCAGCAAGCGCTTGATTGTGGATTTGCGAGGGTGGTCTTTCCTCTCTCGGGTGTCGGTATCCTTAAAACTAGTAAGGACAATGATGCCGACGCTGTACACGTAGCGCTTGTGCCCTGGACAGTGTTTCAGTTATTTGCTTATCGTCACATTCAATCCTGTTTTACGGGTGGAAACTCTGAGGCTCAGATAGATTAAATAGCTTGCCTGGGCTATTTAAGTCACAGAGGTAACTTAATGGCTGAGTCGGGATTCGATCACAGGTAGGCTGACGTCAGCGTCCTTGTTATCTGTTATGCTGCCTCTGTCTACAACGTGTAAAAAGACCGAGCCGACCTAGGATGATAATTAGATGAAAGCTTTGCATAGGCTTTTTCCCCAGGAAAGGGTAGCTAGTCAAACATGGAATTTTTTGCTCGAATTTCAAGGGGCATGGGAAGAAGTACTATCTTCCCCTAGGAGCAAGTTAATTATTACCGGAATGGAGAATCCGAGAGACTTAATTCTGCGAACCCACAAAGAAGATGACCGGAAAGGAAGGACATGACTGTGTCAGATCAGTGCTAGAGCTGCCTGCCCACCTGTTTGACTCAGGTGAAATTCTTTGGTACAGTCTTAACAAGGAGTTGTGGATCATTGGAACTAGGTCTTGGTTCTATTTGAGTCATCTGTTTTTCTCCAGAGACGAGTAAGGTAGTCAGTGAGGAGCCTTCTGGCTGACTGCACTTTTGCATTTCTTGACTTTTAAAAATCTCCCCTTCTCATCTCCCACTTAAAAATCTTTGAAACAAGTAGATTGATGGACACTACAGAAAAGCATCAAAATTTCATCTTAGTTTTGGGCGCTTTCAGACTTTAGTCTGTTTTATAGCCTGTTTTATAGCCTTTGTGATATAAGCTTAAGGCTGGAAGCTTCTGTATGAATTATTGAATAATTCCTTGTATTTGTTGTGTCTTACTGTGTTCGCATTATTTCATTTGGTCCACATAAGTAGCCGATTAGGACTCTTTATCGTACTTTAAAAGTTGAGAAACACAACTGCATTCAAACACCTTACTTCTCTCTGGGGATATTGGTGGAAGGGACATTCTGCCTTAAGAAAGGGAAAGTGGAAAAGCAAGATAGAATCACAGAGGAAGAAATGACAGGTTCCAATTAGATCCACCTTCTTAGGACTGTATTATCAGCACTTGACAAAATCTTTCTCTTGCTGTCAGATGACTTTTTTTTTTCCAAAAATCTTATGTGATGGCTAGCCCTGGAATACTTTTTGTTGGAGAAAGAAAATGTCACATCAGCCAACGAAGCAGAGCTAGTAAGAGGCAGAGAACTAAGCCTGTCACCCACCCTCTAAACTTTTGTAGCCCCTTGCTCTCAGTAGCACAGTGAGAGCTTAGATCCAAGTGGGTATCTGAAATTAAGCTGGTCAAGAAAAGAGGAAAAGTAAACCCTCATGGAGTGGGTAGAGGTGAGTGGGGTTAACTCTTGGGATAATGGAAAGGAGAGGTAGTTGACAGTTACTCTTCCCCGAAAATATTCTGACATCTTGATTTGCAAGGCTGAAATATAGTGTACCAACTTATGTTGTAGCTTCTATTAAAGTGGTTTGAAAAATAGATCCAGTTTTGCTTAAGATAAAGCTAGAGTCTATTAGAATTAAGAGTATGCTGTTATAGAAAACAGTAGTTATTTTAATGAAGAACAAGCCAAATTCTCTTTAGTACTTAGAGCATACACACTCTTTATAAGAATTTTATAAAAATAACTGATTCCAAAGACTTGTAAGAGTATGAATACGCAATCTTTTTATACAGGCAAGAGACTTTGCAAATGAAAAGAAATACTCAGCATGTTTAGGAATATGGAAGTGGTGTGAGCATTCCTTTATATTCACCCGTCCCATTTGTTTCTTCAAAGTACTTGAATAAAGAGGTATTTTTACACCCATGTTGATAGCAGCATTATTCACAGTAGTCAGAAGGTGGAAGCAACTCAAGTGTCCATCAACAGATATGAGTGGGTAAACAAAATGTAGTATATACATACAAGGATATATTATTCAACCTTCAGGAAGGAGATTTTGACACATACTGCAACATGGATGAACTTTGAAGACATGCCAAGTGAAAAGCTGGTCACTAAAGGATAGAAATTGTATTATTCTTCTTTTATGAGGTTCCTAGAGTAGTCAAATTTGTCGGGACAGAAAGTAGAATGGTGGTTGCCAGGGGCTGGGCGGAGAAGGTAATGGGAATCAGGGTTTAATGGGTATAGAGTTTCAGCTGGAGAAGATGAAAAACTTCTAGAGGTGGATGGTGGTGATGGTTGTGCATCAATGTAGAATGTACTTAATATCACAGAACTGTACTCTTTAAAATGGTTAACCATTGGTAACCATTGTTACATTTTTAAACCATGATAAATTTTTGTTTTATATATATGTGTTTTTTTGTTGTTTTTTGTTTTTTTTTTCTTGCTCTGTCGCCCAGGCTGGAGTGCAGTGGCGCCATCTGGGCTCACTGCAACCTCTGCTTCCTGGGTTCAAGCAATTCTCCTGCCTCAGCCTCCTGAGTAGCTGGGACTACAGGTGTGTGCCACCATGCCTAGCTAATTTTTTGTAGTTTTTAGTAGAGACGGGGTTTCACCGTGTTAGCCAGGATGGTCTCAATCTCCTGACCTCATGATCCGCCTGCCTCGGCCTCCCAAAGTGCTGGGATTACAGGCATGAGCCACCGCGCCCAGCCTTTGTTATATATTTATAGAAAGAGAGAAAGTAGTTGAATAGAATGAAGTCACCCACCAAGTTTATAAACCAGTAGGCTTTTGACATACTGGAGGAATGTCCCTAGATAATGGAACATTACTTCTCCGAACCTTTCCTTGGAATGATGCTCACAGATTTCTTCTGGTGTTGGCCATTTGGAATAATGGGCAAGTTAAAACCCCAATCATTGTTACCTCAATAATTAAATGTGATGCCTCTTGGGTTAGGGATTTGTAGCACTCACTAAAGTTTCTTTAATTCTTATCTGTAGGACAAGTGTTGGACAGCCGGAGTCAGTCTCCATGGAGATTATCTTTGATAACAGATTTCTTCTGGGGAATAGCTGAGTTTGTGGTTTTGTTGTAAGTATAGAAGAGCTCTTAATTGCCCTGATATTTAAGTTGACAGGTATACATCATGTGCATTATGTTAGGGATCTTAAATAAGCTCAACTTTCCTGAAACAGTTTTCTATTGCAATTTAAAAAATAGCTTTACACAGGGAAATAGATGTTAGTGATAAAGTTGCTACCACCAGATAGCTTATGATTATGAGTATATGTTAGTTGGATTGGTAAACTTGACCACATCTTAACCTTGGTGGTAACTACTTCAACCTATGGCTGGGTCCGTCAATTCTGATGCTAAATGACTGGACCTCACTTTCTCTCTACTATTCTTGTTTTGTTTTTTTCTTTGTGCATGCAACTTTCATTCCATATTATATAACAAGTAAATAAAAGGTTTTATATCCTGGTTTAAAAAAAATTCCAAAGAAGTAAACTTTTTTATAATGAAGGGTTAGAATTGGTAAAGGAGACAAAAATTTAAATGTCTTCATAATTGTAAGCAGTTACTAGTTAAATGCATGTTTTGGTCTTTTACATGCTGTTTGTTAGAATTGTTCATCAATAATTAAGAAGTCTTACCTATTCCTAAATTTGAATATATATTTGAGTGTCTCATGATCAGGGAACTGTAGGGATGCAAAGATGTGGGAGACCCTTTTTTCATTGAGTTTACTGTCAGTAAATATCTTCATATTGCAAGGGTGGGCATGACTGGGAGGTGAACATCAGAGGAAGTTATCCCAGATAAAGGAAACCACATGAAGGATGGCATAGAAGTTTGAGTATCAGGCTGTGGTCTTTATGCTTAATTTGATCTTAGCTGTGGTTTAGAAAGTTTAATTTTATGGCTATATATAGCATAAACTAGATGGTGTAGAATGTAAAATGGAAGAGATGGTTTCATAGAAAAATACAACAGGGCACAAGAGAGGCCCTAAGTTACCCAATCCAAAACTTAACTCTTTTACAAATTTCACCTACTCCATGTTGTTTATAAAAGTACTTTTTAAACTCAGTTAAATCCTTCCATATAATTTTACATATCATTTTTAAAAATTCCATTTCAATGGATTCCCAGAAGCCCTGTGCCTTTGCCACACCACCCTTGGCCCCTCCTTCCCTAAGATGTTAGGTAGACTTTTGCAGGGGAAATGAGCATGAGACACTGTAAAAACCCGATGGCTGATTTAAAGTGGAGGTCAGGGATGACTCTGGTTTCATGCTCTGTCTAGGGGAGTTATTAGCAAATAAGAAATACAAGGAAGGGTAGATTTGGTGTACAACATAGCACATTCAGTTTAGACACATGCTTAAGTTAGATGGTGGTGTCCAGCTGGCTGCAAGAAATGTGGGTTAGGAGCTAAGTGGGTTTAGTAATCCTCTCACAGAGATGATGGTTAAAAAACATGGAAATATATTTTAGAATGTTGTCAAAAGTGATACCTTTGTTGTTTTCTGCCCCTTGTTTCAGTTTCAAAACTCTGCTTCAGCAAGATGTGAAAAAAAGAAGAAGCTATGGAAACTCATCTGATTCCAGATATGATGATGGAAGAGGGTACAGCTTTTTAAATTGATAATAGTTGTTTTTATGTCTTTGTATACCTTTATTAGATATTTTAGGTAGATAGAGTTAGACTTTTGGAAATTAAAAGTTTAAATCCTATTTTACAAAATTAATGCATTACTGTAAATTAAAAGTCAAATTGCTTCTGATTTGATAATAATCAGTTAATCTGACAAAGCTAAAATATACATGAAATATCCCATGGAAAAAGTCTAAATTAGAGGGTGAAAACTGATGGCCACCATTAAAATCTAAAGATTTCATTTTAACATCTGGATTTCTAGTTGCTAATTAAAAACTTAGAAGATCGCCAGGCACGGTGGCTTGAGCCTGTAATCCCAGCACTTTGGGAGGCTGAGGCGGGTGGATCACGAGGTCAAGAGATCGAGACCATCCTGACCAACATGATGAAACCCCGTCTCTACTAAAATACAAAAATTAGCTGGGTGTGGTGGTATGCGCCTGTAGTCCCAGCTACTCAGGAGGCTGAGGCAGGAGAATTGTTTGAACCCAGGAGGTAGAGGTTGCAGTGAGCTGAGATCGTGCCACTGCACTCCAGCCTGGAGACAGAGTGGGACTCCATCTCAAAAAAAAAGCCGTAAAGATCAAGATCAAGTAGCACTGGGCTAGGCTTATGTTTCTACCTGGCAAAAATCAGCTGGAGCTGGGTTTCAGTGGGGCATTACTGGAGGTGCTATTCAGTTCATCACAGTCCTTTCTTGACTCAGTTCCTTGTGTGCATTATGTGTCTGGTCCCTTTAAGTGTTTTAATTTTTGCCTCCTGACCTAAAATGGTAGTTTCTATTTTAAATTGTGTTTTAGGGTCATGTGGGTGCTGAAAAAGAAAAGGGTCTAGTTGAGTGCTTTTAAAAGGAGACAATTCAAGTTGTGTCTATCAAACAGTAGATACTAACTTTTTATTTTATTAGGCCACCAGGAAACCCTCCCCGAAGAATGGGTAGAATCAATCATCTGCGTGGCCCTAGTCCCCCTCCAATGGCTGGTGGATGAGGAAGGTAACTTCAGATCTGAAATTCTTTTGTAGGATTTTGTTTTGAAAACACTTCTGTAGTAATGTTTTCTTTAAGAAGTTGCCCAGCAGCTTATAATTACTCAGACATTATTTGGAAATATATTTGTTATCTTAACCCTTGAAAAATTCACTGGCCTTGTTATCAAAATGTCTTTTGAGAAAGATTTTATAACATGTAATATGTTGAGGTTTTCACACAGATCCAAATTAATAACCAGTAACTAATTATTGTAACATTTTCTTTCAGGTAAATGTCTGCTCTAAGAAGCAGACAACCGGACATGCGCATTCATAGCAGAAGGAAACCATCAAGAAGTGGAAGGCTGACCATGATGAGCAGTAGATGAATGTGTATGTCTAAACAAGGACTGCTCTGTGTCCTCACAGATGAATGAGGTCATGCTGGGAATTCCCTCTGCAGGGAACTGGCCTGACTGACATGCAGTTCCATAAATGCAGATGTTTGTCTCATTACCTTTTTGTATAGTTTATTAAAGTATTAATATAGTTTTAATAAGTAAATATTTTTAGGTTGCAGAATGGACTCCTCATCTTTATATTCACGAAAAAGCAATCTGAAGAAAACAAATAAAAGCCTGTGTATTTAGCACTGTTAGTGTCACCTTTTCAACTTCTGAAACACTGTTCATTGTTAACTTTTTCTCATTTATAAATCACTGTATTTATTTTAGTAGTATGCATAGCATATCTGTGCTCTTGAATTAATTTTTATCTTTAACATATTTGTCTCATCAATCTTTAATACACTGTGTCTAATTTGCTACCAAATGTAATTATCAGGGTATTTATAAAACCATAGCTAACAAAACTGAGCTACAAAATGAAAATTTACTAAATAGTTTTTAAAATCATGGACTTCAGCCTGGCGCGGTGGCTCATGCCTGTAATCCCAGCACTGTGGGAGGCTGAGGCGGGCAGATCGCCTAAGTTCACGAGTTTGAGACCAGCCTGCAGCATGACGAAACCTAAAATAACAAAAATTAGCCAGGCGTGGTAGAGTGCACCTGTAATCCCTGCTACTCAGGAGGCGGAGGCAGGAGAATCGCTTCAACCCGGGAGGCGGAGGTTGCTGTGAGCATGCCACTGCACTCCTGCCTAGGCAACAGAGTGAGACCCTGTCTCAAAAAAATAAATAAAACCATGGGCTTCCATGCTATCTTGACAAATTTGCACTCTATAGCATCACTCAAAATACTGCCTATTGGCTTTAAACTCCATCTGAATACTGATAACTTTCACATTCTTTCACTAGAGTGGAAGCTCTGAGACTAGGAATTTTGTTGTCTTTACCCCAGTCCTTTGAATAGTGACTACATGTAAGATAGTCATGTAGTATTTATTGGAAATAAATATTTATTGGAAAAACGAAAACAGATAATTCCTCTTCTGGTGTTTAACAGGCTTTGAAACCAAGTGTTCAGGTGAAAGCCTTTTTATATTGATTTATCAGCATTTATTCAACCCCGTTTGTCGGGAAATGGGATGTTGTGGCATAAGATACCAATATTCAGGATAAAGAAGCAATTACAATGCAGGTTTCAGGATAAGGATAACAGTTTGCTGGCCACCTCAATTATGTGTCAGATTTTATTTATTTTTTAATTTTTATTTTATTTTTATTTTTTATTTTTATTTTTGAGACAGGGTCTCACTCTTATCCAGGCTGGAGTACAGTGGCTGCTCACTGCAGCCTTGACCTTTTGGGCTAAAGTGATCTCCCACTATGGCCTCCCTAAACGCTGGGATTACACGTGTGAGCCACAATGCCCAGCCTGTAAATTTTTACACATTTTAAATTCTGACAAAGTGAGGGATATGTATAATGTATACATATATACAAAGTGAGGTAAATGTATAATGACATTTGCATTATACAGATACATGCAAGGGTTCAGTAAAGTTTGGCAGCTTCCTAGATTGTATTGCCAGTGAATGGCAGAGGCATTATTAAACCTCCACCTTACCCTATAGCGGGGAGACCATGGCAGAGTCTCAGTAGGTGGTTGATTGTTGTTACTGATGGCTCTTCCTGAGCATGTGAACCATGGTCCTCTTCTGCCTCCTAGCACTGCTGCTGCAGGACTTGTTCCTCGGGTCTTATCCCAGAGTTCTGGCTGCATTTGACATTCAGGTATTCTTCTTTGCACTTCAGATAGAATGTAAAACACAGGTTCTTGAGTACTTTATGCTTAACTCTTGTCTTTGCTACTCAATAGCTTATGATCTTGAGTGAATTATGCCATTTTATCCCACTTCACTCACCTGTAAAACGGGGATTAAATTTTTACCTCCAAGAGTTCTTTATTTAGTATTTAGTCATCACATGCTTATTGGGCACCTACCATGTGCTGAAGATAACTGGCAAAGTCTCACGGAGCTTACATTCTAGTGTGGGAGACAGTGAGCAGGCATGATAATTACAGACTAATGCTTCATGCTTCAAAGGGAATAGGATGATGAGAGAATAACTGCGGAAGGCCTGAGGTGACATTTGAGTTCAGACGTGAGAATGAGACAGCTGAGGGAAGAGCATCCAAGGCAAAATGAACAGCAAGTGCAACAGCCCGATGACGGGAAGGGCTTGGCATGTCTGAGAAAGATAAAACAGGTGTAGCTGGAAATGCCAAGGAATGGGGAGAGTGTTGTGAGGTGAACTTAGAAATGTAGCAATAACTAGATATGGTCTTTAGGTGGTGGTTAGTTTAGATTCTGTTCTTTGAGCAAAGGGAAACCATTAGAGTTTAAAGCATGAGTGACATCTAATTTTTGAGGTAAGTCTTAGTGGAGTGCTGGGTACATAGTAGTATTAACTACGTAATATTTTAAAACAACGTGGGCAACTATATAAGAACAGATCATAGGGGGACAGGACAAGGAGTTCGAGTTAAGAGGCTGTTGTAGTCATCCAGGTGAGATGATAGTGGCTTGGGCTAGGTAGTGGCATGGGAATGGAGAAGTGGATGAATTCAAGATCTATTTTAGAGACTGCAGGATTTACTGATGGATTGGATGTAGAAGCTGTCAACAAGTGAAGAATCAAAATGACATTTACTGAGATGGTGAAAGTGAGAGGGGAGGGAATCAAGAGTTAAATTTTGGACATATTTAAGTTTGCAGTGCCTTGTAGACAATCCAGATGGAGAGACCAAGTAGGCACTGGTTATCAGTACGGATCTCTCTGAGCGGTTCATCCTGGATATATATATTTGGGAATCGTATTCATTGCTAAAGCCAGGAAACTGGATAGTCACCCAAGGAGTGTGCCTGGAAAAGACCTAACCCCAACATCAGAGGCTGGACTGAACATGAAGACATATGAGAAAAACTAAGAGTACATATGGTATCTGGGAAGCCAGGAGAAGAGATGCCTGTGAGGACGAAATAAGATGCGGGTTATCAGCCGACCCCCACTAGGCGCTCGAAAAGCTATGTGTACTATGTTGCTGGCATCTACACAGTCAGGACTAATCACAGCAACACCCACCCAATCAATCCGCATGCACACCCCGCCCCCAGCCCCTGCGCCGGGCAGCCCCACCCCCGCCTTTTCGGAGCCCTCTGGGGCGACTCCGCGGCGGCCATCTTGACTGTGGGCAGCCGGCCGTGCGCCTGCGCGGTGGCCCTTCCATCCCGGCAGTCGTGGCTGCAGCGCTGAGGCGAGAGGTTGGTGGGTGTCTCCGGCCATAATGACCCAGGCTGAGAAGGGTGATACGGAGAACGGAAAGGAGAAGGGCGGCGAGAAGGAGAAGGAGCAGCGCGGCGTGAAGCGGCCCATCGTGCCCGCGCTGGTGCCGGAGTCGCTGCAAGAGGTGCGGCTCTGGCTGGGTTGGAACTCTTTGCCCTTGCTTGGGTCCTCCGCTGCCAGGCAAGGGGCGGGAGGCGGCGGGAGGCTTCGAGTCCCCCTTGCAGGCCCCAGCCCCTGGTGGGGGGAGTGCGGAAGCGGTCGTTCTTTTCCGGGTGGTGGCGCGCCGGGACGCCGAGGGCTGGGAGGTGCGGAGCGCCAGGAGCCAGGCGGAGCCCCCGCAGGGACACCGCTCCGATCTCCCGCACGCCCCACCGTCTGGTTGTGTGCGCTCCTGCCCGGGCTCTGGCCTCAGCTTCCCCGACCATAAAACGACCACGGTGATAACCAGCCGCCTCGCAAGTTGCCGTGAGGGTTAAATGGTGGCAGATAGAGTTTAGGACCAGGCTGGCTCACTGGGAGCGTCAGCCTGTGCTTGTTAAGGGATAGTTTGGGGTCCAGGCTTTTTCCTTTGTTAAGGAAATCTCAGATAATGGAAGTCATTTCAAGCTTAAAAGCAAGGAAATGGTGGACATTTGTCTAAATATATATTAAGAGCTTGTGTATCAAAAACAACACTATTAGACCAAACTAAACTAACCAGAAAAAATTATTTGCAGTAGCGTGCCTGGCAGAGGACCTTAGATGTATACACATACACAAAACCTTACTGATCAGTAACTAAAACAGCATTCACGTAGGAAAACGGGCACAGGCAGTGTACAATTCACAGAAGAAATGAGGCATAAACTGCTCAGAAATTCATGTAGGACATCTCTGATCCAGCTTCCTTACCGGTAGATGGGTTAAGGATAATACCTAACTAGTAGGGCAGCTACTAGTTAGTTATCACTAGTATGACAGTGCCTGGCACACCGTAAGCCCAGAGTGGCCATTACTGTTGCACAGGCCTGGTTTCTCCATCTGTCTAGTTGAGAAGGCTGACTGGATGGTCTGTAAGGGCCTTGCCAGATCCTTCCCTCTAGGATTCTCCCACTCTGTGGGGGGTGATTAGGAGGAGAGAGGTCACACTTGGAGATAGGACAACAGGTATCAGAGCATGGCATGGAATGGGCTTGTGCAGAGGGCAGTATTGGGCACTCAAGCAAGTACCTCCTCCATCCCCGACAGTCAGGGAGGGTTTCTTCAAAGGAGGTGAGGTGACATCTGTTTAGAGTCCTGAAGGTGATTAGGAGCTAACCAGAGGGAGGAGGGAATCTCAGGGAAGAAGAACAGTGTGGAAGACACTTGTGCCAACAGAGGATGTGAAGTGTTGGAGGCCCAGCCAGTAGATTAGGATGTCTGGAGTTAAGGAAGGGGACTGAAGATCTTAGCAGGGGCCATATCATGAGGGTCGTGTAAGCCACAGAGTCTGACCTCTTGTGAAGGCAGTGGATCACGTTGAAAGGCTTTACTATAGTAAGAGCCAACATTCCTCGAATGCTTCCTGTGGCCCAGCTCTGAGTTACATGTATAACTCATTTAATTCTCACAGTAACTGTGAGTTAGGAGCTTCATTCAGAGCAAGGAAGTGGCAGTCTGAATTTGCAGACAGATCCGTGAATTCAGAGCCTGGGCCCGGATTCTATAGCAACATTTCTTCAGTCACATAAATGCTCAATAACTGTATGTTAATTTGTAGTGGACAATTTTTGTTTCATTTATTTAAACAAATATTTGTTGAGCTATGTACTATAACTCAGGTCAAGGGAACATAATAAACAATGAGTTTGTGTTTAGGTAGAGAGCGGTAATTGGATACTTCTCAAAGAACTTTATTGAATTATTTTGATACCTTTGAGTCAGCTTCTTAGTTTAGCTTGTTATGTGTATGTTGTTTAACTTTGTTACCTGCATATTATTTACAAAGTCACACATCTATGTTTTATATCTGCAGCAAATCCAGAGCAACTTCATCATTGTCATACATCCAGGTTCAACAACTTTAAGGATTGGTCGAGCCACAGACACTCTTCCTGCCAGCATTCCTCACGTCATTGCCCGAAGACACAAACAACAAGGGCAGCCCCTATACAAGGACAGTTGGCTCCTAAGGGAGGGACTAAATGTAAGTCAAAAACGACCTGGAGAGAAAGCCTAAGGTTGTTTCCCTGGGAGGGCTTAGACACAAGTACACCAGAATCTTAAAGAAACATCTTCATAGCTTTGCTGTGTTTTAAAACATTAATAATGTCACTAATTTTTCATCAGAGCTAGTGACTTTAGATGTAAAGAATTAGTTACAACAAAAGTAAGTCTTTCAGGGTGAATTGAGTGTGGATGAAGGTGATCTATAATGGAAGACACAAAATCATCACTCACAGTAATACATTCAGGTCCTTGTTAACAGGCTTAAACTTATGGATTAAGCCATATTTAAACTGTAAATATCTCTTTCAGATACTTACAGTTTAAGTCAATAAGTCAAACTCTTATTTTCAATCCATTAGCAAATTAGATTGTTACAATAAGCACTTATTATGGTCTTAGATTAACCATAATTTCAAGGCAAAAAAAAAATTTTCTTGCAGTAAGCATCTACTTTATCCTATGTTGCAGATGGTAATTATCAGGAAAATTCTTTGTGATCAATGATAAATCTATATATTACATCATAATCCACATTTTACTTTGAAGTTTTAAGTCAAGGATAGTTTTGGGAATGTAAAGTTTCTTTAATTCTGATAGTAGGCCTTAGGGTTCCATTTTTTAGTGTAACAAGCAGACTCTACGTAAGTCTAGTTGTAAGTTTAAATATAACTTGCTGATATAAGAGTCCGCACTTCATTATTTATCTTTGGATCTTATAATTCTACTTTAGGGAGTACGTTTAAGAAATAAAAATCAAAAGAAAACATTTCTGTAAAGATATTTATGGGCATTTTCTTTATACTATAATAACGAGAACCAGTAAGTTTATGGCTTAACCAAAAAGTTTAAGCCTTGCTGATCAACATATGAAGGAATGTGTCATTGTCAAAACTGTAAACATAAGAATTATATAATTGTATGGAAGAGTCTCTGAAATATTTTTTAAACATGAAGTAGGTATGCTTTGATTAGTGCTGTGAGAAATTTTATGAAAAATCACTTGAAAATTTTGCATATAGTTGTTTTATAGTGAGGGCTGCTTTTGACTTATTTATAATAAAAGATTCCTGGGAATTCTTTTTTTCTTTTCTTGAGACAGGGTCTTGCTCTCTTCTTCAGGCTGGAGTACAGTGGTGCGATCTCGGCTCATTGCACCTTCCACCTCCTGGGCTCAAGCAATCTTTCCACCTTAGTCTCCCAAGTAGCTGGGACCACAGGCCTGTGCCACCACACCCAGCTAATTTCTTGTATTTTTTGTAGAGATGGTGTTTTGCCATGTTGCCCAGGCTAGAGGGAATTCTTAAGAGCAGTACATGTGATAAAGATTAAGGAAACGCTACTTGTTGATGAAGGAGCATTTCCAAAGATTGGATTAAATTAGTAGTTTTTGAATTGCTTTGTCTTCTCATTAAATCCTTTGTACTGCTCATCTTTCATTTTTTCCCCAGAAACCAGAAAGTAATGAACAAAGACAAAATGGCCTTAAAATGGTGGATCAAGCAATATGGTCTAAAAAGATGTCCAATGGTACAAGACGCATTCCTGTGTCCCCTGAACAGGTTCGATTAACTCTTCAGATTTATTCTTTTATCACCACTATTGGTATCATAATACCATTCACATGTTCTTCCTATACCACTATGCAAATACAAGATGGGAGTTCCTTAAAAAGGAAGAAAACCCCTCATAACCACTTAAAGAATACCCGAGTCAGTGTTACAAATGCTTAGGCAAGCCACATAATTTATAAGGTGGTGGTAGGCAAGTTGATGGAAGTTTATACTTTACCTGAGAAGGTGTGATTCCAGGATCTTGGTGGGAAACTGTTCTTACTACATTCTTCAATTTCATATGATAAACCAATATGATAGGAATGGACAGGAGTCTGTATTACATATAAATTTGAATTCAGCTTTAAGCAGCGTTTAGTGTTAATTTTGGACTGGCTGTGAATCACAGCCTAGGTGTTAAAATTGGGGGAAAAAGAACCCCAAGATTGTAAAAAGGACAAGAGAATCCTTTTGCAGCCAGTCAATATTTTGCCAAATATTTGTGATTAAAATTTGCCAATGTGTCTAGTATGTGAGAGAGAAGAAAAGGAGACCCTTATGTTGCCCCCGCCTTGAATAAATTGAGATAATTTTCTGATGGTTTTTCTTTTCAGGCACGCTCCTACAATAAGCAGATGCGACCTGCAATTTTAGATCACTGTTCGGGAAATAAGTGGACAAACACATCTCATCACCCTGAGTATTTAGTAGGAGAAGAGGTAAGAAACTTCTTTACAATAGAATGAAAGAAGGGGAAGCTGATCCTCCTCCTAAAATTCATTTACGTTGCCACCCAGTCCTAGTTGTTTCCTAGCGTTCTATAACCCTGCTTTGAGTACCAGATAGTCACACCGACTCCTACTTCACTCTCAACATTTCTCACATTCAGCAAACGTTAGTTAGATTTTTGGATATGAATCCAGAAAACCTTGAGAGAAAAGTTTTAACAAAGTACTCATCTCCCTCCTCCTTTTCTAGGCCTTGTATGTTAATCCACTGGACTGTTACAATATTCACTGGCCTATCAGAAGAGGTCAGTTAAATATTCACCCAGGCCCTGGGGGCTCTCTTACAGCTGTTCTGGCAGATATTGAAGTAATATGGTCTCATGCGATACAAAAATACTTGGAAATCCCACTGAAAGATTTAAAGGTGAGCTAAAATCCTCAGTTATTTGGATTGTTTTTAAGATTCTTGGTCAATGAAAGTACACGTTACCGAGTTGTTTGTAATATAGTGTCCTTCTTGAAACATTCTTGACCTTCAGGGTGAGGATTCTTGGTGGCATGAGGATGTCTTTTCTTCTTCACTTAATTCCCTTCTGGTGCTTTTTTTCTTTCTCTGTTTCTTTGGTGTCTCTATTACTCGAATCAGCAAGCTTGCTCATTTTTGTCTTCTCTTTGGACCTTACTGACACATCAGTTGTCTTATTTTTGATTTTACAAGTTTTTAAAAATTTCAAGGAAAAAAAAACACTTGAGCATTTTTTTTTTCCTTATAAAACCCAAAGGATAGTACAGAGGTTTGAGCTTTAATCTGGGTGTGTAACCGTAGCTGCTACTCCTTTGGAGGGAAGTCTCTCTAAAAAGGAGTGTGAATTTGACCTGACTAGACTTGAGTGCTAACCCTTTTATCTTTGTTCTTCTTTTTAGTATTATAGATGTATCTTGTTAATTCCTGATATCTATAATAAGCAGCATGTGAAAGAACTAGTGAATATGATACTAATGAAGATGGGTTTTTCAGGTATGTCTGATATCCCAGTGAAACCTATTTTAAATGGAATTTTCTTTCTTTAATGACAGAGTTAATCTTATTTACTGACTTATTTATTTATTTATTTATTTGAGACAGAGTCTCTCTCTGTCGCCCAGGCTGGAGTGCAGTGGCGCTATCTCAGCTCACTGCAAGCTCCACCTCCCGGGTTCACGCCACTCTCCTGCCTCAGCCTCCTGATTGGCTGGGACTACAGGCACCCGCCACCATGCCCAGCTAATTTTTTGTATTTTTTAGTAGATACAGGGTTTCACTGTGTTAGCCAGGATCGTCTCCATCTCCTGACCTCGTGATCCTCCCACCTTGGCCTCCCAAAGTGCTGGGATTACAGACGTGAGCCACCGCGCCGGGCCTACTGACTTATTTAAATGCTTATTCTGAAAGGATCAGTGTTCCTCAGATGCCCTGCCCAGAGGTCCCTAGGCTCCCCGCTTCAGCTGATTATCTGTTTTGGGATCTTTACCGTGCTACAGCTAATGACTACTCTGCCTTTTCTTTTCCCCCCCCAGGGATTGTGGTCCATCAGGAGTCTGTGTGTGCCACCTATGGAAGTGGCTTAAGCAGCACGTGTATTGTAGACGTTGGGGACCAGAAGACAAGTGTATGCTGTGTGGAGGATGGGGTGTCTCATCGGAATACTCGGTAAGGAACTTGGAAGGTGGCATTCCCTGTTTCCTCTTCCCTCATAATCTGTTCAACCGTAAATAATAAGAAATCACAGGTTAAAAATTATAAGATAACCATAAATTCAAAAGTCTGCATGGTAAACCAGCAAGATTATGGAAGTGCATATTCTAGCAAGGCTAAAACTAAAACGAATCATTTTACCCTTCCCATTGGAACTTCTTAATAGGAATTTACATCAGCAGCCCCTGAAAGTCCTGGGATGTTTTATGCGCTTTCCCATAGGGGAAACGTAAACAGTAGCTTCGTGTCTTTAGCTGTGGTTTGGCATAGAGCTACTAATCACATCCTTATAGCAGAGCTTTATTTAGGCAAGTCATGTAGGAGAAAATCGACCTTTTCAATCTGAATTCTCTGGCCAGTGTTTTGAATATCTGCATTTTTTGTCATAGTGGTGTTCTGCGGGTGAGTAACTTTATGATGATAGACAGGTAAAGAAAATAACTATCAGGACCAGATTTGCAGCTTGTCCTTCTTCAGGCAAGCCTAACATATGTAAGCACACTCAGGTAATGCAGGTATGGGCTCTCTGAAGCATTTTGTGCTCCAGAGATGGCTTCTTGCTGCCCCTCAGGATGCTTTCATTCTTCCCGTCCTCCACATTAGGTAGTTTGAGTCTTTAAAAGAGGGCTTAAATCGTCCATGAGAAAGGGTCATCTGCTGCCTCCCGCCCCAAGTTCTAGTACATTCTAAAATCCATTTTGAGTTATTTGGCTCATCCATTGTTAGAATATCCAATGCCACTTGTTCTCAAAGTGTGGAGAAAATGCTGGACCCAGGTTTCCTACCAATAAAATAATATAGCAGCTGTCTTCCCAAATTGTAGAAACCTTCAGTTAGTAGACAGCTTTCTCTAAGCTATTCTCCCATAAGTTTGTCTTATATTGTCATTGCTGCCTTACATGCTAGTGAGTGTAGACCACCAAACAACTGTCATATGATAAACACATATTGACTGGGAAGTAAGCTGGATTTAATGGGTGAGTATTGGGTTTCTCAGATACATTTTGCAAACATCATGACTACTGTAGGTGTTCCCCACTGGTTTTTGCTGAAGTTCCTTTTCTCCCTTCTTCCATCCATTCATTCTGGCCTTTCAACATACATTTCTTGAAACTTGCTATATATCACTGTGTTTAATGGACATTTTTGTTTGTTTTTTGTGTTTCTTTTTTTTTTTTAGATAGAATCTTACTCTGTCACCCAGGCTGCAGTGCAGTGGCGTGACCTCTTGGCTCACTGCAACCTCTTCCTCCTGGGTTCAAGCAATTCTCGTGCCTCAGCCTCCCGAGTAGCTGGGATTACAGGTGTGCACCACCATGCCTGGCTAATTTTTGTATTTTTAGTAGAGACAGGGTTTCGCCATATTGGCCAGCTGGTCTTGAACTCCTGGCCTCAAGTGATCTGCTCATCTCAGCCTCCCAAAGTGCTGGGATTACAGGCAGGAACCACCATGCCCAGCCATTAATGGATTTCTTCAAACACCTTTTGCACCTTCTTAACCAACAGATTAACCATCTACCCTTTTCTCTTAACTTTAGGCTTTGTCTGGCATACGGAGGATCTGATGTGTCAAGATGTTTTTACTGGCTAATGCAGCGAGCTGGGTTCCCTTACAGAGAATGCCAGTTAACAAATAAAATGGATTGTCTTCTTCTGCAACACCTTAAAGAAACTTTTTGTCATTTAGATCAGGTGGGAGCAGAATCAATATTGCTGATTATTTTTGTTTCTAGGAAAAATTTAAGAGATTTAAAAGATACTTAAAAATGTAACAGCATTGGCTGGGCACGGTGGCTCATGCCTGTAATCCCAGCACTTTGGGAGGCCGAGGTGGGTGGATCATGAGGTCAGGAGATCAAGACCATCCTGGCTAACACGGTGAAACTCCGTCTCTAATAAAAATACAAAAAATTAGCCGGGCGTGGTGGCGGGCACCTGTAGTCCCAGCTACTCGGGAGGCTGAGGCGGGAGAATGGCGTGAACCTGGAAGGTGGAGCTTGCAGTGAGCCGAGATTGCACCACTGCACTCCAGCCTCGGCGACAAAGCGAGACTCCATCTCAAAATAAATAAATAAATAAATAAAATGAAGTAACAGCATTATAATGCCTTTTTCAACCCACGATAAAGCCTGCAGGTGAAAGCCCTTAAGGAGTGAGAGTTTTTTGCTAAAGTCCGAGCAGTGAGGGTGTGTCTTAGGCTCAGGAAAAGTTTGATTTTTTTAGGGAACAAGTTTAGCAAATTTCTCTGTCTCATCCTGATAAAAGATGAAGATAAACCTTTAGGTGTAAGGAAGATAGTAGGTAAATATGTAAGAACAGACATTTTGTTAAATGTTATAATTTGAAGCACTTTCTTAATATTGCAAACAATCAATGTTTAATCATTGCTATATATGGATTGGTATCCTTTTTTTGTTTGAGACTTGTTTTTACTTTTTTCAGGTAATCTAAATATTAAAAAATTGGGGAAACAAAAATACTGTAAATTTCCCAGTTACTGAGGGAATTTGCTTATTGATTTGGGTCATTGTTGTACTAATGTATGTTGATAATGGAGAAAACAAATAATGCAAACAGTGGAAATTCCAGAAATGTTAAATAGGGGAACAAAGTACAACTTAATTCCTATTTTACTAAATTATAGTGTGAGTGGTACAAAGCTGTAGGTTGGCCTTTTTATAGGTGATATTTAGATGATGGTGAGGCTGAAGCATAATTTGAAGAGTTTACATGCATTCTTACTGATTCACTGACAGCATCTTTTCCTGGAATCAGGACATCTCTGGGCTTCAGGACCATGAGTTTCAGATTCGACATCCTGATTCTCCTGCCCTGCTTTACCAGTTTCGATTAGGAGATGAAAAACTGCAGGTAACTTATAGGTATCTGTTTCCATGGGTAGAAAGAAAGTTATCCAGGTTCAATCAAACTGAGAGAATATGCCCTTGCTGGAAACATTGTGAGATCAGAATGTCAACTGATTGTAGATTATCCACTAAACCAACATTTAAGCCACTGGTATAGACTAGAATGGATCTGAAGAATATCTTTCTATTTAGCCCCTATATGATGAGGTGTTAATTAGAAAGAAAGGTATCATTCTTACTAGGAAATTATGAAGTAGATTTTGAGGTACTTGATATTTGCTTTGAGATTTCTCTCATATGGTGTCATATCACCCATCTGGTTGGATGATGAGTGAGTTTTCTGGCCTATGGTGCACCAGAGAAATAATGCCACTCCCGAAAGAGAACATTGCCCAGTCTAACTTAGGGAATCTGATCTGCCAGTTTTGTTTTTAGAAGAACAGAATTTAGTGGATCAGTTTTTTTCAGGATGCAGTATCTTTTGTTGATCACTCTTTTTCTTCATGTACAGGCTCCAATGGCTTTGTTTTACCCCGCAACTTTTGGAATCGTTGGACAGAAAATGACGACTTTGCAGCACAGATCTCAGGGCGATCCTGAGGATCCTCACGATGAACATTACCTGCTGGCCACACAGAGCAAACAAGAACAGGTCCGTAGCAATTCTGGTAGGAGAAGAGAGAGTTTTGTCCCTGAAGGAGAAATTTGTCCAGAGTTAATAGGCCATTGTAATCAGTTCTATCTTCCAGCATAATAACACTGATATAGCTTTTAGAATTGTAGATGAACTGAAGTCTGAGTTTAAAATCTGGAAGACATATTTCTCTATTCAGCAAACATTAATTTTCTGAATGCTAGTCCATACATTTAAAAGTTAATGACACTTTCCTTTTGGTGTATATCATTTACTTACATTATCTACTTCTGAATATTTTTTCAGTAGTATTTTCATTAAAATCTCACCTGTTACTTAATTTTGTGAAAGATGTGTGGCATAGCCAAAGAGCTGAATTCCTTTGTTGAAAGTGGATCCCCATAATATGATGTCTGGTACAGGGGCACAAATTGAAGGTCTTGTCTGCTAATGAAACAGTACCAGCTCATGATGGAGACTAGATTTTCTAGTCTTTGTTCCTCCCCAGAGGCAGGCATGAGGTGGACTCATAGGATCTGAAAGTAAGAATTCCTTAACAGTCATGGCCCATGAATCCCACTGGAATACTCCATTTAAAAACTCAGGGCACGGGGAAGAAAGTCTGTCTGCACTGGTATTTCACTTTTAAAATCTAACCAGTGATGATAAGGTTCTGAGAGCTACCCTGCCTACCAGCAGCTACCTTGCTTTGGAATGGTCAAAGCATCTTCATCTGTGCACCGTCTCTCATTCCTAAGTTACCTGGGAATGGGTGCTGGGCAGTTGTTGTATTGCTGTGTGGCTTTTGTTTTATAGTAGTAGGGTAGGGAGGGATCTAGCTAGACAACATCAATAGTGTTCTGTTGTTGTAATACCACATACTTGATTGTCCTTTTGATTTAAAGTCTGCAAAAGCTACTGCTGACCGAAAGTCTGCATCCAAACCTATTGGATTTGAAGGGGATCTTCGTGGCCAGTCCTCTGATCTTCCAGAAAGACTCCATTCCCAGGAGGTAGATTTGGGGTCTGCACAGGGAGATGGCCTGATGGCCGGCAACGATTCCGAGGAGGCCCTCACTGCACTGATGTCCAGGAAGACTGCCATCTCGCTGTTTGAAGGAAAAGCCCTGGGCCTGGATAAAGCCATCCTCCATAGCATAGACTGCTGTTGTAAGCACATCTGGGGAGACCGGGAGATAGCAGTGAAACAAGATAGCAGTTAAATAAATTGGTTCAGTCTAGGATATACTTGTGCAGTATAACATATTCATTGAAAAGTGATTAAGCGCCTACTTGGCTTGCATTGCCAGGTGTTGGGAATACATTAACGAAGTAGGATGGGTTTATAGCCTAGTGGAAGAGGCCAAAATAAGTCAGATTATTACACAAATGTGAAATTACCACTGGCAGGCCACTACTAAGCAGTCAGTACCCTTTAGATAAACTTTGTAGCACCTGCCAGTGGTACTTTCACATTTGTGTAATAATTTGAGGAATTTCACATAGAATCTTTACTCACTAGGGGATGGTATGGAAGGTGGGAGGCAGGGAAAGCTTCCTTGAGGAAGGCAGACCTTGAGAGAGATGTAAAGGATGAAAGGGGTCAGTTAGCAGTCACAGATGGGGTAGAGGAAGAAGCCTGTGAAGACCTGTGTGGCTGGGAAGCAGGGTGTGAGGATGAGGCTAGAGAAGCAGGGGACGACCACCCGTAGTGGATCTTGTGGGTCCCTTTAAAGATTTTATTTATTTATTTTTCAGAGTCTCACTCCATTGCCCAGGCTAGAGTGCAATGGCGTGATTGCGGCTCACCACAACCTCTGCCTCCTGGGTTCAAGTGATTCTCCTGCCTCAGCCTCCCGAGTAGCTGGGACTACAGGCGCACGCTACCATGCCCGGCTACTTTTTGTATTTTTAGTAGAGACAGGGTTTCACTATGTTGGCCAGGCTGGTTTCGAACTCCTGACCTCGTGATCTGCCTGCCTTGGCCTCCCAAAGTGCTGGGATTACAGGCGTGAGCCACCATGCTCGGCCTCCTTTAAAGATTTTGATCCTAATCCTGCAAGTAGGATTGCGGTGGCGTGGCAACATGCCTACATTTGTGTTTCGTAGGGTTCCCCTGGCTGCAGTGTGGAGGGTGGGCTGGAGGGAAATCTTTGAGAAGGCTATTGCACTTGCTCAAGCAAGAGGTGTTGGTGGCTTGGCCTAGAATTATGGATGTGGAGAAAAAAGCATGGAGGATGTCAACTGTCTTTTCAGCATCTGACGACACCAAAAAGAAGATGTACAGCTCCATCCTAGTGGTGGGAGGTGGTTTGATGTTTCATAAAGCTCAAGAATTTCTGCAGCACAGAATTCTCAACAAAATGCCACCATCCTTCAGGCGAATTATTGAAAATGTGGATGTGATCACAAGGCCTAAGGTAGGTTGTTTCATTGTGCAAGTTGGACTGTATGCAAATGAAACCAGCCTTGTATGTGGACAGATCAAATCCTGGGAGGCATGGGCTTGTGTCTGAGGAGTTCTTGAGGGCTTAGGGCAAGTGGAAAAGTTAATTTCAGCAAGCCATAGATGTGGTGGAAGGTGCTCTGGCCTAAGGTACTGGATTTCTGCTGCTTTCCCCTGCCGTGCTCCCCAAACTAGCATGACTGAATTCCACCTTTGTTAAAGGATCAGGTGGGGCAAGGGGAGGACCAACTGCTCTCAAGCCCTGCCAGCCAGAACAGCTCCATTTTAATCTCTTTTTTATATTAAGGATCTCCTTCTGCTCCCTGGACCAGATGATCTTTAAGGATCTTTTTGGTTTGAACTATCTTGAAAAGAAAGATAAACCCAGGAATTTAGAAATAGATTTTGTGTGTTTTATTAAATCTCACTGACAATTCCTGGAAATGTTCCTATTTCTTTTTAATCCTGAGGGAGGGATTGTGGGGATCTATTTATTCCACTCAAACTGCGAAATAAGTAAGTCATTTATTTATATATGTTCCTGTGTACAGGGTAAATAGGGTATTTGTGCAATAGTAGTAAATAGTAGCATCTTCAGTTATAAAAATTTAAAAGTTTTCTTGGCTATTGAAACAGAAAGATGCCTGTAGTTCATAAGTCCTACTGTCTTTTTTTGAGACGGAGTCTCACTCTGTCACCCAGGCTGGAGTGCAGTGGCGCGATCTTGGCTCACTGCAACCTCTGCCTCCCGGGTTCACGCCATTCTCCTGCCTCAGCCTCCTGAGTAGCTGGGACTACAGGTGCCTGCCACCACGCCTGGCTAATTTTTTGTATTTTTAGTAGAGGCGGCATTCCACCGTGTTAGCCAGGATGGTCTTGATCTCCTGATCTCGTGATCTGCCCGCCTCGGCCTCCCAAAGTGCTGGGGTTACAGGCGTGAGCCTGTATTTAATCCTGCTGTCTTTAATACAGGGTGAAAGCCTGGCTTACTAGGTATTGACTCAGCAGGGATTTTTCTCGGCCCCATATTCAAGTAAATGATTGAGTATATGTCTTATGTGATTAGGCTGAAATGCCTTCATCCCTTCTGTAGGACATGGACCCCCGGCTGATTGCATGGAAAGGAGGGGCAGTGTTGGCTTGTTTGGATACAACACAGGAACTGTGGATTTATCAGCGAGAGTGGCAGCGCTTTGGTGTCCGCATGTTACGAGAGCGGGCTGCGTTTGTGTGGTGAATGGGGAGGAAATGTCACTGCCGAAGACCAAAAACAAGCTTCTTGGTATAAAAGACTCTTACAGAATATGTGTATTGTAATTTATTGATCTGGATGCTTAAGTGTCATGGACAGTAAATGAATTTGAACTTTATGTTGAGGACATGACATTGGTTTGAAAATATAAACTGCTTTTGAGCAGTTTAGTCAGGGCATTTGAGAATAAATAGGAACTTTCTCTTCAGTTGTAAACTCTCTTGCCCTCTCTCAGGGTCTCATAAACTCCCCAGTGATGTAAACGTTGCTATTGAAGGTTCTCATGTGGTGAAGCCCTTCATTTAAGTTGGCTTGAATCTCATCAGCAGGCAGCCTCATGCAACCATGAGGGATAGTATGTGACGAGGGAGAACTGTCCACTCATGCCATTTTCTCTCTTGTCTAGTATTTCATTAGGATCTAAAGTTGTCTGAGTTAAATGCACTTATGTGACTCATGTGTCCTCTTAGAATCCCAAATAGGGGGAAAAAGTTTTGGTGGTTTTTGTTTTTTTTTTCATTTTCTGTTGGATTACAGAAAAAGAATGGGACCCATTCAGGTCTCGATTTCCAAAGGTAAAGATGGAAGGCTGGGCAGACTGGCTTTTGTTACCTGACATGCCGTAGGGTGAGCTTAGAGGAAGAAAGAAAACAATTTTTATTTGGCCAAAACAGAACAAATGCTGAAAAGGAAATCTTGTTTTTTTCCTAAAGCCAAATAGAAATGATTTGGGTATAATTTAAGAGTCCTTGTGTTGTACAGATATGGTGACTGATGTAGTTATTAATACTACCAACTTAGTCATCAAGCCTCAATTTTCCTTTACCTGAAGGATTAAGTGAAAGCTTTTGGAGTTCATGATGTTCAGTATGATCAGTTAACCTTAACCTCTGAGCATCCTGAAGCAAAATCTAAATAATGCAGCTATTACCACTGGTGGTCCAGGCTCTGGTGAAGCCCTCTGAGCCCAGGAGGAAGAGAAAGCATTGTCCAGAGGTAGGAACACAGTCTGGGAGCCCAGAGCTCTGGGAGGAGTGGGAAAATGCTGCTTCCTGCTGCTTGCTTCTAGGCACCTGCTTCCGCCATCTCACTTACCATGGCTAGAGATGGGGGTGAGACTGGGGAAGGACAAAAGCAGGGAACAGATAAGTGATGGAAATCAGAAGGGAATATAGAAAGAACTCTGGATGTGGAGAAATGCCGGTACCTGAGCATTTTGTATCAATGGGAGTACCCTCTGTAACTGCTCAGTAGGTTACAAATGAAGAGTCCACCAGTATTAGAAACAATTTAAACTTGCCAGTACCAACTGGGATGTGTGCCTTCAATTTGAAAATTGTATGTTTTATTTTTTAAATTTGTTAACAGCATTAATTTATAGAGTATTGATGTCATTTATGTTTCTGAGGTGTTTCAACACAATTTTGGATCAGCTGCCTGTTTGCAAAAACATAATATATTTCTGTTAAACAGTTCTTCACCTAACAGCATATTGCTCTTATAACTGGTAGAGCTGTTTCAAAGGAAGTTGGTTTCTGGTCCAAGTTTTGACCTAAACCATGTCCATCTTCTATTACCAGCACTTACAAGCACTGTGAAAACTGATCATGACAAATAAGTAAAATTTGCTACATTAAACATATTGCCTCAGCCATTACTAAGCGTCCACTTGTAAAGCTGGACACAGTTTTTACTTTATGCTTCATTTTGATTTTTTATCCGTAAGACATAAATTAGAAGGCATGAGGTGGCCCTTTAAGGATAATCTGCAAATATACACATTTTAATAGTCATCCATCTGAAATCGATCCACATTCCAGAGAAGATTCAGTATTGTGCTGTGTGAAATAAGCATTCCCAGAAAAAAAACATTTATGCTAATAATACAACATAACCTCTGCATTAAAGAAAAAGATGCTTTTAGGCCAGGCGCCGTGGCTCACACCTGTAATCCCTGCACTTTGAGAGGCTGAGGTGGGTGGATCATGAGGTCAGGAGATCAAGACCATCCTGGCTAACAGGGTGAAACCCCGTCTCTACTAAAAATATAAAAAGTTAGCTGGGTGTGGTGGTGGGTGCCTGTAGTCCCAGCTACTCAGGAGGCTGAGGCAGGAGAATGGCGTGAACCCGGAAGGCAGAGGTTGTAGTGAGCCGAGGTCACGCCACTGCACTCCAGCCTGGGTGACAGAGTGAAACTCTGTCTCAAAAAAAAAAAATTTAAAAAATTTAAAAAAGATGCTTTTAGAAGAGTAAAAAGTTGGAAGACAAAATGTGCATCTTTTATGTTCTGTCATTCTGTGGGGGTTTTTTCGTTTGTTTGTTTTAGACAGGGTCTGCTCTCACCCAGGATGGAGTGCAGTGGCACAATCACCGTTTACTGCACCCTTGACCTCCAGGGCTCAAGTGATCCTCCCATCTCAGCCTCCCTAGTAGCTGGGACCACAGGCTTACACCATCACACTCAGCTAATTTTTTAAATCTTTTGTAGAGATGGAGGTCTCGCTTTGTGACGTAGCCTGGTCTTGAGCGATCCTTTTGCCTTGGCCTTGCCAAAGTGCTGGGATTGGAGGCATGAGCCACTGCACCCACCCCTGTTTTTTATTTAAGTAAACCATTATAATAACTCATTTATAAAAAGGTTACTTCAAGAGGGCTTTCAACTTAAGAATTATTTTCATTTTGAACATGAAAAGTTAAATAGTAACTAAGAAACTGAGAACTCTGACAGTGACCTCTAATAGGTAACTTTAGGCAAAAGTAGACAAGTTTGTGGGTATTTTGTTGTTCATGTTAAAAGGCACCTGTACAAGAATCAAGATATGAATCTAGTTTGTAGAGGGAAGGTCTTATGCAAATACCAAATCATACAAGTGGTTACACATATAATAGATCATTTGGTCCAGTAAAAGTGGGTTCAGCTTGTTTATTCCCTACTTTTGTTATCTTAAAAACAATGATTTTTTGCATGTAATAGAAGGTTTTTCACTTAAGATGCTATTGAGTGAATCAGTGAGGGGTTCTTAGAGTTAGTATTCATTAATTAAACATAGAATATTAGCTAAACAGTTCTGGGTACACTGCAATGCATGGTCTATGGAAGACTAGATGTTTGGCTGAAGATGCTTTATTGTTGCATTATCAAAATGGTTATAGTTTTCAATTAAAACTGTAATTGATTTCTATGTATAAAACAGCTTTGAAGTTGTAAATGTAGTTTCCAATCGTTAGTTAATGCTACATTAGTTAGCAATATTTGAAAATTTTATTGGTATAAAATGTTTTAATTACTAAGGCTGTTTGTAGGCTGCATAGTAAGCTTCAGGATCATCACACGTTTTTTCCCTGTAATTGGTGGGATAGGAAGCCTTTAAGGTCTCTTGCTTCTCATGGGTGGGCTACAAGGAGCAGCAGCCATCGTGGCAGGCTTGTGATCTTTTTCCTGCTGACACCTGCTGCTTGACATGGAGAAGTTCTGCACAGAAAGCAGTGGCATCCTTCATGAGGTGGTACTTGGGGCAGACACTGAGAGCATTGTAATCGTCTTTTGTATCAATCTCTCTAAAGTAGACCACCACGTATTTGTGCAGATGAATCTGGCTTCTTAGATCACTGCAGAAAAGGTTAAAGGCAAGGGGGAAGAGGTCTTGAGAGTTCTCACTGGGACTGCCCTCGCTCTTGCCACAGGTACCATCGCACACACTGTTGACGTCATTGGAAAGAAGGAAGACGACTTTGTCTGCTGCCTTCTTTTGAGTGGCAAGCCACTGCACTGGACCCATCTCTGCTATTTTCTTTTTCTGCCACTTTTCAAGGATGACCTCACTTCTGCAATGGTTTTGAAGAAATTCAGTGAAGTAACAAATTGTGTGATGGAAACATATTTCAGATGGGTAAACCACAAGAACCTTAATGGGGGGCAGTAGTGTGGTGGTAGAAAAGGAAGTCTTCTTGATCCTTTCTGTGAGAGGAGAAAAGCATTTGTTATCTGTGAACAGCAAACAGCAGGCTTTCACTCTGTAAACCATCCCTGACAAATGATCCCTTGCTAGAGAATGTCAGCTGAGCACCAAGGGCCTTGTTAGTGACAGCAAGGAAAAACATCCTGATGTTCCTTTTGAACACATCACCTGAAACACACTGATGCTTAAACCTTAACTTTTTTTTTTTTGGAGACATAGTCTCACTCTGTCGCCCAGGCTGGAGTGCAGTGGCGTGACCTCGGCTGACTACAACCTCCGCCTCCTGGGTTCACGCCATTCTCCTGCCTCAGCCTCCCGAGTAGCTGGGACTACAGGCGCCCGCCACCACGCCTGGCTAATTTTTGTACTTTTAGTAGAGACGGGGTTTCACCCTGTTAGCCAGGATGGTCTCGATCTCCTGACCTCGTGTTCCGCCCGCCTGGGCCTCCCAGAGTGCTGGGATTACAGGCGTGAGCCACCGCACCCTGCCTTAAACCTTAACTTTTTAAACCTTATTTTAAAAGCAGTATTTTCTAAGTCCCTCTCACTAAAACAATCCTCTCAACCAAGCCTTCTCTTTTCAGATAAATTCATAGAAACTTTAGGTTTAAGATACTTTGTTGGCCAGGTGTGGTGGCTTACACCAGGAATCCCAGCACTTTGGGAGGCCAAGGCTGGTAGATCACTTGAGTCCAGGAGTTCCAGACCAGCCAGGGCAACATGGCGAAACCCCATCTCAACAAAAAGTACAAATATTAGCTGGGCTTGATGGCATGCATCTGTGGTCCCAGCTACTCAGGCGGCTAAGGTGGGAGGTTCACTTGAGCTCAGGAGGCAGAGGTTGCAGTGAGCCAAGATCACACCATTCCACTCCAGCCTGGGCAACAGAGTGAGACCCTGTCTCAAAAAAAAAAAAAAAAAAATACTTTGAGGTGTGTGATTGTAACCTCAGTACTTTTAGTGCTGTATATGAACAGGGACACTTGACCTCTGCACTTCACATTTTGAGTCGGGTCAATTAGGTAGTTGCTTGTACTGTCTTCTACCTGCAGGTGGTAGAGTTTCTTTATAGTTCCCAAAGTTAAGTGGCACCCCTTTTCAGCCCCTGGAACTTAACCTGGAATTCTGCCCTATACGGTGCTGTAAAACAAACCATGTTTGAAACTACTGTAACGAATACAGGTCAGACAGCATCCCTAAATGTAAGAATTCCTGAGGTCCAGGTGCCCCTGTGGCTTTCTTAGCTTAGAACATGGAGTTAATCTCATTTTATTTACAACATCACAAATGACTCAAAGGATGCATTTGTATTTCCTTTCCTACATATGGAGAAGAGGAGTTTTTTTAATAGCTCTGCCTTGAGCTGAGTATGTAAATGCTCTGGTTTCTGTATTCAAATACTCCATGTTTTGAAGTTAGCAAAGCCCTTAGAGAGTACAGCTGACCCTTGAACAACACAGTGGGGAGGGGCACCGGCCCTGCATGCAGTTGAAAATCTCCTATAACCTTTGATTTTCCCACAACTTAACTTCTAATAGCCTACTGTTGACTGGAAGTCTTACCAATAACATAAACAGCCAATTAACACATATTTTGCATGTTATGTGTATTATGTGCTGTATTATAATAAAGTAAGCTAGAGAAAAAAATGTAATTAAAATCATGAGAAAATATATTTACTAATTCATTAAATGGAAGTGGACCATCAGAAAGGTCTTTATTCTTGTCATCATCTTGTTGAGTAGGCTGACGAGGAAGAGGAGGAAGGGGTTAGTCTTGCTGACTTAGGGGTGGCAGAGGCAGAAGCGGTGGAAGAGGAGGCAGGAGAGGTGGGCGCCTCAGTGTAACTTTACAGAAAGACATCATAATTTCTGGCTTTTTTGCTTTTTCATTTTTCTAAAAATATTTGTATATGGTACCAATCCTTCCTCCACCACTTGCTTTAGGTTTAATGCTTGTATCATAGAAGGGTCTGTGTTACAAAAGAAGTGAAAAGCAGTCTTGACTAATCAGAAACCTGCCAGATTGTTTAATGTCGATTTGTTTTCTGATGCTGCTGCTTCTGTGTCGTCTTCATCATCACCTCACACTGATGGGGAAGCACTCGTCTCCAGCAGGTTGTCTTCTCTTTGTTCCTCTAGTGTGGTTATCTGTTAGCTCTTGAATTTCTCCAAGATCCGTATCTTGAAACCCTTCACCCCCCACCTTTTTTGCCACATCTACAATCTCTTTCCTTGATTGGCTCTGTTGTAAATCCTGTGAAGTCATGCACATCATCTGGACAGTTTTCTCCTGCAGGAATTTATTGTTTCAGGCTTGATGGCTTTCATGGCTTGCTCTGTCACAATGATGGCATCTTCAGTGATGTAATTCTTCCAGACTTCCATGTTGTTCTCTCTGTTGGTGTTCTCGTCCATAGTGTTGACAATCCTTTCCATAAAGTACTGTGTGTAATGAGCCTTGAAGGTCCTTATGGCCTCCCAATCTAGAGGCCAAATTATGATGTGTTTGGGGGCAAGGAGACCACTCTGAGGACTTTAGTGTTGAACTCATGGGGCTCTGGGTGGCTGGGGGCATTGTCCAATATCAAAAGAACTTTAAAAGGCAGTCGCTTCCTGGGAAGGTACTTCTGACTTCAGGGACAAAGCATCAGTGGAACCAATCCAGAAAAGTTTTCTCAGTGTCCAGGCCTTCTTATTGTACAACCAAAAGATTGGCAGCTGGTGTTTATCTTTTCCCTTCAAGGCCAGGGGGTTAGCAGCTTTATAGATAAGGCCAGTCCTGATCATAAACCCAATTGCATTTGTACAAAGCAGTCCAGTTAGCCTGTCCCTTCCTGCCTTAAATCCTGATGCATGCTTCTCTTCCTTACTAATCAATGTCCTTTGTAGCATTTTTTTCCCAGAAGAGGACACTTTCATCTGCACTGAAAACCTGTTCAGGCAGGTATCCTTTCTCCTCAGTGATTTTCTTAATGGCATCCGGGAACTCACCTGCTGCCTCTTGGTCAGCAGAAGCTGCTTCTCCTGTTATCTTGACAGTTTTTAAGCCAAACCACTTTTAAAAATTATCAAACCATCCTTTACTGGCATTAAATTCTCCAGCTTTAGATGCTTCACCTTCCTTTTGCTTTAAGTTGTCATATAATGACTTTGCTTTTTCTCAAATCATATTAGAGTCTACAGATATGCCTTTCTTACAGCAATCCTGCACCCACATAAAAGCTACATTTTCAATACAAGATTAAAAGGTATTCTGCAAAATGTGCAAGGTTTTCATGTCTGCTGGTGTAGCTGTAGTGATGGCTTCATGAATTTTTTTCTTTTTTGACTATGGTCCTTACGCTGGATTCATTTATCTTGAAATGGTGAACAATCACAGCTGCAGACCCTCAATTTATGGTACATATCAAGCAATTTGGCTTTTTTTCTTGTAATGAAAAAAAAAAGTTTTTTTTGCTTTTTTTCATGACACTGCTTCTTGGGAGCACTGCCAGCATTACTAGTGGCACTTCGTATGGGTCCTAAGGTGTTATTGAAGGTTTACGATATTGCACTAAACACGAAAAATACCAGAGAACCACTGGAGATACTTTTTACTGTGATATGTAATTTACTGGAGACAGGAACTGCTCGTTTGGAGATGGTTAGCATCACAGGGTGTTTTAAGTCGATACTTGCAACCCTTGAGCTCACCACAGTAGCAACAGGAGGTGGCTAGGAAATTATTCACAGCAGGACAGTACGCACTGCAATTAATTGTATGCAGTTATGATTTAATACCACATCTTTATGCTCACGTTTCTCTCAACTGTGAATGGTGCCATGTACAGTTGGTATGTGTGTGTTTAAGTTTTGATAAATTTTTAACTTTTAATAGTTAAAATAGTTAACTATTGGTATGGTAGGAAATGATAAAGTAGACTAGTATCTGTATACATTTTCTGCATTTATGACATACCTTTTTCTTCATTTTTTTCAATATTTTAATTGAAAAGTTCATCCGAGTTTCATCTAAGTTTTTTCAAAGTGATACAAATCTCCAAAAAATTTTCCAATATATGTATTGAAAAAATCCAGGTGTAAGTGGCTCTGCGCAGTCCAAACCTGTGTTGTTCAAGGGTCAACTGTGTATGAATCCAAGCGAAAGCTTTTCTTAACACCTCATAAGAACTATTTTTTAAAAAACAGGAACTAGCATAGAGTAACCATCACAGGTAAAGTGTAATTTGTTATCAGCCATCTTTTGCCCATTTCAGTACTGGTAGAAGGCTCAATGGTAAAAATAAAAACGGGACAGTCAGAAGATCTGGAAGTCCTGACCCTGCTTTCACCTGGCATGTGTAATCCAGTCATGCTCGTATCAGTCTCTGTAGGAGCACTTGAAGGTATTACATAAATGCTATCTAACTCTGGGAAACGCCAACATGTGATTGCCTCCAGAGGAATCTTCTTTAAAAAAAAATTCAAAATGTTATTTCCTTACTAGGATGTCTTTAAAGAATTATAACCCTTACCGTGCCTCCACATTAGATAGATCCCTGCCACCAGCACCCATGTGGCCACCAGCAGAGACAGCAGGAGGAGAGGCAGCCAGCCTCCCGGCTTGCTTTTGTCTGGAAAAAACAAAGCTTATTCACCTTTGGAAAACAAATCCACACTTATCTCTTAATTTAAAAACTAAGACTTGGTATACTTTATAGAGGTTTATTTATTTTTTATTATTTTTTAGTTTTGAGACAGAGTCTCGCTTTGTTGCCTAGGCTGGAGTGCAGTGGCGCAATCTCGGTTCACTGCAGCCTCCGTCTCCCGGGTTCAAGCAATGCTGCCTCAGCCTCCTGAGTAGCTGGGATTACAGGCATGTGTCACCGCGCCCAGCCACTTTGTAGAGATTTAGATCCCTTTAAAACCATCAGTCAGAAGCTCTTTAGAGAGTCTGCCAATCATATCTTTTTCCCTAGAGTGTGCAGGTCTTGCATTAGATTCTCAAAAGGGATATGGGACCCAGGAAGTTAAGAACAGTCCTAAAATCTCTTTGGCTTCTTTGTCCTGATATGCACCGGCATTTTCACAGTAGGAACTAGGGTTTCTGTCCAGTTTTTTTGGTTCTTTAAGGAATTAATGTTATTCTGGGTACAACTGCTTACATACATAGCACATATAGATGACATTTTTACAGGCCGTCTTGTTAGACTGACATACATGGAGGATAGTGCCACCCGCCTCACAAGAACATCAGGTAAGCTCAGGCACAGAGTGCCCAGGAATCTGTAAGGCTTCGCCCACGCACAAGTCAGGGCTGCCAGTCACCTGGGTTGTCTTCACTTTATTTGGCTGCGTCTAATGACACCTTCCAACTTTTGACCCCACCCCTGGACTGTTGTGTAAACATTGTATTTCTCCATCTGTAATGAAAAAGCTAACACATCTCTAACTCCAGAGACATTTTCCAGAACATGCTGTTCTCAGGCACTAGTGAGGCGGTACCATTATTCCTCATTTGTTATCCAAATGTTGGCCATGTGACCACACCAAAAGCTCATCCTGGGCCACTGAGACTGGTAATTGAATCAGAATATAGTGAAATATTCATTCTCATATATACCCAGCCATCTTACATCTTTGGCTTTTTTCAGCAGATCCTTGTGGCACTCAGAACATCCATTTTGCACTGTGTATTTTTTTCCCTTCTGTGTATCCTGCTTTGTAAAGAGTCACGAGTGGTTTTACAAATAAAGCCTGTTCTTACTCAGATTCTAGGTTCTCTGGGACAGCACTGTTGGCTTTCTCTGCACCCCAGTTCAGTGTACACAGGCAGCGACCCCTTGCACTGCCCACATACACACAACCCTTCCACATACTGAGTGGGGGGCAGTGACTGTGTGTGAGCCACTTTGATCATCTGGTTGAAGTTACTGGGCACTTACTGTTATCCAGAGGGAAAGGGACGCCTGTTTGTGGGCAGAGCACAACTGTTCCTTTATGTCGGATGCAGTCGCTGCCACAAGTAGGAAAATATGGAGTCAGCTGAGGAAAAACAAGAGGCTCAGAAAGTTCACACCATGCATCAGAGCAAAATCTCACCAAGACTCCTACTTCAGCCAAAACTTCCCTTCTTTCTGGCTTCGCCCATACCTCTAGTGTTGTCATGCACATTTTCCCCTTGGTCACACATCTGTAACAAAGCCCTAAAGTCAAAACCAGTGACCCGAGACCCACGTGCCCAAGACTCCCGGGGTCTGAACCTAAACTTTGTACACGTTACTAACATACCAGTTCGCTTACCTAAAAGGGCTAGGTCATATCTTACCACGTAGACAAACATTTCCTCTAGAAAAAAGGAGCAGCAGTGATCCTCTTGGCTTCCTTCAGCCAGTGCTTTAGGACATGCAAGTCCCTGTAGTAAGGGAAGTCTATGGTTCTCCAGAAAAGGGTAGTAGCCATCATACCCTGGCTGGTGCCTGCCCCCTCTGGTGTGTTTGAGCACTTTTTATGCCAGGGAATGAAGCATGGAAGCTCCTTACTCTTTGGGGAGTGGCTGTGTCCCACTGGACCTCCTGTGTCCCCACCTCAAAAACTAGAGTTGAAAGAGACATACTGAGAGGTGAAGGAGCACCTACTGCTCCAACTTCCTGTGTTCCAGCTGGGTCCGCTGCGGCCCAGAGAGGACTGGCAGCCCCTCTCCAGAGTTCATACGCTGCCTGGAACTCAAACCTTCCCATTTCAAACCCTTTGCAGCTTCATCTTGCAGTTAAAGGCTTGCGGAAGTAAAATGGTACTGCTATCCCTGAGTGTCTGTGACAGAAAATGAAAATAAAAAGTGCTTTGGAAGGTCAGCAGCCATTAATACAAGCAAAAGGGACCACAACTGCCACGTCGGCCTCCTGACCTCAGCACGGTGGAGGCTGCAGCGAAAGAGCCCCCATGAACGCCACTTAACTGGTGTCTGCTGGCAGAAGTGCATTTGACAAGAGAGAACTCATCCTTAAAAGCAATGAATGATGGAACAGTCTTCTATGTCCCTTCCCTCCCCAGAGCAGCTCACTGAACTTTACCTGCACCGTAGCACCTTCACTATCCCCAGTCACTGGAATCACCACTGAAGCTCGCGTTTGTTTCTTCTGGTGTGGCTTAAGAGAGAGAGAGTCAAGAATTATGAGGTGCCAGGTGCACTGGCTCACCCCTGTAATCCCAACACTTTGGGAGGCCAAGGCAGGCAGATGGCTTGAGCCCAGTATTTTGAGACCAGCCTGGGCAACATGGCGAAACCGTCTCTACTAAAGATGAAAAAATTAGCTCGGCATGGTGGCACATGCCTGTAATCCCAGCTATCTGGGGAGGCTGAGGTGGGAGGATCACTTGAGCCCGGGAGGTGGAGGCTGCACTAAGCTGTGATTGTGCCACTGCATTCCAGCCTGGATGACAGAGTGAGACCCTGTGTCAACCTCCGCCCCCCAAAAATTATGAGGCACAGGAGTGAGCAGATTTCGAGGCTTCCAGCAAAGCAGCTTTGCTTCCCAAAAGGACTCCTTTCACTAGACCATGTGTAAAGAAGGGCTCATTTCCTGCTTCGGAGACTTCCTTCTTTCTATGGTTTGAGGTTCACAGTGACACCTCTCAGGATGCCCACAGGGACTTGTTTTTATCTGTTGAATTCATCAAAGTAGCCCAGCACGTTTGGACAACACTGTCCCCATTTTCCTTCAACACACTAAGGAAAGCTGGAGGACGAGGTGAAGGGGACGAAGAGAAAAAGTACCTCAAACACCTGAGAAAACCCGATGATAGTGCTGTGTTGGATAAGAGCCATGTATCTGTTTCCCAGGGGAGTGGTTGTGAAGTTCACTTCTACTGTCTCCTCATTCTTCTTACAAGCAGTGATGTTCGGATCCCACAGGCTTCCTGTGAGTTGAGAGAGAACCATGTAGATGAACTTGCTAACTCTTCCCTCATTTAAGTTCCCCACAGGGCTTTATGGAAACAAACCCAAGTTCTCAGGAACAATGTCCAAGAGATAGGGACGCTGCTACATAGTGAACTTTTTATCATTGTTTCCAAAGTCTCAAAGTACTTGCTGCCCAAGACAGTTTGGGGATCCGTACATCGCTGCTTTGCTAAAAACAGCTTCCCTGGGCTGAGTATGGTGGGAGGCACGGATTGGTTCTGCTACTCACTGCTGTTTTCAACCTCTCTTTTGAGTTAAGGGATAGGGTCAGTATTTTCTACTTCCCAGGATGGGGAGAAAGAGCTACAGGTTGGAAAACATGTCTAAGATTATAGAGCAAGTGAACTCACAATCAGGACTACAACCACTAGAATATTTTGTGTTCCAGGAGCTTCATCCATCAGACCATTCTGCCAGCTTCACTAGATGCAAAGAAAGAAGGAAATGGCTCGTAGCTTAGAGGATATACCCTGATAGGTCTGCTCTGGCAGAAAAAGTCAGTCGTTTCATTCATGTGACTTGCAAATAAGGACTGGACTGATTTCCAGGAACAACAATGTATAACAGCAGAAATTATCTTCTCCACCGAGGAGACCATTTGAGGCCCTGGCTCAGAACTGTCTTTAGGAGTTCAGGTTCAGGACTGACTTCAAGGCCCTCTGACCTCCTCACACCTGCAGTGTTCTCTGTACCCTTGGTGGGAAGCTCAGCGTCCAAATCTGCCTTCTAGCAAGGACAGCATGGACGGCTGTCTGAAAGGGTACCAGGGATGCCTTGTGCAGTGAAGGGTGCCTAAGAGTTCTGGGCTGATCCAAATACCACTAGCCTCATTAGCATTCCAACACTATATTACTCAGAAATTTACACAAACCCTTGGAAACTGGGCACTAGGGACTAATAATCCTAAAGGGGATTACTACAAAATTCAAGGGGTAAAATTCACTAGCCTGTGAAAAGTGATCCTCTTTGAGGACACAAATTGAGAGCGTAATTGTGGGCCAGTCCTTTAGCGAACTCACACTCCCACCTCGAATGTTTGCTAATCCAAACAGAAGGTTCTTAGGATCCCCATGGCCACAGGTGGGTGGTGCTAGCATCTGAGCAGGTGGAAGGGCTCGTAGGACTCCCATCAATCAGGAAGAGCCTTTGATTGGCACTGCTGAGCCATTTGGGCTAAAATGTTGTTAACCAAGTGGATGGGGGTGGTTCTTTGTGACTGTTGCTCCACTATATAAATGTACTGAGGGTCTACCCCTTTCTGGACAGGCTGCTGCACTCAGTGGGCAAAGTACTGGCTGGAGATCAGGAGCCATAGGTGCTTCTGCCACCACCATCGGGGGTGCTTGGATATTCAACTCTCCCCTAGGGCTCAGTTCTTCTGTGCAAAGATGAAGAGAGCTATGCTGCCTCAAGTTACAAGTTTCTTCAAATAATAAAAGCAAATGCCGTATTTACTTACCGGCCTTGACACACTTTTTTTTATATTTCATTATGTGGTCTAGGCAGCCTGGAAATTTGAATGAAAGTTTTTACATTTTAGAAAAAGGTATCTCTGCCCCACCCCCTTTGCCAAGTGCACACACACATACGCATACCACACCTGTAACAAATTGCCAAAACATTCCAGATGTAAGATGGCAAATTCAAATGGGGCTCTAATTTTTTTTTTTTTTTTTTTTTTTTTGAGCCGGAGTCTTGCTCTGTCGCCTAGGCTGGAGTGCAGTGGCGCAATCTCAGCTCACTGCTAGCTCTGCCACCCAGGTTCACGCCATTCTCCTGCCTCAGGCTCCTGAGTAGCTGGGACTACAGGCGCCCGCCACCACGCCCGGCTAATTTTTTGTGGGGCTCTAACATTTTACTGCTAAACAGAGAACATCTGCCCATTACGTGATAACCAGAGTCTAATTTAAATACAGCCTTTATCAAAACAGTATCTTTGATCCCTAAGAGAGGACTCGAAAACCATCCATCATTTGAAAAGGACATTTGGTAATATCTGTAGATGCTGCCCCTTCAAGGACATGAAGCCTAACACTCCCCTATCCTCACCCCAGGGTGGGGTAGAATTAGTGACTTGTTTCCAAAAACGAGAGTTGGGAAAAACAGTAGATTTACATGGAGAAGTCTGGCAGTCCCCACATTAATCTAGTGTTGATGGTGACCCCCAGCCTGGTGTCATGTGGGTGCCATGGACCCCTGATGGGATAAGAAGGGCCCGGCACCTCTGTGGTATGAATTCCCTGTCTAATCATGAGACAAACATCAGACAAACCCACACTGGGGGACATTCTACAGGATGCCTGGTCAGAACTCAAGACTGTCAACGTTCTGAAAAACAAAGACTAAGAAACTGTTACAGACCAGAGGAGAGACACACAGGGACTAAATGCAACTGGAACAGAAAGAGGACATTCATGAAAAAGCAGGTGAAGTCCAAATAAAGTCTGGAGTTTAGTTAACAGACACGTACTAATGTTGGTTTCTTAGTTTTGACAAATGTATCATGGTAATACAAGACGTTAATAGGAGAAGCTGGGTGAGAGGTATATGGAAACTGTACTATCTTTGCAACTTTTCTGTAAATCTAAAATTATTCCAAAATAAGGCTGGGTACGGTGGCTCACTCCTGTAATCCCAGCACTTTGGGAGGCCAAGGTAGGCAGATCACCCGAGGTTAGGAGTTTGAGACTAGCCTAGCCATCATAGTGAAACCCCGTCTCTACTAAAAATACAAAAATTAGCTGGGTGTGGTGGCTCATGACTGTAATCCTAGCTTCTTGGGAGGCTGAGGCAGGAGAATCACTTAAATCCAAGAGGCGGAGGTTGCAGTGAGCTGAGATGGTGCCACTGCACTCCAGCCAGGGCAACAAGAGCAAAACCCCGTCTAAAAAATAAATAAATAAATAAATAATAAAATAAAAGAATTCCAAAATAAAAAAGCTTATTTGAAAACAAAATGAGGTTTGCTCTCATCAAGAAAGTTGGAAACCACGTGTAGTAAATGGTGCAGCACCAAAAACACCCTGGACCACAATCTCCAAGACCAGCAGTGAATTGGAAATTACCGTTTGGCTTTGATGCCTTGCCTGTGACAGATGACAGGATGGTGGTATGGGATGGGTGACTCGGCTCAGATAGACCCTTCACACACACCATCCTGTCTCATCCTCATCACAGCCCTGTGTGTGACATTGCAGCTGTGGTACCAGAGAACTGGTCCTGTGTCACAAAGCTGGGGCAAGGGCCCAGCATCCAACTCAGGACCACCCTGCCTCTCATGGACAGCTTGGGGACAAGCCAACTGGAGTCTGTAGATTCTCAGAGGCCCAGCCATATGCAGCCCACTCTAGAAAGCTGAGATAGGAACGAACAAACATTTTGCATCAGTGATATAAAGAGTGGCTCAGGTGCATTGCTCTAGAAGGACCAAAGTGTGAATGTCAGCTTCACTTTTATGTGTGTATAACCCAGGGAAAGTGACTTAACCTCTCAGTTTCTTCATCTGTAAAATGCAGCTATCCCAACCTTGGGGTTGCTGAGATGCTTAAGTGAGATGATGCATATCAAGTATTCAGCACAGTGCCTGGCATACAGGAACAGACTTTTTCCTACATTTTACCTGACTTTATTCTCTCTGCTCTGTGGGTAAAGTATGGTTACTACTGTGTCCATGCTTTAGATAAGGGAACTGAGATTTAGCAAGGCCAAAAGCCTTATCCAGGGTTCCCTGGGCTCTCTCTGTGCATATCGCAAAGCAGGCATCCCAGCAAGACAAAGAATAATAAACAAATGAGGAAGTTTACCTGGTGAGGTGAAATTCACAGACATGGAAGGGCCATCTTCATTCATATTTGCATTAGGAATATTATGGGCCCCAATGAAATAGACTGTGTTCAGCTCTACAGGGAAGCCGATGTAGGAAAATGTCCACTGAAAGGCAAAGCAAGGAACTCTCAATTCCCAAAACACTGCAGTACAGAAACAGTATACCTTAGTGTGTTGCCCTTTTAGTTTGTATTTCATTACTCACTCTGTGAAAACTTAGGTCTCCAACCAATGTCTACTTAGGGAATGGGCACTAAACAATTTACAGAATCAGAGAAGTATAAAGTTTTAAAGCCAGGATATAATTTAAGTCCAATTCTCTTCCATTGGCTGGTAGGGAAAAACTGAGGCCCAGAGATGCTGACTTACAAAAGGCACAAAACAGAGAAGTAGCCGAAAATGGGATTTGAACCAAGGGATCTTGCTCTAAGCTCTGAGTCATAGCTATTTACCAGCCCGTGTGAGCAGCACATCATCCATGCTCCCCAAACAAAGGGCATAGCTTTCAGCAACAATTAGCCAAATACATAAAAGTGTCTATGCCCGGATACAGTGGCTCATACCTGTAATCCCAGCACTTTGGGAAGCTGAGGCAGGCAGATCGCTTGAGCACTGGAATTCAAGACCAGCAACACGGTGAAACCCCCCTCTACAAAAACTACAAAAATTAGCCAGGTCTGGTGGCTCATGCCTGTAGTCCCAGCTGCTTGGGAGGCTGAAGTAGAACGATCGCTTGAGCCCAGAAGATTGAGGTCGCAGTGAGCCATGATCGCACCACTGCACTCCAGCCTGGGTGACAGAACAAGATGCTATCTCAAAAAACAAAACAAAAAACAAAAAAGTGCTTACTTTACCACCAGAGGGTCTGGTCTGAGTCTGGAAGGCCTCTGTGTAATTGCACCTCACACAGCTGTAGGACTGGAAGTTGCTTTTGCCCGTCACACAAATCTTGGTGGCCTTCAACAAGCGGATGCTGGCTGCCGAGATAGGCAAGAGGACATTGGTTTATTTAGCACTTGCTGTGTGGCTGACTTGATGCTAGATGCTTTACTAGCATGCTTTATTTTATGTCTCGGTTCATATTCACAATAGTACTGAAAGGTAGGCACCACTGTCTCCAGTTTACAGATGGGGTTCGTGAGGCTTAGGAAGTTTCAGGGAGCTCTGCTTAAACTTAGAAAACTCATCAGCAAGTAGCAGATACGAATTCAGATTCCAAAGCCCAAGCTCCCTCCTCCTCATAGGTCAGCTTGAATTTCATAGGATGCCTGCAAAGGTGGCTATAGCTCTGCACTATTCTGGGTCTCTTTTAAGAGGAAGAGGCTGGCCTCAGGGAGACCCACAAAGACCCTCCAAGACTGTCATCACCAAACCACACCTGTTCCGATTGCACCTTTATCCATGCTGATTCTTCTCCCTGAAGGTCCTTTCCTCCCATTATCTACCTCTTCAAGTTTCACTCTTTTAAAGCCCAACTCACTCATGCACCACAGCCCATAACCACAGCTGACAAAGAGCTCACTCTGTGCCAGGTAAGGGCCCAAACCCTTATGGCCACATCTCACCTAAAGCAACCTCACCAGAGACCCTTTCCAGCTCCTCTCGCCCTATCCCACTCAGATGAAGCACAGCTCCCTTCTGGGACTCCCCTGACATTGTGCCTGTGTCTGCCTCCCCTACCCCTCTGAATCCTCCTGGGTGGAGACTGTAGGTGACTCCTCTCTCTGTGCCTGGCACTCATGGATTCTTGACCAGGTAGACTTTTTTCCGATCTGAATTTAGCAGATGGAAACCAAAAGGATGGGCATTAGGATCCCAGGAGTAGCTCACTGAAAGAACTCATATGGTGCCTTGCAGCACAATCTTGGGGAAATGCCAAAAGCTTCGTGACGTCATCTGGGAAGTGGAAAAGTAATCTATCTAAGCCAGTGCTTTCCCTAAACTGAAGTGGGGTGGGGAAAATCATCTCTCGCCTTACCTTATCTTCTTCCATGAAGTACATACACAGAAAAGTACACACATAAGTGTACCACTTGATGCATCGGGACACTCATGCAACCAGTATGCAGGTTAAGAAACTCCCTCAGGTGTGCTCCTCATACTTCCTTACAGTTATTCCTACCCCAGCAGGAACCACTACCCTGACTTTTATTTTATTTTATTTTATTTTATTTTGAGACAGTCTCTCTGTCACCCAGGCAGGAGTGCAATGGCACAGTCTCAACTCACTGCAACCTCCACCTCCTGGGTTCAAGTTATTCTCCTGCCTCAGCCTCCCAAGTAGCTGGGATTACAGGCATGTGCCACCATGCCTGGCTAATTTTTTGTATTTTTAGGAGAGATGGAGTTTCACCATGTTGGCCAGGCTGGTCTTGAACTCCTGACCTCAAGTAATCTACCCGCCTTGGCCTCCCAAAGTGCTGGGATTACAGGCATGCGCCACCACGCCTGGTCTTTTGCTTTTTTTTTTTTTTTTGAGACGGAGTTTCACTCTGTTGCCCAGGCTGCTGGAGTGCAGTGGTGCGATCACAGCTCACTGCAAGCTCCGCCTCCTGGGTTCAAGCGATTCTCGTGCCTCAGCCTCCCGAGTAGCTGGGATTACAGGTGTGCAACACCACATCTGGCTAATTTTTGTATTCTTAGTAGAGATGGGGTTTTGCCATGTTGGCCAGGCTGGTCTCGAACTCCTGGCCTCAAGTGATCCACCCACCTCGGCCTCCCAAAGTGCTGGGATTACAGGCGTTAGCCACCGCTCCTGGCTACTATCCTGACTTCTAAACACTAGATTGGTTTTGTTTGCTTGGCACTTTCTGTAAATGGGATCATATGGCATGTATGCCTGCAGGCATGCACACAGATATAAATGTACAAACTCTTTTGAATCTGCCTTATGTTTGTGACATTCATCCATATTGTTGTACGTAGTTACAGATCATTCATTCTTGTTGCTGTGACGGAATTTATCTGGTGATTCCTTTCTACTGTTGGGCATTTGAGTGCTTTCTAATGTTGCCTGTTGTAAGTAGTGCTACTGCGATCACCCTAGTATGTGGCTTTTGGTGCGTGTATGCATGTATTTCTGTTGGTTATGCGTAGAAGGGGAATTAATGGTTCATATAGTCTGCACATTTCTGATTTAGTAGACACTTTGGGCCTTATCTCTGATGGATGCAAACTTACCATCTGCCCGGAGTACCCAGCTTACATTCATCAAAATTGAATAGTCCCCTGTTGCAACACTAGTTGTAACAGGTTCTACTCGGAGGTCCCTCAAGTCTCCGGGGATTAGATCATGTTGTAGCATCCACTCTGGAGATGGCCCTGGGAAAAAGCAAGACTTCCATGACACTGTCTTTCCCAGCCCAGTCTGATGCCATGCCATCTCCTCTCAGTGACTCACACCAAACCTTCCCCCATTCACAATTCCTCACTTCTTTTTTTTTTAATTAAAAAAATGTTTTTTGTAGAGATGGGGTCTCACTCTGTTGCCTAAGATGATCTCAAACTCCTGGCCTCAAATGATCCTCCCACCTCAGCCTCCCAAAGTGCTTGGATTATAGGTATAAGCCACCACGCCTGACCCAATTCCTCAGTTCTTCCTGCTAAGGCCAAATGTTTCTTAGCGCTGGCTGATTTATAGCCCAGATAATTTTGATCTAACAGAAGTACTCTCAACCTCCTGGCTTTCACCTACAGAGCACGTGGGACCACTCCAGGTACCTGTGTATGTACACATGTATATATTTAGTGTATTTGACATGTTTATTAGAGTCAGGCCTGCCTTCCTCAGGCTTTGGCCCTGGATTCCAGCCAGCTGGCCCACACAGCCCCCACTTTCCCACCTCCTAACCTTTGCTGGTGCCATCTCTCCTCCAGCTCACTCTTCCTACCCACATTTTTTGGGCAGAAGCCTACCCATTCTTCAAATGCCACCATCTCAAACACCCGCTCTCCTATGAAACATTTGCTTCTCGGTCCCAACTCTAAGTGACCTTCCTTCCACGGCCTTGATCTCCCTCTGCAGAGTGGCAGGCATCACTTTCCACCTTGTATGGCAAGTCCCATCTTGACTGGCCAAGAGGCTAGCCTGTCTGAAACACGGCCTCATTCCCACAGAGCCCCAGAGTTCTGCTTCGAGCAGACAGAGACTTCATCTGCATCAGCCAATAAAGCAATGGGTCACCCTGTGTCTGGTCTTCGATGACCTATTGCCTATATTAGGCTTCCTAAAAGTCCAACTGTGCTTTCAATGTAAAGCCCCAAATACCCATTCTCTAATGCACCTACCAGTTTCAGAGCCACATTGAACGGTCTGTGGGAGAGAAAAAACCAAGCGTCACGTTGAAGCCGGCAAACCACAAGCTTTCCTTTGCCAAATTAGGCAGAACACCATTTTCCCCTTAAATGCATATACAAGTGACAAACTTTCAAAGAAAAGATGAACTGGTTCTGCTTCACAGCTTAGGGGGGAACTAAGCTGTCCCACTGTAGGCTATGACGGACCATGGATTAGCCATCAGTATACCTGATCCTCAAGCCAGTGCATAACCTCACTTGAAGACCACAGGTGGGTCTCCATCTGTCTCTGGATGTCATCCTTCCCTGCTGCAAGCAGGGGATGACTTGGGACCGATGTGAGGCCCCTTCACACTCTAATGTTTAACTCTAGGTTTTTAGGACGGCCTAGAGTATTTACTGGGCTACCCCAGGTTAAGGAGTAGCTATGCTAAGGAGATAAACAAAAGAAAGCTCTGAATGCAGTCCATGGTACTTTCCTCAGGTTCTTTAAAATGTTCCCCTTCTAACACAAAAGGACTCACTGAGCAATTCACGAAACCATAAGCAATTATTAGTGTTCAAGAAAGGCTGGTACTAAATCGTTTGAAGTTAGCTGCTCGTGTTTTTTCATAAGAAAAAATAATTTGTGCTTTGGTTCTGGAATAAAATACTGAACCTAAAATATTGGGGCTTTAGGCAGCAGCAAGCTCAAATGACAAGACTCAATGTGATACGTCCAGCAGCTCTGGAATATGCTGCTGAGCATCCACATTTCCAAACACCTTCTAAGATCTCCTTTTGATGGTTTGAATGATTTGAGTTTGGGCAAAATTGTCAATCATTTATTTGTCTTTTAAAAAATGAACTCTAAGGGATATCATCAGATTTTTTTTTCCTTTTTCTGAGACAGAGTCTCACTTTGTCACCCAGGCTGGAGTACAGTGGCGCAGATCTCGGCTCACTGCAACCTCTGGCTCCCGGGTTCAAGTGATTCTCCTGCCTCAGCCTCCGGAGTAGCTGGGATTACAGGCGCCTGCCACCATGCCCGGCTACTTTTTGTATTTTTAGTAGAGACGGGGTTTCACCATGTTAGCCAGGCTGTTCCCAAACTCCTGACCTCAGGCAATCCGGCCGCCTCAGCCTCCCAAAGTGCTGGGATTACAGGCGTGAGCCACCGAGCCCGGCCAGACTTGACTTTTTTTTTTTTTTTTTAACAAATGAGCCATCATACCAGGAGCTGAGTTCTTATCAAACGGCCGGTGAGAGGCCAAGCAACAACCCTAAATGCTACCAAGCTCAAATTGTTGGCCTTGCAGCAACTACAGCAAAAGGGATGAATTCTTCCCTTTAGTGCAAAGAGCCAAGAGGGCTTCTGAACTGACACAGAGGGGAAGGATAGGAGCTGAAGACATCAGGAAACAGTGAATGGGGTTTGTCCACCAGCAGGTGACTACGGAGCTTGATGCTATATGCTATTCTAAGAGGGCAGCGGTATCATTTCAAAGGTTATTTGGGGGATGAGCTATTTTCTCTTCAGTGACCCAGAAGATTCCCTCGATCATTCAGGGTACTGGGGAAGAAAGGCAACTGCCTTCACGAGTGAACATGGCAATCAATATGGCCAAAAAGGGAGGGGGTACTAATGGAGAAACAGTTCTTGTGCCCCAACAGGTGAGCAGACCCCAAGTAACAATAACTACGTGCCAGGCCCTTCGCCGCTAATTGCAGGCCATGTCGTTATACCTTAAGAGACCCTGGTGGGTTCGGTACTGCCCTTCGTTTTACCGTTCGGGACTTGGAACTTGGTGAGCATAAATGACAGAACCAACAGTACAGGGTGGCATCTGAGACCGGGTCTGTCTGATTCCCACGCCCCTGACTCAAGCAACCTGACGCCGATGTCCGGGGCTGCCCTGAGGGTGCAGGCATGCCCCTTGAGCCGGCAGTCCGCGCACGCCTTCGGGGCAGCCTGGACTGGCGGATCAGACGACGTCAGGATCTGGGCTCGAGGGCCGGGAGATGAGGGAAGAGGTGCTGGCGGGGGCTTACCGGCTCTCGGGGTACGGCGCTCCTGCACAGCGCGGCCAGGCTTAGCAGCACGAGCGACATCGCCGGGCCACTGCGCGGGATCCAGGCCACCCGCACGCTGCGCTTTTATCCCGGCGCCGCCGGGCCGCCCCTTCTCGGCTCCGCCTCTCGCAGCGCCGACCCATTCCCGCCACCCGAACAGAGGGCGGGCCCGCTGGCCCCCTCCCAGGCTGGGGCAGGTCGCAGCGCCCTCGCCTGCTGGGGCTCGGAGGGATGGGCCGTGTCCGAGCGCTGGCGGAGCACGGGCCGCCGCGGCGCGCGCCTACCCCCGCGCACACGTGCATGCAGTGAGCCAGGTGCATCAGCTGCACCCGCCCTCGGGCTTCGCGCGCCTCCGCTGGAGCCCAGCTAGCCTCGCGGCTCCGGGGCCGACCGGGTCGGAACTGCTGCGTCCCCATTCCGGACGCAGAGAGCGCGCGGGGCGCCGGCGCCGCCGGTTAAAGTGCCGCGGGGCAGGGGCCGGGCCGCGGCCACCCGCTCCTCCCGCTCCGGTCCCGACTGTCGGGCTCTCGGCCGAGTCGCCCCGGGTGAGTAGCCGCGGAGGCGCCCCGACCACCCCGCAGCAGCGCCGCCCGGCCGCTAGCCCGGAGAGGCCTGGGGGCCGGAGGTTTGGGGCCGGGCTGGACGCCGAGACCCGGGCCCGCTTTACACAATCGCCCCGCCGCGCGAAGCGAAACGGGTGGAACGCAGACTGCCGAAGCTCACTGACTCCTTTGAGGGAGCGAATTCTTTCAGCTACGCGGGGTTAGAGCGGTAGGAGTGCCCGCTGCCCGACCCCAGGCTTTCTGGTAAATGTCTGTTTCCACCAAGTGAGTTCGGACAGCAACACCTGGGGCTCCCAAAGCGGAAGCCGTCAGCACTGGCGATTTGGAGCTGCGGTTCTCAAGTTTCCCTGGCCCGGGATCTCTAGCGCCGCCTAAAATGAGATCCAGACGGCAGGTCCGGGTCAGGCCCGGGATCTGCATTTAACGAGCCTCCACCCACGCCCCCGTAATTCGTGGGTGGGTGGCCCAGGGACCATCCTTTGAGACACAGTGGGTTTGGGGGAAAGTTCACAAAAATCAGCTGGGCTAACAGTGGAGTCACAGAGGCTGGAACTGCTGCTTCAGCCCCCTCGGTTTGCAAACGACAGGGTTGTGGTGACCAACTCAGGGCCATTTAAACTTGTAGGCAGAATTAGCTCCATTCTACAGATGAGAAGACGGAGGCCTAGAGAGGGGTATGGAACTTAGGGGTGTGTTGTCAGCTGGTGAGAGGCTGTACTAAGTCAAGCAGCTGTTTTAGCTGAGGCCCTACTTGTGTGCCAGGCCTGGCCCACCTGCCAGCTTGATTAAGGCTTGCATGGACTGGGGATCAGCCAGGGGTTTGGGCTCTGGCATGCATACGTGTGGAGTTGCAGGTAGCATTTTCAGAGAATTGCTCTGTTTCCTGACCAAGGAACTCAGTTGAGGTTGTGGCCGCACCCCTGCCTGGGACTGGGCCACCCTGAGCCCCTCATTCCACCTCTCTGAGTTGCTTTGGGCCCTGTGGCCCTTGAGAACATTTTCAGCTCTAATAGTCATCTTCCTGTTCAGCAAATACCTGCTGGGTGCAAAGGTGAACCACACATGGGTGCTGGCTGATGGGTACTCCTGGAGTGAGGATGAGTGCAGTGAGAATTATTTTCAAGGACACAAGTACCCGCCTTGCTGCGGAAGCCCAGATGAAAACAGCCTCGTCTGCAAGCTCAAGATTGTGAACTTTGTCCCATGGTGCTGAGGAACAATGGTACAGGCTTAAATGGTCATCCATTTTTGGTTTTAGAAAGGCCACCTGGTTGGCTCTGCAGGGCAAAATAGAGGGCTAGTCCCTCTGAGACGAGCGAGCAGGCAGCCATTCACTAACATGCGTTCATTCCGTGAGTATCTGATTCTGTGCTGTGGGCCAGGCTCTGGGCTGTGCTGGCTTTTCAGTTGTGTGCCAGGGCAGGCCCTGCTGTGAGCTTGGTGTTGTTCGGCACACAGGCTTTGAGACAACCAGGGTGCGGAGGTTAGGCCTGGAGACAGGGTTCATGAGTCAGACTTTCTCAGGGGGCAGTGGAGAGGAGAGGAGGATAGAGCCCTGGGGAGGAGAGCTTGCCTGAGGAGGTGGGGAGGTCTAAGGGGCTGCAGCAGGAAAGCCCAGTAGTGAGGGAGGAGCTCATGGGGTCAGATGGGGCAGAGAGACCAAGGGCACTGAGGCTGGTTGGTGGCAGTCACAGGAAGCCTTGGCAAAAGGATAGGGGAGGGGGTTTTGTAAAAAGAGAAGGGCTGAGGTTCTTTCTCCCCCCAGGGGAAGAAGTGTCAGGTGAGGGTGGTCTGGAGGTGGCTGAGCTGTAAGAAGGAGGAGTACTCAGGCAGGGGCTGCCAGGCAGAGACCCAAGACCCAGGCCAAGTGGCTTTCCTGCTGTTCTGGGTTCAGAATGACACTGCCCTGGCCCCCTGGGGCTTAGGGATGGGGTGATACCTGGTTCAGTTTCGTAGTTGGGGCTGTGGAGTGGAGGAGAGGGTGTGAAGGGCCCTGTAGCCACAACTGGAGGTTGAGGTGGGCAAACAGGTGTGTCTGCCTGTCCCCTCGGGGGTTTTCCCCCCTAGCTCAGAAGGCCATGCCTCAAGTGGCCCTGCATGAGAGGTCCCAGGTGGCCTGCCGGAAGGCACACAATTTATTTGGCTGCCTAAGCCTGATGACTTTGTGGCTTTTTGAACTGGAGGCTCTGGCAAGTCACTGCTCTTCTCAGAGCAGTTTCCTTTTCTGTAAAATGGGGTGGTGATAGGGGCGATGAAGTGATTTGAGTCTATGAGAGAAGCGACCTTTGGACATTTTCTGACCTTCTCCCTTCAGTCATAAATTCTGCTAGGTCTGGGTTTCTGAAAGAGCTACCAGCCAGTGTGCCTTCCTGTCCGGGGGGGCTTTGTAGGGGGTGCTCATTAAATGCTTGAATGGATGAATAAATTAACACCTACCTTCATCCAAGGCCAGTGCCTGAGCCTGCCCACCCAGGGGAGCTGGTTTGAACTTCCTCCTCTTTCTTCACAAGCAGAGCAAAGGTCAGGGCCTCTGCCAGAGCCTGGAAGATCACTGGGTCAAGTACCTATGGCCCTGACCCAGACCCTAGGGTCTGCACAGACTCTGTGCAGCCACAGCGCGGTGAGATGCCTGGCTTCCAGACCACCTGGTTCTGCGGCTCATTCACCATCTGTTGGCCTTGAGTGAGGCTCTTAGTCTTTTGGAACCTGTTTCTCCATCTGTAACATGGGGCTGACATCAGTTCTGCCTCCCCAGCAGGGCTGTTAGGAAACGCAGAAGAAACAGCAAAACAGCAGATAGGAAAGCAAGTTGAAGGATTTAAGAGTGCTGTGTAAATTTAGGGGCAGGAGAGGCAGAACCAAAAAAAAAAAAAAAAGGTGGGGGGGGAAATTCCCTAGGACCCAAGAGTCACGGTAATCCCCAGATTCTGTCATTGTTATTCCGACCTTTGCTTCTTTGCCTGATCCATCCCTGGGAGAACAAGGCCATCAGGGTTGTTGACAAGTCCTGCGGGTCCAGCCTCCACCCACACAGGTGGAATTTTCCAGTTCGTTCTTTTGCAAATATTAATCAAGGCCCTGGCTGGTCAACAGTGGATTCATTGTCTCGTGAAGAGTGAGCCGTTTCTGGCACATACTGGCTGTCTCCCAGGGCCCCTGGTGGTGAGCCGGAGCTGGGAGAGGAACTGTTGGGAGCACTCCTGGCCTCGGTGCTCCCTCAACCCCATGTTCTGCTCCAGCTGGTTAAGCTTGGCAGGGTCAATTTTAATGCCTGCTTTGAGGGAAAGACCCTGAAGCCACACTGAGGGCTTGCACCCCACTGTTCCCAGCAGGGCTACAAAACACATTTTCTCTGCTCTAGTAGGAGGGGCTGGCCCAGGAAAGCCCGCAGACTCAGGCTAGGTGTTAACTCAGCGTTAATCCCACTCCTCCTGGTTCCTAGGAGAAACCCCTTGAGGTCACATACATGTGTTCTGTTCATGGCTGTGGTCCCTGTGCCTTGTCTCCTGGGTACTTGCATTGATTTTTACATTGTTGTTATCACACTGGGGTCTCAAAGAAAGCCTCGGATGCAGAGGAGACAGGTACTGTTGTCGTTCTCTCAAAGCTCCATCTGTAAACAGGGGTGATGAAGTTAGCCTCATAGGGCTGCAGGGAGGATCACCCTGTCACCCTACGTTGGGCCGTATGTTGGGCACATGCAACAGGATCGGTGGTATATTTTTTGATCCATGATACTTGAATTTATTTGTTATTAATAATATATGGGTCGTAGATGTAGCATCACATTCCACACTTTATGGAGGAAGAAACAAGATGAGTGAGGCTATGTAAGAAGAGGGAGGATGAAACTCAGGCCAGCTGTGAACTTGATAAAATCACTATGTGGTTTGGTTTTAGCTTTGCGCTTTTCTTTTTTTCTTTTTTCTTTTTTTTTTTTGAGACAGAGTGTTGTCCTGTTGCCAAGGCTGGAGTGCAGTGGTGCAATCCGCTCACTGGGCTCAAGCAACCCTCTGAAGTAGCTGGGACTACAGGTGCACACCACCATGCCTGACTAATTTTTTCTTTCTTTTTTTATTGTTTAGAAATGGGGTCTTGCTATGTTACTGAGGCTGATATTGAACTTCTGGCCTCAAGCAATCCTCCTGCCTTGGCCTCCCAAAGTGCTGGGATTACAGGCGTGAGCCACTGCGCCCAGCCTGTGAGTTTATTTTATAACTTTATATTTGTGATTTGTGTGTGTGTGTGTATCATAGTTAGAACAGCGATACCATTTTCAGGAGCACACTAGAAACCTAGGGCCATGGGTGCAGGTTGATGTCTTACACTAGTCCCAGCTCCTGATTAATTTCAGTACTTTAGTGATAGAGTGATTTCCAGTTGATACAAAGAAGCAGTCAGTTTTTCAAACACTCACCTTGCAATCTTAGGACCCTCTGCGGTTAAACCCACCCAGAAGTCTGAAGAGGAAACAGCAGTGGGCATGTGTGTGAAAATTGGCTGGCTAACCTTGGCTGGCCAAGGTGCTTTGACCAGCAGGGGCACCCAGCACACAACCTGGACCTTGCAGTGAGCTGTGAAGCTGCCACTGCACTCCAGCCTGGGTGACAGAGGTGTCTGCTGGAAGTGGCTCTGCTTGTACTGGTGTGGAAGTGTGCCAATGAGCGCAGAAAATCAAACAGGCTTTGCAGCGCCTGTGATGTGTTTATAGGAAGTACTGGAGTCGGCGCAGCAGACAGTGGGAAGGGAAGATTTGTCCTGGCATCTGTGGCCAACCTCCTAAGCTGGTGGATTTGGGGTCTGCAGGGGTTCCATGTCTGGTCCATAACAGTGCTTCTCAAGCTCTCCATGGTGAAAGACTAGATGACTGTTTTTAAAATTTTAATCTTTCATGGGCCAATTTTTAAAATATGATGAAAATTGTTATAATAAAATGGAAGATATATAAAAAAGATAAGCCCACTATCTGCTTATTAGACTCAACAGACATAGGTTGCTGTGTCAAATGATAAAACTGTAAAAGTTTCTACCCTCTGACTTTTGATTCTGTACTTATCTCTCTCAGACAATCACAAAGAGTGTGTAGGCCAGCCCCGGTCACAGAGTGCACCGTATCCTGTCACTTCTGGATGTGAGGTGGGTATTTTTTAACTGAGATTTCAAAAAGATGGGTTAAAAGTTTACTTGAAAAAGGAAGCTGGCAATGAGCATTTGCAGAACACCCCAAACTTCTGGGGAATCGTTGGAAATCCCTCGCTGTCGGCCAGGCCCTGTGCCACAGAGATGTTCCCACCTTTCTGCTTTCCTTCACTCCTCTGGTGGGATCTGAGATTTCAAACAAACAACAACTACAAAAATCCTTTTTATCATGGAAGATTTGAAACCTGTATAAAATTAGCCAGAAGAGATGATGGAGATGGGAATTTTGTGTTCTCTTCACATAACTTTGTTAGCCTCACCTCGTGGGGGTCCTGTTTTGTATGTCCCCCTAATCCCTAGGGTGATTGTAAGCCAAATCCTAGATAACTTTTTTTTTTTGAGACAAGGTCTTTCTCTGTCATCCAGGCTGGAGTACAGTGGCAAGATCATAGCTCACGTAACCTTGAACTCCTGGGCTCAAGCAATCCTCCCACCTCAGCCTTCTAAGGAGCTGGGACTACAGGTGTCTGCTACCATGTCCAGCTAATAAAAAAATTTTTTTGTAGACATGGGGTTTCACAATGTTTCCCAAGCTGGTCTTGAACTCCTGGCCTCAAGCAGTCCTCCCACCTCCACCTCTGCCTCCCAAGGTGCTGAGATTACAGGTGTGAGCCACCCTTAAATATTTACCGTTAGAAATAGTTGAATTATTCTCTTCTAGTTATTTTGAAATGTATAACAGGTTGTTAACTACAGTCACCATACTGACCTGTCAAATACTAGATCTCATTTCTTCTATCTAACTGTATATTAGATAATTCTTCTATCTAACTGTCTATCTTTAACCCTCCATCCTCCCTTCCCTTCCTGAACTCTGATAACTACCCATCTACTCCCTATCTTCCTGAGATCCACTTTTTTAGCCTCCGCACCATGAGTGAGAATGTGATTTTTGACTTTCTGTGCTTGGCTTATTTCACTTAACATAACGACCTCCATTTCCATCAGTGTTGCTGCAAATGACAGGAACTCATTCTTTGTGATGGTTGAATAGTACTCCATTGTGTATATGGATCACATTTTTAAAAAATCTGTTTGTCCATTAATGGGTACTTAGGTTGATTCCATGTCTTGGCTATTGGGAATAGTGCTGCAGTAAACATGAATGTGCAGATATCTCTTTGATATATTGACTTCCTTTCTTCTATATACCCAGCCCAGTAGTGGGATTGTTGGATTATATGATATTTCTATTTTTAGTGTTTTGAGGCATCTCCATATTGTTTTCCACAGTGGCTGTACTAATTTGCATTCCCACAAACAATGTACAAAGGTTCCTGAAAGGGTGAGTTTAAACAACATAACTGCAGAATCATAGTCATGTCTGACAAATAATGATATCTTGACATCCTCACATACGCACTCAGTGTTCAGATGAGCAGGGTCCAGTGAAGAGCAGCACATTCTCATGGTTGGATCTTGTTCCTCTCACAGCCTGTAGGCTTCCCTTCCTCTCTCTCATCTCTCTCTCATTTATCCATTCTATACTTGGATTTATTGTTGAAGAACTGTGTGGGGTTTCCCTGCACTTGGATTCTGCTGATGATGGACCTTTGCAAGTTGCTCTGACCTTTGCGTTTCTTGTGAGTCGGTGGATTGATCTAGAAGTGTGATCAGATTCAGGTTTGAACTTTTGGGCAAGGATGTTTTATAGGTGGTATTGCATTCTCCCGTTCAGACCCCTGCCTGGACTATACAGAGAAGTCGGTCTTTTAATTGCCTCATGTGTGTGAAGTCACCTTGGTGAGTCCCCAGCTGACCCTCGCCCATATCTTTTTCTCCTTCTGCTGGTCCGGGCTCCCCGCTTGTTCTGACATCACCCTGGCTACTCTGTGGAGAGTTGGTTCTGGGGTAGCCTGAGGAGGCAGCACTAGTAGCAGGGACACTGCTAGTATGTTGTGAGGAGGGTCCCAGTGGAGATGATGGGGCCTGATCCAGGTGGTGTCCAAGGGGTGGACAAAAGTGGGCAGATTCTGCAGCACCAGCCTCATCCTTATGAGAGAAGCTACTACCCCCTAGGCCTCTGCTTCTGTGTCTGCTTTTCCTCCCCGGATAGTGCATTTTTATATACCAGTCACATGACAAGCGTTTATTGAGTGCCTGCTGTGTACGTGGCTCTGGGAGCTTCTAGCTCTCCCCCACTGCTGTCTGTAAGTGAATGCACATGGCAGGAAGAGCAGCTCCATGATGGGCTCTGCCAGGTGGGAGCTTGGTAACTCCTGGCCTCTGAAGCCTGCCCATGAGGAGAGCCTTCATCTCCCCTGGAGAGGGAACAGCAGTTGTCTTTCTTTTGCTGCTATGTGACTGCATAAGAGCTGGGACACCAGCGCCTTCTATCCCCTCGGTCTGCCTCTGGCTGTGCTCCGGGTTACCCATACCCACCTCCCTACTTTCACCCGAGGCCCTCTGTGCTGCAGATGCCACTCACCCAGGCACAGTGCAGCCCAGAGTGCAGGGAGTACACATCTGGAGCACAGTGGCCAGTCTTCCTCAGGGGCCAGCCTGAGGCACTGTATCCCCCATCCCCTAGTCTATCAGGTGCTTGACTCTGGGAGGGGCCCCTAAGGGATTCGGGTCTCCCCAGCAGCGACCTCTGTTGTACCCTGCCTCCTACCCATGGCTGGGCGCCCGCAGCACCTGCACAGACTGGATCCACAGACACGCCTGCAAGGGAGAAGAAATAGTAGGTTACCCTGAGGAGCCATCCGTGGAGGTTGAGCGGCCTGGGCCCCCCACCCTTGCCTGGGTGTTAGAACTCCAGGTTTCCAATCTTACAGTCTCTTTTTTTTTTTTTTTTTTTTTTTTTTTTGAGACAGAGTCTCACTCTGTCGCCCAGGTTGGAGTGCAGTGATACGATCTTGGCTCATGGCAACCTGTGCCTCCCAGGTTCAAGCGATTCTTTTGCCTAAGCCTCGAGTAGCTGGGACTACAAGGCGTGTGCCACCACACCCGGCTAATTTTTGTATTTTTAGTAGAGATGAGGTTTTGCCATGTTGGCCAGGCTGGTCTTGAACTCCTGACCTTAGGTGATCTGCCCACCTCAGCCTCCCAAAGTGCTGGGATTACAGATGTGAGCCACCGCGCCCGGCCTCCCACCTTACATACACTCTGCTTTTGGTATAGACCACCGTGAAGGTTTTAGAAAGTGGTGAAGCAGCTAGAGAGTGGAGGGATGTGTGCAGAGGGCAGAGGCCTGGAATGTGGAGCACAAGGTTCCCAGGCTGAGGAAGCACCCACAGTGGGGCAGCAGAGGGGAGGCAGGAGGGCAGACTTACTTCAGAGGAGCCACAGGCATCGGAGGTGCCCGCAGAGGCCAGCGCCCACGCCTTACCAACAGGAAACCCTGCCCTGGGTCACACGGTGCGGCCTGGCAGAGCTCTGATGCGATGTCAGACTTCAGGGCTCCACCTCGGGTTTTGTTGGCAGCCTGTAGCCTCAGCCCAGTCCCATCTGCCCCTTTTTACCAAGAGGATCCAGAGGGCAGGTGGGCTACGCCCGAGCAGCCAGGGCACAAGGGGCCAAGTGGTATGGCCTCGTCCACACTGTCCAGAATCATCTCCCAGGTAGCAGTTTCCAATTCAGTTGTTAATTATGTATCAATATGTGGGAGATGAGATTCCTGGAAAGAGAAACTTGACACTAAAGAAAATGCCCTTTTTTTTTTTTCTTTTAGAGACAGGGTCTTGCTCTATTGCCCATGCTGGAGTACAGTGGAACAGTGCTAGCTCACTGCAGCCTTGAACTCCTGGGCTGAAGTGATTCTCCTGCCTCAGCCTTCTGAGTAGCTAGGACTATAGGTACACACCACCGTGCCTGGCTAATTAAAAAACAAGTTTTTTTTTAGAAAAAATTTCTGGGTTTTGCTATGTTGCCCAGGCTGGTCTTCAACTCCTCAACTGCATCAAGCAATCCTGCCTCAGCCCAGAAAATGCTTTCAAAAAATTGTTTTAAACATTTTAATTGAGGTGCAACAGACATACGAAGTGTCCATCATGTTGGTTTTGATCTGTGTGTATGCCTGGGTAACCATCACCAGGTCTGGATCTAGAACATTCCCAGGGGGTGCCTTCTGTTGGTCCTGGCACAGGTGTATGAGCTCAGCATCCACATCTCAGACTGCGCAGGTTGGGTTTGCTGTAGGCCACGTGCAGCCTCATCCCCTGCATGTGTCCCCTTGGCCAGCATGACGCAGCGCCAGCCTCAGGCCAAGCTCAGCACATGGTGGGAGGCAAGGGCGTGGAGCCCTCAGCCAGGGATGTGGGCTTTCCACAGCTCATCTCACTATTAGCCTGTTGAGGTCCCAGTAAGTGGCACAGAGAAGTCCCAGGATGGATGTGGTCAGTGGTGAGGAGGGCAATCCATGCCTGAGGGAAGGTGAGGAGTGAGTAGGTGAAAGGAGGTTAGCACCTGTACCTGGAGGAGAGAACAGCATGTGCAAAGGCCCTGGGGAGGAAGGGAAGGTGGACCATGCACCTGGATCCCAGGGAGCGATGCTCACAGTGGGATGATGGCTACAGAGGCCGGGGCCTGGCCTGGTCGGGCTTAGGACAAGAGGGCCTGGGGGGCCATGAGGAAGCTTGTCCCACTGTCTTAGGGAGATGGAGGCCTGGGTTGGGGGTGGCATGAGATTCCTGAGAGAGGAGGAGCAGCTGCCCAGGGTTACTCCCTGGACCACCACCGCCTCTGGGCCCAGCCAGGTCTCATTCTCAAACTGGGATCCTTCCCACCCTGGGCCACTGCACTGCACTCCCCTCAGCCCACCACAGGGCTGGGTATTCAGACGGTTGTGCTCCTGGGAGGCTCTGCTGGGCTGTAGGAAAGCAGCCAAGCCTTCTTGGCTTGAGACCCCTGGCATGGGAACTTGGTGTCTTGCACCTTTTTGCATGCTGACTATGACCTTTTGGCTTCTGTGATGTGGCTTTGTTGGCTGGGCCTGTGGTGGAGGGGGTCCCAGCCTTTGGCTTGACATGGGGCAGGGGCTCGACCTCTTCAGGCTCGTTTCCCTCTCTGTGACATGGGGCTGATGGTGACGGAGTGATGATGAAGACCCTCCACCCCACCCAGCATCTTTGGTGACTTAAATGTGATAACCCATGTGACGTGCTCAGCAGGGGTAGCTGCTCCTGTTAATATAACTCAGTTTGGTCCCATGGTTTAATGGAGCTGTATGATCAGATAAAGGCAGCCACAGAGCAGTGTGTTCTTACCCACACAAAGCCCAGCCTAGCATGTAGGGAATCTTGTTCGAGGTCTCACAGAGATTGCAGGTCAAAGCCAGTACTAGAAGGCCAGATGGAAAAAAGCAGGTGACCTGCCCTGAATCCTCCTTTGGCAAATGACCCCCAGATGGGCACAGGTGGCCATGGCCCTTACCACATGTTTTGCAGTTTCCCCAAAAGACTGTCATCATCAGCCTGGCCTGTGGGCACAGTGACAGGTGTGAAGGTCAAGTGCAAGCCTGGGGCAGTGCTGACTTCAGGGTGCCAAGATTCAGGGCTGTAAAGTAACTTTCTGGGCTTTGAAGCTCATGAGTAGCTGAGCTTTGTGCTAGGCCTACCTGAGCCTTGTCCACAATGGGCTATGGTGGCCACTTTTTAAATGTGTTAACAGGGTCCTTTCATGTGGATGGACTCACTTTTTAATGGGCAGTACCCTATTAGGGGAGTGTTAGGTTGTTTATAATTCTTTGCCACTGTAAACAACACAGGGACAGGGCCCTTGTGCTTGTTTTTCTATGGTTGTGCAGAGCACTCTCTTGATTAAATTCCTGTAAGCAGGATTGCTGAGACAAAGGGCTATACCTTTAAATTGCATCTGTTTTTCTGGAAATGTTGACATGCTCCCAGGTTGTCCCCAAAGTGGAATCATTATTTATCATTGGCCTTGTCCAGCCTGAGCTCCTCAAAGGCTGAGCAAGTTTGAGGCATCATTTTGCATGCAGGACTAGGCTGGTGTGGCTCGGCCTCTCTCCAGAGTTCTGTCTTCTCCTCTTGGGTGACCAGTGAAAGCTAGGACTGTAATGGCCAAAGGATCTAATCCTACAGGGCACAGTACACTGCACTGGCCAAGAGCTAGAAAGAAAACATGTGTGCACACCAAGATGTGGTGAGGAAGAAAGTGCTGCTGGGAGGCCTGTGCGAAGGGCCCTTTCAGGAAGCTTCCTCAGTACTCTAGCTGTGCGACTCTGCAGGCAGACATGTTGCAAGTATGGGTACTCCTGGAATGGTGCGTAAGCATCTTCTTCTGGGCATGATCCTTTTGCAACTTCACTCTACCAAAGTTATAAAATGTCTTGTGCAATTGGCCACATGCTCAAAATTACATGGAAATCTGTCTTGTCGTATAAAGCAATCCGTTTTCTGACCACAAAATGTAGCAAACTTGTCAATAGCAGTCTTTGGCTCCTTTTTTTTGTTTTTTTGAAAGAGTCTCACTGTGTCCCTGCAGGCTGGAGTGCAGTGGTGCAATCTGGGCTCACTGCAACCTCTGCCTCCTGGGTTCAAGAGATTCTTCTGCCTCAGCCTCCAGAGTAGCTGGGATTACAGATGCCTTATTATGCCTGGCTAATTTTTTTGTATTTTTAGTAGAGACAGGGTTCACCATGTTGGCCAGGCTGGTTTTGAACTTCTGACCTCAAGTGATCCACCCACCTCGGCCTCCCAAAGTGCTGGGATTACAGGCCTGAGCCACTGCACCTGGCCAATTTTTGACTACTGATTTGAGAATTTGAAATGAGAATTGTTAGCTGATGCAACAAAGGGCTATGGCAATGAAAGCCACCAGCCATAACCAGTAGGACGTGGTGGCCCCCATGTTTGTTACTCCTCTCTCTGCTTGATCCACCCACTGTGGCCATCACTGGCATTGGGGGTGGGGGTTTCAAGTTGACCAAAGCCTTGCCTCCCACACAGTGGTGCTACAGGGACCAGGTGTCCAGCACCAAGGCCAGCCGGCCAGATGGAAGGTGTGGCTTGGTGGGGCTGCCCAGTGCCGCGGGAGGACTCATGTCACATGAGTCTTTTCCTCTTGACTGGAAGGTAGAGCAGGCAAAAGTCTGTTCTTCCTCGTGCTTGTCAGTTGGCAAAGCCACATCTTCCTCTTCTGGTCCAGGCACTAGACTGGGCCTGGACATGGTTGGTTTCAGGAAACAGAGTGGGCTGGGAGTGCAGGCACCCAGAGTCAAAAGGGAAGCCTTGGATGCTACCTCACCAACTTCAGACCCCACCCATGGCAGGGAGGACTCCGACCCCAACACATGGAAATGAACACGCATGCTATCCTGTTTTTCCCTGCTCCCATTCCTGCCCACCTTCCATCCTGCCAATGCCAGGCAGCTCCTTCCCTGCCCAGGCAGCCCAGGGAAGTGGAAGGGGCTGCTTCCCTGGAACTCCTACCTCACACCAGTCAGTCTGCCCACCCACCCAGCCTGCGGGCCTGAGAGGGCACTACGCTAGCAGCTTAGGAGTCCCTGTCCTCAAGGAGTTCCCTTTGGGTAGCAGGCCCCTCCCTTGTGTGGGGAGGGTGGGAGTATCAAGGGGAGGTGTTGGAGCAGAGTTGTGATACGGGGTGGGGTTTTCAAATGATTGGGACCCGGAAGAGTAAATGACCTGCCGCCACCTCAGGAAGAAGGCGTCTGTCTTCACTCCTGCAGGGTAGGCTTGCTGCCCCCTGGCGAAGCTCCTGTTTTGCCTCTTGATCTTGTCAATTTTAATTATTGTCATTTACTGCAGACCTTCTGTAAAACTACACAACAACAAACACACATGTGCCTGTCATCTAGATCAAGAAATAAAATGTGATTGGTGCAAATGAAAACCCCCAGGAATGCCTCCCTGCTCAGAGGTTACTACTACCCTCAAGTTTCTTTATACCTTTCCCCTTCATAGATTTGATTTACTTAACAAGATCCAGAATTCAGTCGCATGTAGGATTTTGTTGGTGATTTAACCATTGTAAGCGTAATTCAGTGGCATTAAGTATATTCACAATGTTGTACACCCATCACCACTATCCGTTTCCAATTTTTTTTGCATCACCTCAAACAGAAGCTCTGTTCCCCCAAACAATAACTCCTTGTTTCCCTTCCCCTCGTCTCCTAGTAACCTCTAATCTATTTTCTGTTTCTATGGATTTGCCTATTCCATAGAATCATACAATATTTGTCCTTTGGTGTCTGGCTTATTTCACTTAGCATAATGCTTTCAAGGTCCAGCCAAGCTGTAGCATGTGCCAGAATTTCATTCCTTTCTAAGGCTGAATAATATACCATTATATGTACATACCACATTTTATCTACTCACCTGTTTTTTTTTGTTTTATTATTATTATTTTTTTGAGATGGAGTCTCGCTCTGTCGCCCAGGCTGGAGTGCAGTGGTACGATCTCGGCTCACTGCAAGCTCCGCCTCCTGGGTTCACACCATTCTCCTGCCTCAGCCTCCCAAGTAGCTGGGATTATAGGCACCCACCACCATGCCTGGCTAATTTTTTTGTATTTTTAGTAGAGATGGGGTTTCACCATGTTATCCAGGATGGTCTTAATCTCCTGACCTCATGATCCGCCTACCTTGGCCTCCCAAAGTGCTGGGATTACAGGCGTGAGCCACCATGCCCGGCCCTACTCACCTGTTGATAGACATTTGAGTTGTTGCCACCTTTTTGCTGTTGTGAATAATGATGCTGTAAACATTGGTGTAAGAATATCTGTTCAAGTTTCTGCTTTCAGGTTTTTGGAGTATATACCTAGGAGTGGAATTACTGAATCACATGGTCTGTGTTAGCTTTTTGAGGAACTGCTAACCTGTCTTCTACAGAATTTGCAACATTTTACATTCCTACCAGCAATGTGCAAAGGTTCCCATTTCTCCATATCCTCATTAACACTTGTTACTTTTCTTTCTTTTTTTTTTTTTTTGAGATGGAGTCTGGCTCTGTTGCCAGGCTGGAGTGCAGTGGTGCCATCTCGGCTCACTGCAGCCTTTATTATAGCCATCCTGATGGGTGTGATAGCCATCAGGATGGGTGTGAAGTGGCAATTCACTGTGATTTTGATTTATAGTTTCATAATGATTAGTGATGTTGAGCATCTTTTCATGTGTTTATTGGCCATTTGTGTTTCTTTCTTAGAGAAATGTCTATTCAAGTCCTTTGGCCATTTTCTATTTGAGTTGTTTGTTGTTGAGTTATAGTTTTAAACACATTCTAGATATTAACCTCTTATCAGATATATGGTTTGCAAATATTTTCTCCTATGGATTGTCATTTCATTCTTGAGAATGTCCTTTGATGCAGTAAAGTGTTTGATTTTGATGAAATATAACTTTCCTACAGGTAGGGTGACACAAGCACCCCTGTGGCCACCAACACTGGGACTGTGCTGGGTCAGACCTGAAGTCAGCACAGGACTGGGTCTTGCCCAAGGCCTGCTGTAACCACTATGTGGCTACCGCCTGTATTCACACAAGGCCCCAGGGCTCTACAGTTAGCCAGCGGTGAAGCCAGCCAGGCTTGTGGCCTTCCCTTTGGGGCGGCAAGTTTCCCCAGGCCCCGGGCAGATAGAGATGCTTTCCGGGAGCCAGGTACTGGAGTCAAAAACATTAGAAAGCTACCTCGTGTTCTATTCTACTGTAGCTGAGCTGGCACTCACACCATGTGACACAGTCCTTCCCACTTTTCCCTTTTCACAGGCAGAGGAGCCTCACACCATGGCGACCACCACAGGCCCACAGGGAGGACTGCCAGGATACCACCAGCATTCACTTAAGGCCCAAGGGCTCTTCAGTCAGCTTGTGGTGAATGCTGCCAGGCCTGAGACTCACCCTTCAGGGCAGTGGGCTCCCCTCTGGCCCAGGGTTGGTCCGGAAAGGCCACTTAAGAGCCAAGGCCTGGAATCAGGGAACCCAAGAGCCCTCTTGGTGCTCTCCTCCACTGTGGCCAAGCTGGTGCCTGATTTTTGGTTGCTATGAAATTGCTCCCTTTGTGCAGATAGTTGTCAAACTTGGTGTTCCTGTGGGGGTGGGGGGCGAGGGGGATGATTGATGGAGCAAATAGAGATTTGCCATCTTGCTCTTCTCCTCCCTGATTTCAGTCTTTTAAGATGTATTAAGATTTGTTTTGTTGCCTAACATATGGTCTCTCCTGGAGAATGTTCCATGTGCACTTGGAAAAAATGTATATTCTCTTGTTGTAGTGAATGTTTTGTATATATCTGTTAGGTCTCCAACTGGTTTATAGTGTTATTCAAATCCTCTGTTTCCTTACTGATCTTCTGTCTAGCTTCTGTCCATTATTGAAATCTGAGTATTGAAGTCTCCAGTTATTGTTGTAGGACTGTTTATTTCTCCCTTCAAATCTGTCATTGTTTGCTTCATTTTGGGGCCCTGATATTTGGTGCATATATGAATTGCATGTTTTAAAACTTCACATATATACAAATATATGTGAAGATATATATATATATATATAATCTCATTTAGGCCACAGCCTCTTATAATATTCTTTTTGTGTGCTGAATATATTTTTAGGATTCATCCATGTTGATGTGAGGTGCTATGTGTCCTTCATTTTCACTGCTGTCTGGGGTTTCTTTGACCAACTGAACTATACCTTTTTCTATGTCCTTTATATTTCCACATACATTTTGAAATCAGCATTTCAATTTCCACCAAAAAAAAAAATGCCTGCTGGGATTGGCATTGCATCGAATCTATAAATCAATTTGGGGAAAACTGACATCATAAAAATATTGGGTCTTCCTATTCGTAGTATTTATTTAGGTCATCTTTAACTTCTGTCAATGTTTTGTAGTTTTCAGTATATAGGTCCTGTATATATTTTAAGTTTATTACTAAGTATGTCATGTTTCCTGGTGCTCTTGTAAGTGTTATTGTTTTGTCTTGTGGTTGCCCATGGAGGGTGGGATCAACCCCCCACCACCCAAAGTTGGTTTGAATGTTGAGACTAATGACATCACACACACACCAAGTGGCTACCATAAGGTTTATTGCTCACATAATGGAGCTTTATAGGGTGAGGAGGGCAAGCACCCAGGCTTGTCTGTGAAGGAAGAGGTGAGTGTTCCTGGTTATTATTATAGTTAGGGAGTGGAGTCAAGGTGAGAATCCCACACGTGAATTGGATTTGCATGACTTGAACCTCCCTGTTGATACTCCAGGCAGGAATGCCAGAGCTTTTTTATTCACTTGCCCAGGTGTGGGGCAAGAGGGGAAGAGGGAGGGATGGAGCTTGAAAGCTATCGGTAGTCAAACATCAAAAATGGAGTCAGGCTCTATTATAGTTTTAAAATACTGTTTAAAAAGGCAGTTTCAGGCTCACAGCAAAATCGAGAGGAGGGTGAAGAGATTTCCCATATAACCTTTGCCCCTACACGTGCATAATCCTCCCATTAACAACATCCTCGCACTAAAGTGGTACATTTATTACAAATAATAAACCTATATTAGCACATCATTATCACCTAAAGCCCATAGTTTACATTAGGGTTCACTCTTGGTATTGCACATTCTATAGGTTTGGACAAAAATGACCTGTATCCACCACTGTACAGAAAACAGATTAGTTCCCCGCCCTAAAAATCCTTTGTGGCCTGCCTGTTTATCCCTCTCCCAACTCCTGGTAACCACTGATCGTTTTACTGTCTCCATAGTTTTGCCTTTTTCAGGATGTAATATCGTTGAACTCATACGGTTTGTAGCCTTTTCTGATTGGCTTCTTTCGTTTAGTAATTATGCATTTAAGTTTCCTCCTTGTTTTTTCATGGCTTTCTGGCTCATTTCTTTTTAGCACTAAATGATATTCCATTGTCAGGATGTACCACAGTTTATTTATCCATTCACCTACTGAAGGATATCTTGGTTCCTTCCAGCTTTGGGCAGTTATGAATAAAACTGCCATAAATATTTATTTCCTGGTTTTTGTTTGGACATAGTTTTCAGTTCCTTTGGGTAAATACCAAGGAGCACAATTGCTGGATCATGTGGTAAGAGTGTGTTGATTTTTACAAGAAATCACCAAACTGTCTTCCAAAGTGGCTGTACCATTTAGCACTCCCACCAGCTATGAATGAAAGTTCCTGTTGCCTCACATCCTTGTCAGCATGTGATGTTGTCAGTGTCTGGATTTTGGCCATTCTAATATGTGTATAGTAGTGTCTCACTCTTGTTTTAATTTGCATTTTCCTGATGACATATGATGTGGACGATCTTCTCATATGCATCTTTGCCATCTGTCTGTCTTCTTTAGTGAGGTGTCTGTTAAGGTCTTTGGGCCATTCTTTAATCGGGTTATCTGTTATTGAGTTTTAAGAATATATTTATTTGTGTATTTACATAGTAGTCCTTTATAAGGTGTATCTTTTGCAAAGATTTACTTCTCGTCTGTGACTTGTCTATTAATTCTCTTGGTAGTGTCTTTAGCAAAGTAGAAAACTCACATTTGATTGAAGTCCAGCTTATCAATTATTTCTTTCATGGACTGTGCCTTTGGTGTCATAATATATAAAGTCATCGTCAAGCCCAAGGTCATCTAGAGGTTCTTTCTCCTGTGTTATCTTCTAGGAGTTTTATAGTTTTATATTTTACATTTAGGTCTGTGATCCATTTTGAGTTAATTTTTGTGCAGGGTATAAGGTCTTTGTCTATATTTACTCTGTGTGTGTGTGTGTGTGTGTGTGTGTGTGTGTGTGTCTAGTTATTCCAGCTCCCTTTGTTGAAAAGACTTTCTTGCTCTATTGTGCTGCCTTTGATGACTTGTCAAAGATCAGTTGGCTACATTTATATGGGTCTATTTCTGGGCTCTCTGTTCTGTTCCATTGATCTATTCACCAATATGACACTGTTTTGATTACTGTAGCTTTATAGTAAATCTTGAAGTTGGTTAGTGTCAGTCCTCCAATTTTGCGCTTCACTTTCAGTATTTTGTTGGCCATTCTGTGTCTTTTGCCTCTCCATATATACTTTGAACCAGTCTGTTAATATCTACAAAATAACTTGCTGTGGTTTTGACTGGGACTGCATTGAATTTGTAGATGAAGTTGAGAAGAACTGACATCTTGACAATATTGAGCCTTCCAATTTGCGAACATGAAATATCTCTCCATTTATTTAGTTTTTAAATTTCATCAGGGTTTCATAGTTTTCCTCATATAGATCTTGCACATATTTTGTTAGATTTATACCTAAGTATTTCTTTGTGATGCTTATTTATTTATTTAGGGGCAGGGTCTTGCTGTCACTTAGGCTGAGGTGCAGTAGTCCAGGCTGGAGTGCAGTGGCTCAATCATACCTCTCTGCAGCCTCAAGCTAGGACTACAGGTATGCACCACCACACCCAGTTACTTTATTTTTTACTAGTTATTTTTTTTTAGAGATGGTATATTTAGTCTTTTCTCTCATTGCTATAAAGAACTACCTGAGACTAGGTAATTTATAAGAAAAGAGGTTTAATTGGCTCATGGTTCCACAGGCTTTACAGGAAACATGGCTTGGGAGGCCTCAGGAAACTTACAATCATGGCAGAAGGTGAAGGGGAAGCAGGCATGTCTTACATGGCTGGAGCAGTAGGAAGAGAGAGAGGAGGGGAGGTGCCACACGCTTATAAACAACCAGATCTCATAATTCACTATCATGAGAACAGCAAGAGGGAAGCCTGCCCCTATAATCCAGTCACCTCTTCCAACATTGGTGATTACAATTCGACAAGAGATTTGGGTGGAGGCACAAATCCAAACCATATCAGATGGGGTATTTCTATGTTGCCCAGGCTGGTCTCAAACTCCTGGCCTCAAATGATCCTCTGACCTTAGCCTCCCAAAGTGTTGGGGTTATATGGGCCACTGCACCCAGCCTGGGGTGCTAATTTAAATGATATTGTGTTTTTAATTTCAAATTCCACTTGTTTGTTGCTGGTATATAGGCAAGCAATTGGCTTTTATATATTAACCTTATATCCTGAAACCTTGCTATAATTGCTTATTAGTTCCAGGAATTTTTGTTGATTCTTTTAGATTTTCTATATGGACAATCATGTCATTAGCAAACGAAGTTTCATTTCTTCCTTCCCAATCTGTACCTTTTCCTTTTCTTGTCTTACTGCATTAGATAGGACTTCCAGTACAATACTAAAAAGGAGTGGTTCAAAGGGACATCCTTGCTTCGTTCCTGGTTAGTGAGAAAGCTTTGAATTTTTTACCGTCAGGTATGATGTTAGTTGTAGGGTTTTTGTAGATATTCTTTACCAAGTTGGGGAAGTTTCCTTCTACTCTTGGTTTACTGAGAGTTTCTATCATTTAATGGATGTTAAATTTTGTCAAATGCTTTTTCTGCATCTGTTAATATGATCATGTGAGTTTTCTTTTTCAGCCTGTTGATTATTTTTGAATGTTGAACCAGTCTTGCATACTTGAGATAAAGCCCACTTGGTTGTGGTATATAATTCTTTCTATACATACTTTGATTCAATTTTCTAGTATTTTTGTTGAGTGTTTTTATCTATGTTCATGAAAGATATTGGTCTGTAGTGGTTTTTTTTTTTTATTGTAATGTCTTTGTCTGGTTTTGTTATTAGGGTGATGTTAGCCTCACAGAATGAGTCAGGAAGTAATCGTCTGTTTCTATCTTCTAGAAGAGACTGTAGAGTACTGGTATAATTTCTTCCTTAAATGGTTGATAGAAATCACCAGTGAGCTTAGTCAAGCTTGGTGCTGTTTTGGAAGGTTATCAATTATTGATTCAATTTCTTTAATAGATATAGGCTTATCTGGAGTGTCTTTCTGCTTGTGTGAGTTTTGGCAGCTTGTATCTTTCAAGGAATTAGTCCATTTCATCTAAATTATCATCTAATTTATTTTTAAAGATGTATTCCCTGGGTATAATTTTTCAATTTCAGTAAACTAGGACTAGAGGTTTTTTTTTCTTTCAATATTTAAAGTTGTCACTCCATTATCTTCTGGATTGCATGTTTTCTGAGAATTTTACTGTCATTGTTATATTTATTCCTCTGCATATGTTTTTTGTCTGGCTACAGTGATGATTTTCTCTTTATTTTGAAGTTTCAGCAGCTTAACTATGATGTACTTAGATGTGTTTTTCTTTGTACTAATCCTGCTTGGGATGCTCTAAGCTTCTTGAATCCATAGTGTTTTGTCTTGCACTACGTTTGGGAAAGTCTCAGCAATTATCTCTTCAAATATTTCTCCTCCCTTGTTCTCTGTCTCTTCTTTCCGCCTTGCCCTCCTTCCCCACTATTTCCCCCTCAGACTCCAGTTATCTGTACTTTAGTTTGATATTGTCCCAGAGTTGTTGGTTGTTTTTTCTCTCTTCCCCTCTTTATATTTCCAGATTCTTTTCTGTGCTATATCCAATTAAAAATTGTTCTTCTCTAACATTGTATTTTTTTCTTGCATTTATGTTTTTTTCTATAGTTTTCATTGTTTGGCTGAAGTTTCCTATCTGTCCACCTTTTCAACTATATCTTTTATAATGCTCACCTTGGTTAAAGTCCCTGTTTGATGGGTTCTAACATCTGGGTGCATTACTCCTTGGTCTGTTTCTGTTGACTACTTTATCTCTTGATAAGGAGTCATTATTTGCCTTGCTTTTTGGTATGTATCCTAATTTTTTATTGAATGCTAGACCTTGTGTGTAATGGGATAGTGGAGACTGAGGTAAACAGTATACCTAGCAAAGGACCTGTCTTTCATTCTGTTGGGTTGTTAGTGTGGAGTGTTGTCAGTCTGGTGGGGAGTGGTGTGGGGCCTGGAGCTCTGAAGAGTTCTTCTCAGTGTTCCAGCAGCCTCAGACATACCATTCAGGAGGCCCCGCCACCTCTGTCTCCTATGCCTGTGCAACGGTGGACGGGAGGAGGAGAAAGAGCCTCTGCACTCCAGTGGTAGGCTGCTGTTACTTGGTGCAGGGCTTGTGGAAGGGGTGGTGAGATTTATCAGGGTTTCCTTTTGTTTCAGCCTGTCTTGGGCAGGCCTTGTTGGTCTGAGCCTCACGGGTGGGGTGTTCTCAGGTGTTCTTTTCAATGGAGGTTTTCATGACATATCCTGTTTCTTTTCTACCTCTGTGCACTATGCTGGGATTGATTTGAACATTGTTAGGAAAGGGCCCTTTCAAAGCTATTGCCATTTTTCTGTTAAAACGCTAGCATTCTACAGAGTGATCTTTGAAGAGTGTAGCTCTGATCTTGAACCTGCTTCAAATCCCTCTAGTGCTCCCCATGGCCCCTCGGGTCAAAGGCTTTGAGCTCTACAGTCTCGTGCCTCTCATGCTGATCTTCCTTCAGTTATTTAAGTCTTGTCCTTTTCCCAGGCCCTAAACCATCCGTTTTGAGAGCAGATGTCTTTCTGTGTATTGCTGCAGGAACTGGGTGGGGCAGGGAACAGTGCCTAGCACATGGTAGGGGCTGAGCCCACTGTCTTGAAGGGATGAGTACAAATACTCTGTTTTCTTTCTCCCTTGGAAAGCCCTTTGCCCCCCTGCCTTCCAGCAGGCAGACTCCAGCCCAGTCTCCAGGTTCATACACAGGGCACAGGGAAGCATTTTACCCCTCAGTTGGGGGAGGGGCCTTTCTGCTGCCCCATCCCCTGGCCTGTGCCTGTCCATCCTGGCACATACAAAACAGTTCTGAAATTCCTGTGTGTCCCTCACTTCCTCCTCCTAGTTCCTTTGAGCAGCCACATCAGGCTGGGCCTGCTGCACCCTGTCCCGGCAGGCCGTTGGTGAGCATACCCTGGATATGCGGAGTTAAGATTTTTAAAGCCCCTCTTCCTGTTTTAGGGAGAAGTGAGTCATCTCATTCCCCTCCGTGGATCAGAGGACTTGGACTAGATAGAAGCATGTGGTGTCTCCTACGAGGCCTGGGCCGGCCTGGAGCCCTGGCACGGGGAGCCCTGGGGCAGCAGCAATCCCTGGGTGCCCGGGCCCTGGCCAGCGCAGGCTCTGAGAGCCGGGACGAGTACAGCTATGTGGTGGTGGGCGCGGGCTCGGCGGGCTGCGTGCTGGCTGGGAGGCTCACGGAGGACCCCGCCGAGCGCGTGCTGCTGCTGGAGGCCGGGCCCAAGGACGTGCTCGCGGGGAGCAAGCGGCTCTCGTGGAAGATCCACATGCCCGCGGCCCTGGTGGCCAACCTGTGCGACGACAGGTACAACTGGTGCTACCACACAGAGGTGCAGCGGGGCCTGGACGGCCGCGTGCTGTACTGGCCACGCGGCCGCGTCTGGGGTGGCTCCTCATCCCTCAATGCCATGGTCTACGTCCGTGGGCACGCCGAGGACTACGAGCGCTGGCAGCGCCAGGGCGCCCGCGGCTGGGACTACGCGCACTGCCTGCCCTACTTCCGCAAGGCGCAGGGCCACGAGCTGGGCGCCAGCCGGTACCGGGGCGCCGATGGCCCGCTGCGGGTGTCCCGGGGCAAGACCAACCACCCGCTGCACTGCGCATTCCTGGAGGCCACGCAGCAGGCCGGCTACCCGCTCACCGAGGACATGAATGGCTTCCAGCAGGAGGGCTTCGGCTGGATGGACATGACCATCCATGAAGGTAGTGGTCTCCCTTCTCTTTTTAAAAAAGCACTACCCCCTACCCCAGCCCCCACCCATCTTGGCCCGTGGCTCCAGGCTCCTGGCTCCAGCATGGTCAGGAGGCATGGGCAGACTGAGGCTGGCACGACCGGGAAGAGATCTGGCTTAGTATACCCCTCCAAGAGTACAACCCGGAGCCCTGAGAGTGACCCAGGATGGTGACCCTGGGCGTTCTCTGCACCTCTGGCCCCTGTTGGTGTGGATAACAGAGAATCAGCTCTCTGGACAGAGAGCCTAACTCCTCTAGGGACTTGCACATGGGGAAACTGAGGCACAGAGTGGTGAAGGGCCTTGCTCACAGCAGGACAGAGGCGAGCCAGGGCTGACCCGGGGCTTCTGCCTGCCTCTTGAAGGCTCTCACCCCTCTGGCTGTGCTCCTGGTCTCTGTGTCCTCCTGTTTGAGGGTGAAGGGTACTTTTCCACCTGCCTCCAGGGGACCCCAGGCAGATGTGGACTCAGTAGGGCAGGGTCTTGCAGGGTCTTTCCGTCTCAGCTTTACTTTGAAGGCGGGACTTGCAGTCAGAGCTGGGCATATCCACTCTTTCTTTCTCCAGCTCCTTCCTCCTGCCCAGGTGCCAGGGGAGGGCGGAGCCATGCCTGACCACCTCACTCCATCCTGCAGGCAAACGGTGGAGCGCGGCCTGTGCCTACCTGCACCCAGCACTGAGCCGCACCAACCTCAAGGCCGAGGCCGAGACGCTTGTGAGCAGGGTGCTATTTGAGGGCACCCGTGCAGTGGGCGTGGAGTATGTCAAGAATGGCCAGAGCCACAGGGTGAGTGGACTGCAGCTGGGGTCCTGGAAGAAGGGGGTGGGCAGTGACCCTGGTGGTCCAGCTCAGAGTGGGCAGGAGTCACGCCCTCACCCCCAGACCCACGTGCTCATCCCTGTGATGGCGGGGGGAGGGGCGAGTAGCTGATGGCAGTGGGCTGGTGGAGGTGAAGAAGCCCCTAGTCCTGCCACCGAGAAAGGGCCTATGGTGTCAGTGCCCCTGTGTGCCATGCCTAATTCAGAGCTCTCCCCCAGTACCTTCCACACCATTTCAAGGCACCGATGTCACAGAAAGCTATAGGTTTAAAGCTATAGGTTTACACTAGAGGTTTTAAAACCCATAAATGTGATTGTACTCTATTTCTGTGTTGTTGGCAGGGGGTCTGATTGTTTTGCAGCTTCATGTGTAGATCTGGTTCACCGCTTGCTCTCTCTAAACCACCCACTTGAATGCCTGCTTTCATTTATCTCGTGTAAGCCCTCCCCTCCTGTTTCTAAGGCTGTCACTACTGTCCAGCTGTAGTTGCACCTGCTGGTTGCTTTCAAGTAGTGACTCAGTGAGTTTCCTCTCCTTAGCTCTGGGGCCTGTCCCGGGTGTGCCACAGGATTCTACATCCCAAGGCTGTGTTCTCATGGTGCTGGCTAGAGTAGGGCGCTGGTCTGTGAGTCAGGAGAACAGCTGGCTTTTCAGGGAGTGACCTGGCTGGACCTCTTCCAGGCTTATGCCAGCAAGGAGGTGATTCTGAGTGGAGGTGCCATCAACTCTCCACAGCTGCTCATGCTCTCTGGCATCGGGAATGCTGATGACCTCAAGAAACTGGGCATCCCTGTGGTGTGCCACCTACCTGGTGAGTCCCCTTCTTTACTGCTCCCCAGAGGCTGTCTCTGCTCAACAAAAGGCTTAGTGTATGTATCTTATTAGCATGAAGTGGGGAGGTGGTGGCAGTCAGTGATCCTTGGAACTATCACATTGTCCCCGAGAGCCCGAAGGTTTCCCAGGCCTCACTGGACACTGTCATCCCTGGGCCCCGAGTCTTGCATTGTTTTCCTTCTCCCTCCTCCGGCTGCCCTATTTCATTTGGAGAAGGGCACCCTGCAGCAGGGAGTATCTGCCCTGAAGCCCCACTGGGTCGGGCATGGGCGTGTCACCAGGGCAGCTCTATGGCGAGAGGGGTCCAGGCCTCGTCCTTCCATCCACAGGACTCGCTGGCTGCCCTGAGCATGAATGAGGTCAGCTCCGTGCTCCAGAGCCTGCTCTTCATGTTAAGATGTAAACTTTGTTTTATAAACTGTCTCTGATGCTCTTGAGGGTCGGGCTCTGTCTCTTGCCCTCCTTGATAACCCCACTCCGGGAGGGCTAGGCCTTTGTGCCTTTAGGCTTCATCATGAGGGGCCCGGGGAAGTGCTGCTTCATGATGTTGACCTGCCCAGTGTCCCAGTAGGCTTGGATGAATTCATGCAAGGACGGTGTAGCACGACAGGGCTGCTTCCTCCTTCCCCACGCTGGCGTGAGGGTGGGGCTGCTGTCTGCCCCTCTGGCCATCACCATCCAGCAACCGCTCACCAAGCAGTGCCTGCTGAAGGCGTAGGCCCTGCCCTCACAGAGGGGGCTGCTGAGCAGGGCTGACAAGGGGCACCCAGAGGCTGCCGTAGGAGTGAGTGACAAGGACAGGTGGCCTTGGCAGCATCCGAGGCAGGCCAGACTTGGCCAGGAGTGCACACATAGTGTCTCTGGGAGGCAGCCTTTAAGCTGAGACCAGGGAACTGAGCAGGAGCTGGTCCAGAAGATAAGGGAATAGGAAAGAATTTTTCAAAACCGGGGGGATATTGAGAAGCAGCTGAGCCCCCTTGGTAGCCATTTTCTAAACCACTCCTTCCCGTATCAGGGGTTGGCCAGAACCTGCAAGACCACCTGGAGATCTACATTCAGCAGGCATGCACCCGCCCTATCACCCTCCATTCAGCACAGAAGCCCCTGCGGAAGGTCTGCATTGGTCTGGAGTGGCTCTGGAAATTCACAGGTGAGCACGCTTACCAGTAACCTGGGAGGAGACTGCCTATAAGCATTGAGACCTCCTTCCTGAGGAGCTGAACAGGGGTTCTGGCCACTGGGTTTGATGCGGAACTATGCCATTTACCTTAGCCCTGAGCCTCAGTTTTTCCATCTTCAAAATGGGGATGCACAGTTTCAACCTGACAGGTTGAAGCGAGGACCAGAAACAATAGCACATGCCAAGGAGCTTGGCCCAGGGCCTGCTGGAGGTGAGACTCCTCGGGGCTTAGGGGCTGCTCCTCCTTACGGATGAGCAGGGATGGCCTTGTGCTGGACAGCAGGTGAGGTCCAAGGAGCCAGGAGAAAAGGTGGAGAGAGGAGACTTTGGGGCTAGACTGCAGAATCAGCATTCATCTTTCAACCTTTTCCATTTGATTTCTAGCTGTGCCTGGGCCAGGAAATGGTAGTTTAAAATCCTACCCATCCACTCAGTCTGTATTTCTCACACACCTAGTATGTGCTGTGTGCTGTGCTAGGTAGTGGGAAGAGCCGGTAAGGCAGGTGGCATGGGCAGTGGCAGAATTGGCCCTGGTAGAGAGCAGAGCTGATGCCATCCTTTTGGCAAATAGCTGACATTTTATGGTGTGGTGCTGGGTGAGCCCCCTGTGAGGGGTGAACAGATGTGGACAGGACTTGGGTCCAGGCACTAGAGTGGAGTCCGGGAAAAGGAAGAGGAGCGGCCAGGAGAAAGGAGGGAAACCAGGAGCAGCCGGCCCACCTGCCACGGCCTGACTGGCTCTTCTGCCTCATCCTCTTCTGCTTCTCAGGGGAGGGAGCCACTGCCCATCTGGAAACAGGTGGGTTCATCCGCAGCCAGCCTGGGGTCCCCCACCCGGACATCCAGTTCCATTTCCTGCCATCCCAAGTGATTGACCACGGGCGGGTCCCCACCCAGCAGGAGGCTTACCAGGTGAGCAGGTGGAAGAGCCTCGGCTTCCCAGGATGTCTCCTTCCCACCAGGAAGGAAGATGCTCCCATCTTCCAAGGCAGCATTCTCCCTGGTGCCATATGGCTGCAGAGTGGGGGACACAGAGGCCTGTCCCCTGCCTTCCAGCTGCCCAGCGTGTCAGTCTGCGTGGTGCATGCCAATGGTATGACTGTTTCATGCAGGCTAGGTACCGAGCACCAGAAATGGGACAAACAGAGGGGCTGACTTGGCTCTGGGATCACCACCTCTGAAAGCTTTGAGCCATGGAGTATGAGGCCAGGATGAAAGAGTGATTCCTTGAGGTGGTCTGTAATCACTCGTGGAGGTGGGTACCATGCGGGCAAATGCTAACATGCATCTGTTCCCCACTGATTCTGGAAGCAGAGGCCCACCCTACAGGTAAACCAGGGTTGACAGAGGTCACTGTGGATGTCTATGGAGGGACCGTCACTGCTTCCTCTGTGTTCTTCTAGGTACATGTGGGGCCCATGCGGGGCACGAGTGTGGGCTGGCTCAAACTGAGAAGTGCCAATCCCCAAGACCACCCTGTGATCCAGCCCAACTACTTGTCAACAGGTACTTCACCCACCTGTGTCTTCCTGGGCTTGAACAAACGAATGCCTTTGTGGGGTTCCTGTTTATCCCTGAATCATACCCTTGGACTACACTTTCTAGGACACAAGTGACCCTCTGTCGTCCCCCACCGTGTCACTTTAGGCTGTAAACTTGCATAGGCAGCCCCGTAGTGTCCTGGGACACATGAGATAAATGAAGTCCCAGGGTTTAGACAGTAGGGGAGATTTTCAGCTTTCAGAACAATCTGCCATGATGTGCAGGGAGACCACGCCATGCAGGTGCCAGGTCTGTAGGTAGAGCATTTTTCCTGTTGTCACTCTGAGCAGTCTCTAAAAGCAAATTCCATTCCTGGGCCTGCCTCTTTGCATGCAGCAAAAACGAGCACTACCCACTGGGCAGGTTTTGCCCAGCAGTGGCTGCAGGGTGCTCACAGCCCCACTGTAGCAGGGGCAGGGTGTGTGTACTTATCCCTGCCCTACAGATAAGTCAGATCCCTGATTTAAACCTGGGCCTCTGGGTGGGCTGTGTCCGTGTAGGATGCTACCTTTGAGCTACACGGTACAGTCTAACCCGCTGTGGGCAGGGACAAGCAGCCTGCTGGCTCAGTCCCCCATGGCCCTGAACTTTGTCCCCAAACACCATCCCCTCAGACAGCTTACAGAGCCTCTCCATGCCGTGAATCTTCCAGTGAGGCCAGCACGGGCAAAAGGAGGGGTCCTCACCTGTTTCTTCTCCTCGACAGAAACTGATATTGAGGATTTCCGTCTGTGTGTGAAGCTCACCAGAGAAATTTTTGCACAGGAAGCCCTGGCTCCGTTCCGAGGGAAAGAGCTCCAGCCAGGAAGCCACATTCAGTCAGATAAAGAGATAGATGCCTTTGTGCGGGCAAAAGCCGACAGCGCCTACCACCCCTCGTGCACCTGTAAGATGGGCCAGCCCTCCGATCCCACTGCCGTGGTGGATCCGCAGACAAGGGTCCTCGGGGTGGAAAACCTCAGGGTCGTCGATGCCTCCATCATGCCTAGCATGGTCAGCGGCAACCTGAACGCCCCCACAATCATGATCGCAGAGAAGGCAGCTGACATTATCAAGGGGCAGCCTGCACTCTGGGACAAAGATGTCCCTGTCTACAAGCCCAGGACGCTGGCCACCCAGCGCTAAGACAGTTGCTGCTGGAGGATGACCAGGGAAGCCCCCTGATAAGCCAAGAGGGCCAGCACAGCCCTTGCTCCCAGGCTCCTGCCTGAAACTATCTAGCACACTAGGACCCAGGTGGTACCCTACTCAGTGGCTGAGAATTGGATAAAGTCTTGGGAAATGAGACAAGTACTGGGCAGTGAATCCAGCTCCTTTTCCCCAGCCTTTCCCTGTGGGCCATTTGGGGAAGGCCAGCATTCAGCCTGAGATGTTCCTCCCTGCCTCCTGGAGGGACAGAAGGGGAGGATGGTTAACTCCTGCCGCATCCTTTTTCTTGTGTTCACGTGGCATTCTCTAACCCAGGGCAGTGGTTCCTTCCCAGGCCATGCACAGAGGCTGGGTGCCTGCCAGACCCACGGAGGGTTCGCGAAGGAAGGGGCATCCTCCTTCTTGAGCTGCAAGCTTTAGCTGAGGCAGTAAGTCACACAGTAGTTAGTTCAGCCTGGGCTGGCACATAAGTCCCCAGTGTCCCTGTTGAGAGGGGAAAGTTGCCTGCTGGTTGAAAAACTGGCTTTTCCTTTCTCGCTGCCTAATTTCACTCTCAGAGTGAGGCAGGTAACTGGGGCTCCACTGGGTCACTCTGAGAGGGTTGTGGCTCTGGTTCTTATTAAACCAGGGCCAGGTGCAGGGCTCACACCTGTAATCCCAGCACTTTGGGAAGGTCACTTGAGCTCAGGAGTTCAAGACCAGCCTGGGCAACATAGTGAGACCTTGTCTCTGGAAAACAATTAGCTGGGCATGGTGGTACACACCTGTAGTCCCAGCTACTTGGGAGGCTGAGGCGGGAGGATGGCTTTAGCCCAGGAGGTTGAGGCTCCTGTGAACCCTGATGGCACCACTGCACTCCAGCCTGGGTGACAGGGTGAGACCCTGTCTCAAAAAAAAAAAAAAAAAAAAAAACCTGAGATTTTTTTGGACCTTATTCAAGGGGAGAGGAGTCTGGAGGGAATGCCGCTTGGCTTCACTACCAAAGGTTTTATGACTTAGCATTTTAAAAGGTTTTCCTTTTACCAAGAAATGCAGAAACCAAGAGCAAACCCCACGTACCAGATCACTGATTCCTACTGAAGCAGCTAGCCCGAGAAAGGACTCTCTCATACTGGTCTTGGGAAATGACTTGGCAGCCTGAGCCATCCCAGCAGTGGACAAGGATGGTTAATTCTTATTCTGTAGACGTCCACAGGAACAGACTAGGATGGAAAACACAGTTAAGCACAGCCATGCACCCTGTGGCTGTAGAAATGCCCCTGTGTGAAAGAAAAATAAATTCAAGACTGGAGTTTTGGAGGAAAAAAAATACAAGTAGCATTTACAACAGCTCTTTGCTCTTTAAATTTCTTACCATTCAATAAAGTGATCCAGTCACTCACATTTGAACTGAGATGCCTTCTCCAGACTGTTCTGACAAGGTAATGAAAATAAAATGCACTTGGATTTTTCCAGACATCCACATCCACCGTCAAGGGCTGGGAAGAAAAGCATTGTTGCGTGGAAACCTGCAGCTATACTAGGCCCAGAATAAGGACGGGAGGAAATTGGGGGATTCCAGGCTTTGCTCGGATCTGAGAGGATTGGGGCGGCTTACAGACTGGGGCGGGGGGGGGGGGCGTCCGACAGCCACAAGTTAGTTTTCTGAGAAAAACCTTCGAGAGAGGCAGCAGGAAGAAACCCATCACACCTCTCCTTTTAAAAATCTTAAGCAGCTCTTGTTTAATCTTACCTGTATTTTTTAAAATTTTTGTTCGAAGAGAGGGTCAAGAAAGAAAATTCTAAACCGGCCAAGAGACTTATTTCTCCTACGGAGGGTCCCCACCTGCCCCACAGCAGCAGTCCATGGCCATCAGTCACCTGGGTCTCGGGGCTGCCTGCAAGAGTGCAGAAACAGGAGTTCAGGTGCCAGCCCCGTAACTTGGAGGGCCTCGTGCAGCTTTCCTGCTGGAGCGTGTGTGGATTCAGGGGCAGGGGATAGTCCTGGACCAACCATGACTGTGCTGACCCTTCTTCTCTGGAACAGGTATGGATATGGCAGGGTGACAGTCACTTAGTTCTACCATCTCTGTGTCCCATGGGTGTGTCAGTGTCTGAGACCATGGTGGGTTCAGTCTGGTGGCTGTATTTTAAAATAAGCAAAACGTCATATGGTAAGAGGAGCCCATTGGTGATGCTGCTCAATTGCACCCAGGCCCTTCTTTCACTCTCAAATACTTAGCCATGTTCTACACAATCGCACAATTTGGCCATAAACAGGAATGAGGTTTAAAAGAAAAGATGGTAAGTGTCACATGTCCAGAACCTGAGCGTTCCCCTGCCATGAAGGGAGTCTTTCATTCACCCCAGGAGGAGAGGCTGTCACCTGAGGAAGCCAGCATGGGGGAGAAAGGCACTTGCTACAAAGTGGGGTGCACAGAGGGTACCCCCCCATCTTCAGTCTCATAGGGAATTGGGCCCCTTGGCCAAAAGCTTGCAGTACCTAAAAACAGAGAAACGTGCTTTGCAAAAATGGCTCAAAGAGCACAACAGAATGCGCTGTCCATGTGCCCAGTGCTCTCAGGAGCCCTGACCTATTGCAGAAGCCTGTGTTGAAGCCGCTGCACTAGTAGAAGGCAGCTCCTGATGGAATAGGGGATAGGGGTGGGCTGTGTGGGAGCCAAGAGCATCTGGCAGCCTGACTGGAGATGGTGAGTTCCTGAAGCAGGAGTTGTAGGCACCCAAACATCTAGTCTTTCTGCTTGTAGCGAAGGTTGCAGGCATCATCTCCACGAATTCAAATAGATTCTTCTTGGCTAGGCATGGTGGCTCACGCCTGTAATCCCAGCACTTTGCAAGGCTGAGGTGGGTGGATCACTTGAGGCCAGGAGTTTGAGACCAGCCTGGCCAACATGGTGAAACCCCGTCTCTACTAAAAATACAAAAATTAGCTGGGCATGGTGGTGCACGCCTGTAGTCCCAGCTACTTGGGAGGCCGATACAGGAGAATCGCTTGAACCTGGGTGGCGCAGGCTGCAGTGAGCCAAGATTGCACCACTGCACTCCACCCTGGGTGACAGAGTGAGACTGTCTCAAAAAAAAACAACAAAAAAACAGATTCTTCTCCACCCAACCATGTCCCGCCACTCAGAAGTGGTTTCATGCTTCTACTGATAAGCCAACTTAACATCAGATCCAATACAGATTTTTTAAAGATAAAATACCATCTCTACTGGACCTGTTTAGTGGCTCAGGCTGCCCTCACAGGACATCCCTGAGACCACCCTGTCACTCTTGATGTTGGAACCAGGGCCCAGGCCTGCTCCTCATTGTCTCCTGCCCTCCTAGTCCCCAGGAGAGGAAAAGAAATACTGTTTTAGAGAAATAACATTTTCAACAAAACATCCCTGGAGTCAGATTTTGAGTTGGGGTGGGCTAATCAGGGAGTCGGGGCTCTCTGCGTGATGTCAGTTCTATGGCTAACTGGTTTTTCTAAACCAGCCAGCTGCCTATCAAAACAGTACAACTTTTCTAGGAAATGCAATTGGCAAAGACACTTACGATGCTGAGAAGTACACAAGGTGAAACTGCTCCAGTTTTTCTCATAGCAGGGTCAGCAGGAAAGCAAGTGGTGCCCCTGGTCCCATCTCACACAGGTGAGACTGCACCGAGAGGTAACGTGGCCCTCACAGCCCACCACGCCTGGCCTTCGCCCAATTCTGAAACTTCGTAGGATAGAGCTGGAAAGTGCCACATGGTGAAGCGAGATCCAGCTGTCTGGGTGGATGTCGGAGTCCATAGGCTGAGCAGAGATGGTTCTTAGTGAGGTTCTCGCTGCCAGTTGACGGTGAAATCATAGCTGCCATTTACATTTTGTGAGATTATGAAAAACATAAGACTAAAGAAACTAAATGTGTTATTCCTGTGGACACAAAAATGTGTGTTTTTCAGATGGGGAGGGGACCAAAAAGGAAAAACATTTCATCTTAAAACTTTCCTAAGACAAGGGAAAACAAAAAACCATGCTCTACAACTTCAAATTTTTCTTACAAAGAAAAATTTAATATTCGATGAGAGGTTGAACCAGGCTTAAAGCAGACATACTAGGAAATGGTGCAGCCTGTAAGAATGCCAGTTTGTAAGTACTGACTTTGGAAAAGATCATCGCCTCTATCAGACACTTAGGGTCCTGGTCTGGCAATTTTGGCCTGATGTGATGCCACAAGACCCAACAGAGAGAGACACAGAGTCCAGGATAATGTTGACAGTGGTGTAGCCCTTTAGGAGAAATGGCGCTCCCTGCGGCTGGTATTAGGTTACCATTGGCACCGAAGGAACCAGGAGGATAAGAATATCCATAATTTCAGAGCTGCCCTGGCACAGTACCTGCCCTGTCGGAGGCTCTCACTGGCAAATGACAGCTCTGTGCAAGGAGCACTCCCAAGTATAAAAATTATTACACAGTTTTATTCTGAAGAACATTTTGCATTTTAATAAAAAAGGATTTATGTCAGGAAAGAGTCATTTACAAACCTTGAAGTGTTTTTGCCTGGATCAGAGTAAGAATGTCTTAAGAAGAGGTTTGTAAGGTCTTCATAACAAAGTGGTGTTTGTTATTTACAAAAAAAAAAAAAAAAAAAAAAATTAACAGGTTGTCTGTATACTATTAAAAATTTTGGACCAAAATTGCTACCTATCATCTATCTTTTTGATTGCAGGGAATCCCTGCCAAGGTAACCTGACAGTCGGCCTAATTCTGTTGACAGAAAATGAAGCCTTGACGGTTCTAATTATCCAAAAGTGGGTTTTCATCAGGACGTACAGTCAGAGTGTGAGTGCATTCTAATGAAAACTTCAGCCCTCATTCAATTGCATATAAAAGCCCTCAAAGAGAACATACAGTACAGCAGTTTTGTAAAAGGCAACAATACGATTTGTACAGACCCCGACACTCCAATCCTATAGATCACCACGTTGCTCCTCTGTCCCCAGCACCCCTTATTTCTTAAGCAGCACCACCAGTCCCCAGAGGACAAGAGCAGCTATATCTCATCCACCTATGCATTTCTGCACCAGCGATGCAAAAAACACCCTGGGTGGGCCACAGAGAAAACCGTAACTATGGATACCCAAGGGGCAGAGCAGCCAGCTGGACCTGCTCTGTAATTCACTTACTTACTTACCAGAGGGTGGTTCAAGTCAAACAAACAAAACCAAAGACAGTTGCAACCCATGGTGGATCCAAAGGTACAGTATCAAAATCATGGAACTCTTGCCCAAAGAAAAGACTGCAAATAGTCATCTGGTATATCTTGTGGAAAGATGATAGGTTTATAGTGACTCAAAATATTTTAGAAAAATTTCTGTAGTGTCAAGTTCTTTCAAACTTAAAATTTTAACCCCAGAGGATTTTCGCTGAATAAATGAGAATTGGCTCTATTTCTTCTACTTCTGGATAGCCCGAGTAAAAATACTAATAATTTCTAGATTTTAGTGGGGAACTACAATTATTAGGACCCATGGATATTGCTGCAGTTCAAATACAATACAGTAATTACAAAATATAGACCATCTCTTTACAAATACAAATTATAGTATATTACAAGTCATGTACAGTAAATCTATAATTTTAAACAAACTAGTGTATCTAAGTTTACCTGGTTGCGAGTGCATTATTATTCCAGTTTACAGTTGCCCTTAGCGTGACAGTCAGAAACCGACCATCGGAGTGATATTCTCTTATGTAAACTGGCGTCACATCACAGAAAACCTTATTTATGAGGTCCCATTGCCCTCGCAATAATCACTGGTAGCTGGGTTCTGACTTACTTACACACCGTATTTCAGAACAGCTAAACAGGAACCAGGACGCAGTGTATTTGGGGGAAAGGGTTTAAAAATGGATATGTTGGGCCCAGTGACTGATATGCTAGACCGATGGCTGAGGTAACGACACAGGTGTGATGATCGTCATCACCTTTAACTTTCCCCTGCACCCCGCCGCCATGCCTTCAGTTGGGTGGGCCTGGTGCCCTGGTACATGGGAGAAGCAGACTCCACAGCAGTGCCCATCTGGACAATGGGGCAGGGCAGGTCTGGCCTCCTCACCCATCCTCTGTGAGAGGGCGGGGCCTGCTGTTTCCTGCAGCTGGGGCCGAGCGCATGGTACTCTGCCAGGCTCAACCGCTTGGGACCTGTTCCTACCAGGTTTATGGCTTTCTTGAGGCATGACATCTCTTATACAAAAGTCTAATTAATTGAATATTACTCCCAACTAGTGCCTAAACTTTCCTAACTATGAGGCACTTTTCCCCTGGCTCTCCTGCGCCCCACCTGAGGCCAGAGCCAGTCTGCCCCTCGCTGGGGGCTACAAGGTGGTGATGCATATCATTTCATCCGCCAGGTCCTCCTCATCCCTCCCAGGGTCTGGCTCTTCGTCGCTGTAGCCAGGACCAAAGTCCTGTAGCTCATAGTCCTGCCGGTGTGAGAGGGGGCCCACATCCCCGTTGGCTCGGGGACGCACGTTCCCATTAAGCAGGGTGCTGGCTGCACTCTCCATCTCGTCGATGGTGAGGTCACAGGCATCAGCGATTTCGTGTTTTGTTGCTGACACAAATTTTGGGTCCCTTGCATAGCGTCCCAAGCCTTCGGATATCAGGACCTGTACAGAAAAGAGGGATGGATGGCATGGGGGTGTTATAAGGCTTTGCAGGGCAGGGGGACGACAGAAAAATCAACTCCAGTGCTAACTTAACTGCACCGTGTGCTTTGGGGATGCAGCTCAATCATGTTTTCTAGACCTCATACATAATAACTAGTGTAAATGGCTTTGAAAATGTCCTGGAGCTAAAAAACTACACATGGCCCAACAAGAGTGAAACCCACTGGGGAAAGACATTTAGTATAAACTAGAAACATATGCCGGAACAGCACCCATAATGCCAGCACAGCTCATTTATGAGAATTGACGGTGGTGACCAGTTTTTGTTTTTTTTTTTTTTTTTTTTTTTTTTTTGAGACAAGAGTCTCGCTCTGTGGCCCAGGCTGGAGTGCAGTGGTGTGATCTCGGCTCACTGCAGCCTCCACCTCCCGGGTTCAAGCAGTTCTCCTGCTGCAGCCTCCTGAGTAGCTGGGATTACAGGCATACACCACCACGCCCGGCTAATTTTTGTATTTTTAGTAGAGACGGGGTTTCACCATGTTGGCAAGGCTGGTCTTTGAGCCGCTGACCTCAGGTGATCCACCCGCCTCGGCCTCCCAAAGTGCTGAGATTACAGACGTAAGCCACTGCAGCCAGTGGTGGTGACCAGTTTTTACTCATGCTTCAGGTACATTCCTGCTGCTCAGAAGTGTCTGATTGAGGCAGCCTAGCTCACAGCCTGGCCGCCCTCCCACCACTGCCCTTCCTGCTGTTACAGTTGCACCTCTGCTGCTCCTGGTGCTTCCTGCCCACCACGGCCAAGAACCGTACTCACTGCCTCCACCAAGCTGTCCGCACTCCTCTGCTTGTCGCTGTTTTTGTTCCGGAAGCTGCTGGGGACAGTCAGGCTGGCTGGTGTGAAAGTCCGGTAGGAGATGTCGGGCTCGTCTGTGTACCAGGAGCTGCGGTGCAGGGACGGCAGGCTGCCGTTCACCTGGTCCAGGGCCTCTGACTGCTCCACTTGGATCAGGGGGGTGTAGCACGGTGTCCAGTCCCGGTAGGGAGGGGTTGCTGGAGGGGTGGCCCACGACCGGGTCGAGTGACTCGGTGAGTACTTCTGGGCTTTACTTGAATCTAGGCCGGCAACTGCCATGATCTGAGGAAAGAGGGGACTGTTGGGAGACCAGAGGTTCTCAGAGGTCCGGGCCTCAAACCTTCTGCGCACAGACCAAGCACCGGCGCTGCGCTCGCCAGGGGCAGTCCAGGCAAGGACTTGGAAAGGACATGGGCACACTGAAGTACGCTGAATGAATGGGCGGTGATGACTTTGTTTTCTAGCAGACTGTGCTTTCTTTTACCCCGAATCCATAATGCATTTCCTTTGGCTTTTCCCAAGGAGGTATCAGTTGCTAATTCATGAAATTGCTTCAGAATGAAGAATCAGGGAAGCCCAACAAGCTGTGGGTGTGAACACACCACCCAGTTCATGCTGGGTTTAAATACCGAAGTACATTCAGGGGAAACTACCACTTCCCAGCACTTATAGGAAAACAGCTGGTTCTCTTTGCTCTGGAGTAATGCATCCTAGAGCCGGCATTTGGCATGTGCTAAAGCACTGGGTACAAGCCCCGGTCTTACAATCCCACCACGGCAGATGCACCTTGGGGTTCACACTCTGCAGAGAGGGACGGGGAACGCTGTCTGTAAACAGCACAGGTCCATGCCCACCACCCTGTCGTGCACGAATGAATGGCATCTCTGATGTGATATTTTCAGAAAGAAAAAGCGCCATATTGTTATCCTTGAGGGAAAGCCCTAGTGAGTGGGCTCCGGCCCCACCCTCTTGCCTGTGCAGCCGCCCTCAACGTGGGCAAACTGTTCTCCCCAGACTGCTCCCTTTGTAGGCAGGGGAGGTTAACCCTGCATAGTACCCACAGGGCCCTGCCCATGGAGGGACCCATAAACTTAATGAAGGAACCACTTCTTAGAGAAAATGAAGGGCTGCACCGCTTGTTCAGAATCAGCCAAGTGGCCCCCACTCCCTGAGCTCAGATCACATCAGGCTCTGTATTCAATGCCAGGAAGAGGTGGTGGGGATCGCAGGGAGGCACCTGGGCAGTGAGGCCAGCTTTGGCAGCTGGCTCCCTGGATTCAAATGCCAGCAGTCACTTGTGTGAGCTTGGGCAGCATGGGACTCATGGCCATAGCTATTTGACAGGATTGTTACAAAGATTAACTAGACTGTAGGTGAAGATTCTCTCCTTCCCTCCTGGTGCTTAAGGCCAAGGAGAAGGGAGTGACCTGATGGGGGTCCTATGTGGGGTGCCCCTAGGTGTGGGGGCAAGGCCAGGTGGGCCGCTCACCTGTTGCTGCATTAGATGCAGAGGCAGGGCCGTGCGATGGGGGAAGATGGGAGACGACGGGACCTCTTCCTGGCTGCTCTGCCGGCGCAGGCACTCAAAGTTGAAGGAGGATCTCCGGTGGGCTGGGAAAGCAAAGGGCATCACACAGCTGTGAAGCAAGTTCTCTGCCGGGACACCGTCTTTCAGAGTCAGGGTGGCCCCGGATGCTCAGCAACGAGCCCAGGAAGAAGCATGCGGTTTGTCCAAGAGAAAGATTAGGTAGTGAGGTCTCCAAACTTTAGTAGGAGAGGATGAAGGCAGAAGCCCCAGTGAGGGATGTTTTTTAAAGTACAAACTTACTACTTTTTTTTTTTTTTTGAGATGGAGTCTGGCTCTGTCGCCCAGGCTGGAGTGCAGTGGCGCAATCTCAGCTCACTGCAAGCTCCACCTCCCGGGTTCACGCCATTCTCCTGCCTCAGCCTCCCGAGTAGCTGGGACTACAGGCGCCCGCCACCACGCCCGGCTACTATTTTGTATTTTCAGTAGAGACAGGGTTTCACCGTGTTAGCCAGGATGGTCTCGATCTCCTGACCTCGTGATCCACCCGCCTCAGCCTCCCAAAGAGAACTTACTACTTTTAAACGTTCGCCTGTTCTCAGGAGGAGGAGTGAAGGCAGCCCATAGGGCAACTGATCCGAGTCAGAAGCCCTGGCGCTGCATACTGTGGGGAGCGCACAGCACTTCAGTGCAAGAACACAAGTCCTGCCAGAACCCCACGACACTTCCCACTGTCACCTTCCAGATACCCTAAGTGTCCCCAGCAGCTGACATATCTTGCTGGGGCTCCTGTGTTTACACCTGTTTTAAAGGGAGGGACTTTACCTGCACTGATCAGCTTGACCAGGTAATAAGCAAATTATTTTTGTTGGGAAAGATTCAGCTTCTCTAGCACTGAATACAAACAAAGGACACCTCTAATTTTAAGAAAATGCTTGTCCTGCTAACAGCTCTTCCAACAGAGGCTCACACAGAGGTTAACAAGACAATCCACAGCTCCCAGCTTCACAGGGCACCAGGCCCGGGAGATCAGTCTGAATTCTGGGGCCCTAAGACACAGCCAGCAGCCTCCTCCCAGAAACCTCCTACCCCTTGCAGGGGCCTCTGTCGAGAGCACACCTATCGTTTACAAGGCATTTCTATGGCTCCTATCTTGACCGCTGCTTTTCTCGGATCACAGGGCCTCCTTTCTCAGCCCTGGCAAAACTCCACATGCCCCTCATTCCGCTATTGGAAAGCCCAGGGCCTAGCCAGGGGAGGACTCCCAGGCACACTGGGGCTGCACACAAGAGACCGGGCTGAGTCCTTGGCTAGGCACTGCCCAGCAGAGAGGAACGAGACAGCCAGTCCTGGTCTCTCGTGCCCAGTGCGCACTGTGGGGCCTCCTGGTTCAGTTGCCTACATGGGACACACACGGCTGCCTCATCAGAAAGCCTTCCCTCCACGCACCACCCAGGGGCCAACTGTGCTGTGGAGCATAGGTTTCCAGATCGAATGGCCGGGCTGGGGGCTGGGAAAGGAGAGCAGCGGTCCCTCTCCTGTATGTGGTGCTTTTCCATTTCTAAAATGCTCCAGGGATCCCCACCATCTCATGTGCTCTGCACAACACTCTCTGGAGGAGGAGGGAATCCCCCTGCAGCTGAGAACACAGGTGGAGGAGGGAAATGTTCTTCCTGTCCAAGGTCTGAGCTGCGGGGCAGCAAAGCAAAACCACCTTATGAATCAAGAGCACAGCCACTCCTGCCCACTCAGCTCCTCTCTGGCACTGTGGCTGGTGGGATTCATGTGCTTGCTTGCTTGGCCAAGTAGGCAGTAGACAAAGGCCGAGGCCCGAGGAAGGCAGTGGAACTCACAAGGGCGAGGGCCATCACCCGGCCTCACCTGCATCTGCTTCATCTAGTATTTATGGGAAAGGAGTGACTTCATTTAGCTGCATGTGTTCAGGGCTGAGGAATTAAATATTAACCATGGAAATGGGTCTGGTCACACTCCCCAGTGGGGCTGTGACAGTTGGAGTGAGGCAGAGGGCCCTGGGCACCTCCCAGTGGTGCTCTTTATAGTATATGCAGTTGGCAGACTCAGAAGCCGATGTGTCACGGCTATTTTTGGTTACTGATTAGAGTCCTGTTCAAAAATATGCTTCATTCCTCAGAAATTCCAGAAATGGATAGTCCTTAACCATCAGCAAAATGCCCACATGTCCAAAATGAAACTGTTCAGCCAAGGGCTGGAAGGGGCCAGGGCTGCACCTCTTCCCCCAGCTGGAGTTCCTTGCTCAGGATGACCCAGATCCGCCAGCTCCTGCCACCCACCGCTGCAGAGGGAAAGCAGGTGGAAGCAGCCAGCCCCAGCCCCAGCCCCTCTAGGTGGGATGGGTTTCCTGGCCCCAGAGTGAAGGGGACCAACAAGTCCAGAACCTGCCCCGTGAGCAGAGGGCACTGACAGACTTGACAGGAAGATGAGGGAGAAGCAGAGAAAGTGAGGGAGGAGGAGGGAAGGCAAGGGAGAGGAAGGGGGAGGAGGGAAGATGAGGGAGGAGGGAGGAGGGAGGAGGAGGGAGGAGAGGGGGAGGGAAAAGAAGGAGGAGGAGGGTAGATGAGGGAGGAGGAAGATAAAGGAAGATGCTAGAAGACGAAGGAGGAGGAAGATGAGGGAAGATGAGAGAAAATGAGGGAGGAGGAGGAGGGAACATGAGGGAGGAGGAGGAGGGAACATGAGGGAGGAGGAGGGAAGATGAGGGAGGAACGGAGGAGGAGGGAAGATGAGGGAGGGAGGAGGAGGGAAGATGAGGGAGGAGGAGGAGGGAAGATGAGGGAGCAGGAGAAGATGAGGGAGGAGGAGAAGATGCGGGAGGAGGAGGAGGAGGGAAGATGAGGGAGGAGGAGGAAAGATGGAGGAGGAGGGAAGATGGAGGAGGAGGAGGGAAGATAGAGGAGGAGGAGGGAAGATGAGGGAGGAAGAGGGAAGATGAGGGAGGAGGAGGGAAGATGAGGGAGGAGGAGGGAAGATGGAGGAGGAGGAGGGAAGATGAGGGAGGGAGGAGGAGCAGAGATGAGGGAGGAGGATAAGGCTTGGAGGGGCCTGAGGACAGATGGACACCAGAATGCCCAGGTGGCCCTCAGAGGCATGGGGTTTTGCAAGACAGGCCTGCGGCACAGCCAGCTCTGCACTTGAGCCCACTCTTCCCCTTTGGGGGCTCAGTCACCCCATCACAGAGTGCAGCAGGGCTGACAACAGCAAAAGCATGTGTGTGGTTTGCCTCCCTCTCAGGATGGTCCCAGGTTCAAAGACAATGCTATGTATGCAAAACACCCCTTACCAGATGTGTGCGTGCAATCTTAGGGCCCCACAGCCTCTCTCTTCTCAAAGAGAGTCAAGCATAGCACTGAAGAGGCTAGAGCTCTATCACGTGAGATATGGATGAGAAAGGAAGGAAAGCAGACACACTCTCTGGCTGGGGGCTGGTCTTGAGGACTAAGGATCCTGACCTGGCAGCACACATCCATCACCGGCCCCCAGAGCGGGGGTTGGGGGAGAGGTACACTGTTCCCCGGGAGGTTCCACCCAAAACAAAAAATCTGGCCTCACATGCTGGGGTGGGAGGTAGTAGGCGTCTCCTTGGAGATCTCCGTGAATCATAGCAAACGGGCGAGTCATCGTCCTCCAAGAATCCTTGGGGATGATGGTAGCCTCGGGGCCTCTCAGAGTCGATGTTTCTGCCTGGGTATCTGCTGTAGTAGCCATAGTTTTGCCTGGAGGTCAGAGAGGAGGGCAGTAAGGTTCTAGGTAACAAGCTCTGTCACTCAACCCTGCCAGACTGACATCCATACTCCTCTCCCCGCCTCCTCCCTTGGACACAGTAGGATTGGCTGAGAACAAGGCTGGCCTCAGTTTCATGGAAGATTCCAGATGGAGACCAAGGGCCATTACAGGACTGGAGGCCTGTGCTGAGGGATGTGCTGGCAGTTTTGATCCCTCAGCTCCAGGGCAAATGTGGATCGCAGATGTCCTGTGAGCCAGGCTCTCACCCACTCATTTCCTCCGTGAGAGCCCCTCTCCTGAGTGCCTTCCCTCTGCCAGGTGCTGGGCACCAAGGACACCAAGATGCATGAAGCATGAGCCCCACCCTCAATGGGCTTAGAAAATGCCATGAGCACACAGAAATCAAATGCGAGCTGGAAAGGGCCAGTGCTGGAAGAGAGGAACTCATGCGGTTCGTGAGGTTTTCTTTTCTGGGGGTTGGGGGAGGGATTTCAATTCCAGTCATGGAAATAAAAAGCAAGGCCCTAGAGCAGGCCCTCGACAGGGGGGATGAGGCCAGCAGACGGAGTGAGGGCATCCAAGCAGGGGCCACAGTGTGAGCAAAAGCCCTAGAGAAGGGAACACGAGTTCATCTGGCTCAGAGTCAGTGGTTTCAGAAGTCAGGCATTTGAGAGAGGCACGGGGAAGGGCTGCGGGAGCAGAGGGTGAGGGTCAGGCTGTGGCTCAGATGCCAGAAGCCACCTCACTGCCATTCCACTTCCACTTCACTGGGCCCCTGGTCACAGTGAGGTGCGGTTCAGAGAAGAGGGTGGAGGGCGATTTTCATCCGCCTGTGCCGCCTGCTACGCCTCCTAAAGCAGAGTGCCCATTGTACTAACAAACATTCTTTCTGTAGGACAGAAGCAAGATGGACCCCTCTGCTGAGTGACCCCTCATTTCTTCATCTCCCCGAGAGACCCCTTGAAGTGGCAGGAGGCAGGTGCTGTGCATGAGGACCTGGCCCAGCTCCAGGCTGGCCAAGCCGCCGTCCACACAGAGCCCTGGGGCCGCCAGAGCTCCAAGTGTTAATTCAGCAAAAACTGATCTCTCCAAAGACGGGTGGTGGAAAGGCATTAACCCAGCCACGAAGCAGGCCCATCTCCCATTTCCCAAGCCTTCACTAAAAGGCCTCAGAGGCCCCTAGTGGAAATAAGGCAACAGGTCTGAAAGAATAGCCCTCACCCTGCCTCTCTGCGGCTCTCTTTCTCCAGCTCCACTCTCCCTCTGGCCTGGAGTTTCTGCTCCCATTTTGCTTTTTAGGGGAAGCCCAAGTGCAGCTGCCGGTGGCCCTGGCTTCCGGAGTGGGCCGAGCACCAGGGCAGGGCGGCCTCCCGCTCTCCACAGGAGCCAGAGCAGCTCACCTGCTCCAGGTGGGCGAGCTGTCATCCTCGTAGCATTCCTCACTACTGAAATACTCCTGCTCCCCCAAGCAGTGGGGGTCCCTGAAATAGCCATGTATCTCTGGGTCTTCCCGGCAAATAGTTGGGAGCTGTTCATCTCCTGAGTCGGACCTGCAGTTGGGAGAGAGGATCTGAGAACCTGGGCAGGCGGCAGATAATTCCTGCTGCAGCTGCACCTCTGCCTGTGGCCGGCAACCCTGCCCGGGTGCTCCTGGCTTCTCCCAGCGCGCACCTGCCTCAGGCAGCACTGGACTGTTCCGGCTTCTGGCAACAGCACCGTGTGTGTGTCTGTGTGTGTGGTGTGCCTGCGGGCCAGGATAGGGTCTCTCTCAGTGCCCTGCACAATGTTGGTGTCAAACCATTGTGTCCAGAGGCCTTGGAGCCAAAGGAATAGGTGCAATTTGGAGAACAGAACAAAAAAATGGACCTAGGGAAAAAGACCCTGGGTTCCCAGGGCATCTGCTCTGATCCCTCCCTCTCCTTCTAGTCCCCCAGCTCCAGCCCAGTGTGACTTCAGAACCTGGAACAAAGGAGCTTCCTGGCCACTGACCTCCTGCTGTATCAAATCAGGAAGGTCGAGTGAGTTCTGGATACAGTGCCACAGGGGAAACTGTCACAGAACATGTCCACCATGTTTCCAAAGGCTGCCCTGCCCCAGGAATGTGGTAAGTCTCCCTGAAACCCGGCTCATCCTGGCCTCAGTCCTCAGAGAAGGACGTGGTGATGTCAATCCTCTCTCCAAAGGAAGGATGGCACTTCCTCTGACTTCTCCACTTTCTTGCACCCAACTTGGGCCCACATGGCTCCCGACTTCACTTCATAACATGACACAGGAAGACCCATCCTCCCTTGGCCCCCAACAAAATGGGCATTCCGCCCACAATTCAACTCAGGTCAATACATGTGGAGTGGAATATACTACACATATCTTGAGGGCTACAGGGAAAATGACAAGATCCCATTCCTGACCTTCAGGAGGTTTGGGTCATGCTGCAAAGCACCCACAAGAAGCTTGACCCCAGAGAGCAGCCGGAGCTGCCAGCCACACAGGCTGAGGCCCCTGTAAATGCACAATGGATGCTCCTAGTGCCATCGCGAGGCCTGCAGGAGCCAGCCCATGGGGTGCACCTTGTGTGTGGACACCAGTCCTTGGATGGCAACAGAGTCGACAGAGATATGGATCTGAAGGTGCCTTTGCTTAGAAGCAACAACCTCTGACCTCTGAGTCCACAGCCATGAATTATGATAACCTTTAATAGGCTGGCTCAAAGAAGTGTTTCTCATTCTTCAGCACTCAGAGAGGCCAGCTGGTAACATACCATCACAGTATTTAACACAAAAACAGGTAATGAGCACATACCTAATGTAAGTTTCATAATAGCGGGTTCTATCCAGGAAAGGCATAACATGGGAAGGAGGGAGAAGATAAAAGTTAATTTCCAACCAAATTTACAATGCAAACATCAGGCTACCTCCTAGAGTAGGGGTTAGCAAATTATGATTCGCCATCCACATAGGGGCTGCCACCTGGCCTTGTATGACCCATGGGCTATGAACGGGTTTTATTGTTATAAAGGATTGAAAAACATAAAAAAGAATCTGAAGACAAAAAATATCTCATCATATGCAAATATATGAAGTTCAAATTTCAGTGACCATAGGGAAATTTTAATGGGCACAGCCACACACCCATTCACTTACATATTTCACACTGCAACGGCAGAGCTGAGAAGGTGCAAGACTGTATGGTTCTCAAAGCCTAAAATATTGACTCACTGACCCTTTAGAGAAACAATTCACCAACCCCTGTCGCACAGTATGTGAGCACAATTGAGAGGTGGATTTTGTGGCTGCTGCTGTTTTAAGGTCCCTCGGCACCCCACACAGGATGTAGGATGGCACGTGGCCCTTATCCTTTAGGTCCATCACGTGGAGAGTGTCAGAGGCAGCAGTGACCTGGGGGGCACTCACAGATCCTGACACAAATGCCTACGGGGAACCTCCTCCATGCCCCAGAGCACAGAGCACAGACCCGCCTTGCTCCTTGGGACTAGACGCAACACGGGCAGACACCACATGAGCAAGTCCAAACACATTGTCAAGGTTACCTTTTCACACTGGACCTTCTCTGAGGCTCCCGGTCATGCTTGTGGGAAGAATGATGCCCATTTTCAGACACATGCTCAAGGTTCCCAATGCTGGGCCGCTTTCCATGGGCAGCTTTGGACATATTGGCATTATTGAGATTGGCATTTGTTGAGGTGGGAACTTGCTTTCCTATGGAATTATGGTTATGATGGTTATGACACACCGAATTTCCTGCTGGAGGAAACAGCGGTTTCTCAGTATCACTTGCAGGTGGAATTGAAGGCCTTTGGACATGCAGGGGACGGTGGGTGGTATTGGTCTGCTGAAGGGAATCTCTCCTATCACTATTAACATGATTGACATGGTTTCCAAGCAGGGCACCATTTCTCTGCAAAATAATGGGAGACAACACCAGGTAATTTAACAAGTATTTGATGCAGACTAGCTATGTTAGGTAACTTTTTCTACATGAAAAACAAATTCTAGGCAAGCTCCGTAGGATCCCTGTAAAACAATCTGAGTGTCTCAATGATCAGGGTGAATGTGACTGTGTGGCAGTTGGTCCCCCCGAGATGAGGAAGGTTACCGATTTCCTGAGCTGGGGAGCAAGCTGTCGGCTGTCACTCGAGTGTGCTCTTCCAGTTGCTCCAAGTTGGGGTGACTTATACCCAGCTGGGCTGGCTGGTGGCCCCAAGGTTGGGCATGCTCTCTGGGCTGGGGGACTGACAGCCAGCTGGCAGATCAAAGAGCTGGCCCGGGAAGGAGGAGGGTAGCAAAGGCAGCTGCCGGAAGGACTCAGGATGCTCATCCACAGGGCCAGCGGCTGTGGCCGAGCTCCTCAGAAGCAGGCAGTGAGGGGAAGCTGGGTAAGCTCAGGGAAAGAGCTGGCCTGGCCCTAGAAGAGGTGCTGATGCCTGGGGAGGGTCTGTAAGAGGGGGAGGGTGTGGTCTGAAAGCCCCTCTAGGCCCTGGGGATGGGCTGCATTCTCCAGACTCTTCTGTGGATGATTAACTGCCCAAACTGGAGTCCTGCCCTGCTATTTCCAGATGGCCAGTGTGTAGCTAGGCGTGGAATAATTACTTTGAACACATCATCTTCTTCTTCTCGTTTTGTTTCCTCAGGCTCGTCATCTTGCAAATCACACGATATAGCACGCCGGATTTCTGGCCCAATGTCATGCAGTGTCCTTAATCCCGCCTAGATCAATGAAAATGGCAGAACAGGTTAGACCACACATGGGCCCTGGGGCCAGCCTGGGTCCTGGCTTTGCTCCTTCCTGATTCAGCGGTGGGGAGGAAGGCTTCCCCAAAAGCCAATCCAGGGCACTGACTGATGTCACTGAAGGCAGTCTAAGGGTTGTTGGTATGGTCAGGCATCCAGAGGGTCAAGAAGGTCCTAGGTAGGATGCCTGAGGCCTGCAACCCCGTAACCTCCTTTGCAAAACCCCCACTTCCAAGGAACACTGCCTGGTTACTAGTGCTAGGATCTGCCAGGCCAAGAGCTTATGCCCCTGTCTCAGTGACAGTCTTCAGTAGGCTCGCCTACAAGAGCCCTATCTCTCCAAGCCCAGAGCAGGGCAAGGAGCACAGCCTGGCCGATCTAAAGGGAGGCTGATGTGGACTCCCTTGCTGCATCTAGGATGAGGAAGCCTAGGTGTAGGTGCCAGAGGCACAAGCAGACCAAGCAGTCCTCAGGCCACTGGTTCTGCTAAAAAGCCATGGAACGAGTGAGTGACACAACACACTGCAACCACCAGCACACTCGGACCACGACGGAGCAGACTGACACGCACACCGACCCGGCCACCGTGGTCATCAGGATACCCTGGCCTGTAGCCTGTGTGCAGGCTGAGAACTCACCAACAGGGGGTCCGCTTTTTGAAGATCACAACAAACTGAAAGTGGCTTATCAGCCTTTGCAGGCAGTGCAAGACCCACCAGAAGACACCCCTGGTAGATCCCTCTGGGCCCGTCACAGATACTCTGCATCTCCCCTGGCGCCCTCACAGCTGCCTTCCTCACTGTGGTCCCTGCTATGTTGAGACAGGGCCCAGGATAAGCCCTTCCATTGTTCATGACTTCATTAGGGAAGCATTCCAAGATGCTTATGCATGGTGCATGGAGGAAGGTACTGCTCCAGCTCTGAGAGAATGATGATGTTTTGACCACCAGTTTGAAGGAAAACAGTATGCTGAGTTAAAGACTAATAGGGACTGTATGGCAACTTTATTCTTTTCCACAGAAAGTCCTGCATCTGAAGAAGGCATGTCCTCTCTGCCCTGGGTCTACGGTCCTGTATCCAGGCAGCCCCTCCTCACTCACTGGCAGTCTGTCCACAGCTCTGTAGCCCTAAAGGCCTGGAGAACAGCTAAGACAATGGATGTGCAGCAAATGCTTCAACCTCAGGGTGGTTTGCAAAGGAAAACTGGACTAAGTGGTGGGTCCTCGGAGAGGAGACCGCTTCCCTGTCCTTCCTCCACAACACCTCTTAGCATGTGGGCAGCTGTGGCAAGGACAGATAGGCATGATGACCATCCCTGAGACAAGCATGGGGTAGAACAGATGCCCAGAAGTGGTTCAGGGAGGAGGAGGGGATGGTGGCTGCAGTCTGGCCAGATCCATCAGGGCTGGGTCCCACTGGTCTGGGGATGCTCAAAACTGGTCTCCTGCAGTTGCCAATGCCAGTGCTGGTGATGATAATTTAGAATGTAAAGTCACACAGGAACTTCCCAAGAGGCCCTTATAAAAATAGCCTGGTGCACAAAAGCACCAAGCCTTTGAGACAATTCTGCTAAAAATGGTGCCAGGTTGGGTTTGGTTTGAACCATTCTGTGAAGATAGAGCAGCAGATCTTTCCATTTAGTGAATTCTGAAGGTGAAGGAAGAGCTGGGAATGAAAGCTTTAAGCTTCCTGACTAGGAATGCTGAGATCTTATAGGGGACAGACAGTCATGTCCCGGGTCAAACCAAGACAGTTCTTGGGGTGGTCAGGGAGGCTGCTTCTTGCTCTCCTGTCCCTCTGATCACAGGCTCAGGATGCATGTGTGTACACATATGCACATGTGGGTATGCTTGTGCATACACGTGCGTGCACGTGCACACACACACGCACACACACGCACACACACACACACACACGCACACATACACACACTTTCCCTCTCTCAGGATCCACGAGTTCAGCACATCTGAGCCTGGGAAGTCATTTGGTTCTGAGGTGGACCCACCTGCCATTCTCATGGAAACATCAAGAAGGCAACTGTAATGCTATGTTGGTAAAAGCTCTTACACAGCACAGCTGCAGGAACGTGAAGAAAGGTCATACCCGGCAGTACTAAACAGCCGCATTTCATTCATTCAGAGCTTCCTAGGGTACATCATCAAGGGATGGTGAGCTAAGCAAGGGGTTCACTTCTGATTTTGGATCAACTGGGAAGAAAACTCGGTTACATATCTAAGGCTCCCAAACAAAAAGACAAGGTTTAAGACACCTGCTGCTGCTTCCACAAAATAAACATAGGTTATAATGCACTTAAGTCAACACCCCCAAGTAAATTTGGTACATTAATCCATATTACAAGGCAGTAAAGGCCAGAAATGCTCCCAAGTTTAAACAACATATAATCCTATTTACTGTCATTCAACTGATTGGACTAGGTCTGATTAAAAGAAATAGAAAACTATTTATTTGGATAATTTTTAACATCATCCTCTGTTGACGGGTTGACATTTCACTGAAATACACATATAACATAATTGCATAATAGAAACAAAAACTGTCTCCAGCACATCTTCAGTGATACACAAGATTAGGATTTAGTCGACAAGATAGTGCAATGAACAGACATGGGACAGAGAATTTGTTTGCAACATAAATCATGGAGAAGGTTGAAAGGTGGCCCAAGTTGCCACTTCCAAAGACAAATAATGACAACATATTTATTAAAGAGACATTAGAGGAGGAGAGAAGAATCGCTCTTCCCAGACACAGAAGCAGAGAGTCAGAAATCATGATTATATTCTGCTTGTTCCAGGCAGGAAAAAACAGACCTCATAAGAGTCAGGGACTGACTCTACTTTTTCACATGTGTTCTGGGTAGGGCCAGGTCAGGCTGTCCCCCACGACTGGGAGTGAGGGAAACAGATGTTCCCAAACTAGAATTGACATGAAGCTTAAGCACAGCACCCTGAATTTATTACATATCACAAAACATGGTAATGAAGTTTTTCTAGCACACATATCAAGCTAAAAGGTAGCTTAGGCTGCTCCCAAAATTCCATAGGCACAAGTTCCAATCCCCAGAAATACAGAAAACTATCTTAGACTCTTGAAAAAATTACTTTTCCACAGCCCTAAAAAAAAGAACATTTTTTTTCTTGGGATAAACACTTTACAAACAGTAAAATTATCTATTCTTTCATATCTCATATCTGTGTCTACCTCTATCAGCAAAATACTATTTTAATTTGAAAAGTGGTCATTAGCACTTAAACCAACACAATTAAAGCCATATAAAGTCATTCCATTAACATCACAGCAGAAATATGGTTTTGAAGAAACACAGAGTTGCTATAAAATATAAACATTATTGACTTATTTTAAGATGTCCAATCTTATAAAATATTAAACAGAATCAAGCCTAGTTTCTGGTTGATTTTAAAATGCTAGATGTTATCATAAATAATTTTTAGAAAAGAAATGTTGGCGCTTTGCCTGTAGACTGCTGCTTAAAATTTTAGACACCATTTAGTTGGAATTTCATAGATATTCTATTGAATGATTAAGTTACCAAAAAAAACTAAAATGTCTCAAAACACTTCTGAATAGCATAATATGATGACATTTTGACATCAAATATGAACACCCATTTACCTTTCTTTCTCCTGCCCACTTTTAGGGTTAAGTTTCTCCTGCCTAGATGCATTTGCAATGCTTTTGCTGCCTGTGTCCCTAAGCTAGCTCCATCAGACACACCAGCCATCTGCCAGCCCTCACAGCGCCACAGCAAGCATGCACAAGTGCCCAGAGCCCCGCCCTGGACCTACGCTGTAGCAGTGGAGATAAGAGATGCATGTCTCTAGTCGGGACTGGGCCAGGCCATTCATCTTCAGGATACAAGCGCCAGGCTTTGAGACTCCAGCCAAAGAACCCTGCCTGGCAGAGCCTGTTCCCCATCACAGGCAGGCTGCACTCAGCCTAGGCTGGCCCTGCACACAGTCGTCTCGCTGGTGACAAGTTCTGGTTAACCCTTTAGCAGGATTCAGTCTATACCCAATGAGAGGGGACCTTTTTAGACTAGTTCCATTAGAAAACAGAATGAGATTAAGTTCTTATGGAATAAACCTGCTCATCTGCAAGCTGCCGTCCGCCTCCTCAGCACATCACACGTGGGCACACCCCTTATTTTGTCACCACTCTCCTCCAGGGATAATGTGATGGCAGCCTTTGTGTCCATTGTGAATGGTCCTTGTGTCAGATATAAAGGGTTGGGATCCTGGCGCTCTGTTAGTCATCCACAGTGATTCCAACCCTCACTGAAAAGTCAGGGGTAACATGACCCCCACAAGCTCCCCTAGGGGTTGCGCTATTCCCATCACTTGGAAAGATAAAGGAAACTTTAAAGAAATTATCTAAAATATGACCTTTGCCTGCACACAATCTGAGAGCTCTCCGTTTCAGTTCCACCTTGATTCTTGGTGCAATCAGGAATCTGATTCGTTGTAATTTTAACAACCGAATCAAAAAAAGTCTTGCCAGTTTCCTGATAATAGAGCATTCTGTAAAGTTTAGGCTTAGCAGAAGCTGTAAAACACAACTTCTGTTCTGATAGCATCTTTATACCAGTCATTGTGAGCTTACATACAAATATTCCACTAGATTCTGGGAGGAAGGGAGAGCCAAAGTTATTCCCATGTGGTTAAATTATGTGCCCAAATGAGTCAAAGGCTCAGTGAGGACTCTTGGCCCCTAAGCCTGTTCTTCCTGTGACACTGGGCTGCCTTACCTCTCCCAAACTCCCCACCTCAACCACCACCCAGGCAAAGTCACTGCACCTACTGGGAAAGAACGCTGGATTGGAGTCTGAATCACACACTTACTCACCTATAGTCACGACTGTGGGGTGCCACCTGATCAAGGCTAACCCTCTTTTGACTACCCTAGCAGAGCTCTTATATTCCTAAGTCAGCATGGAGATGACAAATGATCAAAAGTTATCCCTGAAACGGATCCTGTTTGGCACACATCCTTGGTCCCAGTTGTGCACTTAGGGGAGCTGATTTTTAAAAACACTTTCTATCCTGCCCTGATTCAGACCATCACACCTGCAGATCAGCACAGGCCGCAAGACTCGGCCATGCTAGACGAATGGGGACACAGGCAGCTCCATGCCTCCGGGGAGTGGGCTGAGACTGGGAAGGGGCTGGAGGGGGAGAAGGGCTCCAGTTAGGGCAGTGCCACTGCACAGGAGCCTCTTTAACAAGGGAGATGATTAAAAGGCTCCAGCACCCTCTGCCTTTAGGGGGACCTAGTAGCATTCCCCCAAAGCAGTTCTCAGGTGTGTTCTGGGGACCTTGGGGCATCCCAAGACACTGTCAGGGGTCCATGAGGTCACTGTGATTTGCATAACATAAGGATGTTCTTTGCCTTCAACACTCTCATCCTCTCATGAGAGCACAGTGAGGTTTTCAAAGGCTGCCTGATGCATGATGTCATCACCCTGGCGTCTTTGTGCTTGCATGTTCTTGTTTTAAAAACTGCTCCGTTTTAATTTCTAAGACAGTAAATATTGACACACAAGGGTCTTCAATAATGTAGAGTATAAAAGGGTCCGAAGACCAAAAAGTTTGATAACTGCTGATCAATCTATCCTCCAACAGGCACTACTACTTTTTCCTCAGGTGTAGACTTTTTTACCCCATCTAGGATTCCCACTCTTCTGTGGACCTTTCTCCACTCTTGGAAGAAATGGCCTTCCTATGGCTTCCCTGAGCCAGCCTTTGGGACGTCTGAATGGGTTGCCTTCACCATGCCTTAGAATTATGTGCCCTTCCAAGATCTCAAACAGCTGTGTCCCTTAGGTCTAAGAGGTGCCAAGGAGAATGAACTCACCTGGGTTTCTACCCACCCTAGAACTGTTAGTAAGTCTTAGCCAGCTCCTTCGCACAGATCATCTAATCATGACACAATTGGGCTGCCAAAGGACACTAGGTGAATGGTACTAAATAACAAGCCACGATAATTACCACCTTTTACTACTACGTCACATCACTTAACTTCTTTGCAGTCTTTCTTCTCAAAGACTCCTGAACATAATTATTATTCTCAAAGGAATGAGATCTCCCCACTTTCAGAAAGAGTATAGAATGTAGTACCCAATAGTCCTGTGGATTAATTTTTAATTGGGTTGTTAAACAGTATAAGCTATTTGAGAAGAGCCTCCCTACAATGTATACTGGCCTGCCTCTCATCTTCTATCCAGGAGCTGAAGAGTTTAGCCTATGGATGCTGGTGTTGGGGGTGCCAAGTTTGCTGTGTGTGTCTGTGAAGATTCTAAATAATGAACTTGAGTCGTCTCTCACAACTTTGACTACACTAGAAGCTACACTTCTCTGCCAAGGCTTTAAGAGAAACGACAGCGGTGTCTCTGCAGTTTGACTGCAAATCAAGTTTCAGGAAGCCTTCTTTCCCTTTTGAGTTGAAGCTGGAAGCAGCTTTCCTGATTCCTGGCTGTCTTTCCTAAGCTGGCCTTGGCTACCAACCTTAGCCAATGCCATTCCCCAGCAACACAGCCAGGCCCAAGTGGAGAAGACTCTCTTGTTCCATTTAAATCACTCCCTAAGTCCCATCTAGAAAGTGGTCACTTGTCAGTTTTTACTTATTTGAGGAGCGTGGAGAAGGCACATGGAAACGCCGCCCACTTGAATCGCTTGGGGCCTTTCTGCCGAGGCCTGAGTGTATGGAATCTTGGATCTAGAAGGTCGGTCACACCGGCCCTCTGAGACAGAGTGACACATACAGGGGGTAGGCACGTGCCATCCTTCAGCACTGAATCAACTCAACGTCGGGTGGGTCAAAGACAGACAGAGGGACTGACGGACCCCCACAGGACTGACGGGCTTCCCTTTCAGGGACGATACATCACATTCTTCATAAATTCTTATAACTTAATATACCCAGGTGCTGCCCAATCAGAGCAGAAGTGGGCCTTTGGATCACAGCAGGGTCCTGGAGGCTCCCTGCAATGCCAGGCACTAGACCTGTAGCTGCTGGGTCACAGAGCAGTCTCAGGAGGGGCTGGGCTGCTGGCAGTGGGGAAGGAGACTCAGGTGCTAGGGTAACAGCGGTTGATACCAGGTGCAGCTGTGCTTCAACATCTTGACAAGTGGCCTGGCCACACTGGAGTGTTCCTGGCTTTCTACCCCATCCCCCACATCACCATGTGGTGCAGCACGAAGCAGTCAAACCTGCCCTTGGGCCCTGTGGACTGTGCTGTGAGAACCCACAACACCTACTGTGAGCTCCTGGATGTTAACTAGTCTGCACACTTATACACATGGGGGCAGAGTCGGGAGCTAGGCCCATTTCCATAATGAGGACAGCAGGTCCACTGAAGTCCAGGTAGGTTAGACCTCTCGGTACAGTGAGGACTGCAGCCAAGGGCAAATGTCATAGGCACAAAAGACACCACTGGAAAAGACCCTGAGGCTGGGACTGACCCTGTCAGTCACACCTAGGACAAGCCTGCAGAAAGCATACTTCCCACTGGTGACATTGCTCCCACCCTCTGCCTAGCCTTTGGGACTCCTGCCCTCCCAGGATGCTTGGAAGGGTGTCCACTTCTACAGGAATAGGGCCCCCCAGAGTTTGCTGGCTCTCTCTTCCCCTGTCTCCGCACACCCCACATACATACACACGCACTCGCACACACACACAGCTTCCAGCCTGTACACATCAGGGCAGGTGAAAGGGGCTCATAAGCCCTTCTTTTCTCTATACACTTCAGATACTTCAATTTTTTTAGATTCTTCTGCATTACCTCTGCACTATGGCTACTTTGAATGTTGATCTTAAAACCCAAACTGGCCACTTTGGGTGTCTTGGGCTCAGCATCAGATGTACAGACTCCAACCACCACTTGGAATCAGCTGAGAATTCAAGATCAGACACCCTTATCGACCAACATCTTGGGCAAAAATCTGCTATTCTTAAGATGTGAAAATGCAACCTGCAGGGTTACCTCTGTTGACATCTTTGTGCATTGCCTAGATTTCTTTAAAAGGGGGGAATTTTCCTTCTCAATGGGTAAGTATGGTACAGAACAGAAAAGAGATCAAAGGAAAACAAGAATTTCTTAAAGTTCTGGTAGTAAACAGGCATATGATATTATTATTGTTGTAGTCTTAATAAGCAATTATACGTTCAAAGTGCTTTACAATCACTTAGCTATTCCTCACAACAGCCCTGTGAGGTAGGTCGACATTATTAACCCCATTTTACAGATGGGGGAAACTGAGGCACAGAGAGGTTAAGTGTCTTGCCCAAGGTCACGCAGCAAGTGAATGCTGAAACTGGGACTAGAACCCAGGTTCCCTGACTCCCAGTGTCCTTGAAACTAGACCACACTGCTTCCAAAGAGGCATCCCCAGACTGGCTCTGAGCACGAATTAAAGACGGACAATGTTAGATGAGGTTTGGGTGTGGTGGTGTTTCCTGTGGACACGTTAAGATGGAACCTGAGGTGTTGCCTGGATTGGTTTTGGCATGCGGGTGTATGTGTTAGTTTCAATGGGTGTATCTGAGCTTCCTGGCCTGTCCACTTCTCACTGTATTCTGGACTGGGTCTCTGCAGAGAGCAGGGCCGGACGCTCAGGAGGTCATGGCGGACTGGCATACAAAAGGAACTCTGTCAGCTCAGCGCCGAGGGGCCTGTCAGTCTTTGGGAGTTCGGGCAAACTAGGGATGCAGGACTTTGGAATGGAGTCAGATACCCACCTTAGGCAGGTCTGCTTAATCTTTTTATTTTTATTTTTAATTTTTTGTTTTACTGGCCAGCATCAGGAAGTTGTGTTCATTTCATTTCTCTGTGGGGCAGCTGCCCCCCTCCTTTGCTCTCTCTCACTCTTTCCCTTTCTCTGAGTCTCTGCTTGGAAGGGAAAACTGTTAAGCTTTGTACGTTCCCTTTCACGAAAAAGAACCACCGTGAGCAACGTCCGCGACAGGCAGCCCTGGCTCCGCAGATGAGCCACGGCCCCGCTTCCACCTTCCGGAGGAGTGCTTTGCTTGGAAGGGGTCTCCCTGGGGCCTTGGGTCTGCTTTTTCCTGCATTTCTTCTGAAATGCTGTTTCAGTAGAAATAAGCCCACTTGAGACTTTTCCCTTTCAAGGCCTTAGCCACAAACGCCTTCCGACTAACCAGCTTGGTGCCGTAGCTCAGGCAGAAAATTCTAAAGCATCCGTTCAAGCATCTGAAACAAACGAATCAGCCAGTGAAATCTCATCTGTTAGCATCTGTTCTCCTCTTAGATTAAAAAAAGAAAAAAATTTAAAAAGAGGCTTTTGATGGCTTCAGGTAGAATCATGCTTTAAAAAAATAACAAAACAAAACTCCACTACTTTTTAGACTAAGGTGACCAGGCAACAGGTGTTTGATCTTCTACAGATTAAATCTCTGTGGAGGATCCCATTTTCTTCTGTCTTTATGCATTGAGCCTCCCTAAGAAGACCACGCGGGGCACATCAGGGGCTGAGAGTCCTTTGCTTCTTATATACCACCCACATCTCCCCTCAACCACCTGCATCGCCAACTGGCGGCTCGGGCACAGGCTTTACAATTATTCAACCTAACAACCTAATTCTTTATAGCTAGAAATAATGGTCTCCTCCTTAAACCAAACTTCCAAACAGGCAAAAGGACTATCCCTCCAAAGCTTTCCTACAATGGAGATGGAAAGGCTCCCATCTGGGATGAGTGGGGGACATAGTGTCCTCGGATTCCACCGGAGTGCATGTCTTTTGCAGAAAGGAAATTCTTGAATGTTAAAAGAAAGAGAAATGAACAAAACTTTTCCCACTTTGGGGTCTTTTTCTTATCCACAAGACACTGGACTAATGAGTGTCTGTAACTTGCACAGATGTCCTCATCTAGAAGGTCTGATGGGACATTCAGCATGCATTGCTGTCTGCTGGGAGGAGGACTGAGAATTTTCATGGCTGCATGGCTGTGTTCCTTTATTTATTTGCCCCTCGTGGAAACTCGTGGGTCACTCGGATGTAGCAACAATGGATGACGAGCAAATGCTGAGTCAACCCAAAGTGAACATGGCATGTAGGAGATGCGCAAGAGGAAATTAAAAAAGGCCTGATGCAGCTTCTCTCTGGTTCCCTCTGTAGAGGGGCTGGAGAGAAGGTTGGTTTTAATGATGAAGATGGATGGAAGGATGGAAACTGCACACTCATTCAGACCACAGAGGCCAGAAGACACCGGATGCCGAGCTCCTTCCCACACATGGATCCAGGAGCTCAAGCCATTCCCCTTCATGTGGGAGGCAGCATTGCAGTTGGTCTGAACACAGGGAGATCAGATGGAGCCCACAGGGTTCAAAACCACAGTGCGTATATGTGTCCTTGAAAAAACATTCCCTGGGGGTGGGGGCGCAGAGGTCTTGGGCCCATCCTGGAAGCTGTTCAGACAGACTGCACCCTACGCAGCACAAGCACGCACATGCCTAGGTCCGCACTTCTGCGCTCACACTGCGACGGCCATGCTCCACTTTCCATTAGCACGCAGTCTGCCAGCCATGGGGCACCCTGCTGTGGGAGGAGGCAAGCCATCCTCCATCTCAACAGGCCACGCCCACTCTCAGGGGCTTCCCGAGGCTGTGTCCTTGTCCTAGTTACACTGGTGGTATATCTCTCCCACTGCCGTCCCACCAAATTTTCCTAACTGCTACATCGTCACCCGGTATTTCATCACGCAGAAACGAAAGCCTACTCATGCTAATTAAACATGGAGTAACAAATCACACTCACAGCCATTTCTACAGCACAGGAAGCCAAAATGCAATTAGAATTATCCTTCAAGGAGACAAAAAAAATGTCTATGTTTAATGTTTCAGAATCAAGTACATTTTCAGTTTCTCTATTAAGATTATGAACACAACTTAATTTTCCAGGCTGCATTCTCAACATAAATTACAGACGATGCTTCAGCTCCCAATGGAGCCATGCGAAAATATGTTGGTATCATCTAACTGGAAATGTTTGCATTTCATCAATAAAATGAAACTCTATAAACAATAAAATGAAAAACGTTTAGGAGAAACCCTCAACATTATTGCAACACAAAAAGAGTCTTTTAACCCACAACCTGCCGCTGTATCATTCATGCCATTTGACCCTTCAACTTAAGACTCAGTAAACCCCATACGTGAAACCTGGTAATGACTTAGCTGTGTGTTGTTTGTGCATATCTTAAAACATCAAAACACTATTTCCAGCCACTAGAGAAAGTGCTGAAATTGTCTAATTGGGAAGTCTTGGGGGTTCAGAAAAAGTATAAATGACCCTGCATCCAAGTGGCCGCCATGCCTCTCACAGAAAATGCAAGATTCTCATGGTACCTAGCTAACCTGCTGGCTGTAAATTAGGACATCAACCATCGATGACAGACTATGTTCCTCCCTCCAGAAAAGTTATCAAGTTCTGGTCCCAATTAGGCTCCCAGAACAATAAGCAGTTCCCTACAAGCAGAGGGCACTGGGAAATGGAACTAAACCATCTAACCAGCCTCATCTTCTGGGCAGGGGACTCCTTTAAGGACAAGCCTGCAGAAGCATGTTCATCACTCCCTCTCCTGGCACCCAACCTGGCCACGCTGCCCTCAAGGATGGATGGACCAGAGACTTCTTCTAATCTGCAAACATATCTCTGCAGTTTGCTTTGTCTTTCGGAGGCTAGCTGTGAACTGCAATCCAGGAGGGGGGCTGTCACTTTTACAAACTGGATTGGTTGGAAGTGAGAAAGCTTCATTTGCAAATCCTACCACCTGAGATGCCAATGGGCTGTGTGACTGAGCCTGTGATTCCCTCAGCTACCTTTAGGATACGTGATGAGAGGCAGGAAGATCACTGTCTTCAGTCGGATTCATGGTCCACCTGCCAACCCGCATATGCCTCTTTCCCCAGCCCCTGTAGCTGTCTGGGTAGAGCAGAGGTTGCACCATGAATCAGCAGGTCACTGTTACACAAGGCCATCTACTAACCCACGAGATACACACACACAGCTCATGTTTGTCATTCACTCATTCACTGTCATTCATATTCATATTCATATTCATATTCTCTCTCTCAGCAAGATCAAAGATAAGCCCTCATTTGGGCTGTTACCATCACTTTGAACACACAACGCTGCGCATTTTTCCCTGGATAAGAGTGAAGGACTCTTCCATGTTGAACCTTATCAATATCTACAAGGCCAAATTTAACATGTACTGAGAACAGGGGCATAAAATTGTGGCGTAAATAGATTTTAAAAAATTCTTTATCCTATCCATGATGGATTATGAGCACTCTGGGCAGCAGAGGTCAGTTGTTTCAGATGATTTGCCAGCCTCTGTGGTTCCCTCTTCCCTGTCCTTAGCATCTTCTCCCTCTTTGCCCTGCCTCCTTCATCCACGGCACTCACAGACCACCTTCCTAGCCCCTCTTCCTGCTGGTCCTCATGGTGCCTTCCTTGCCCCTCCACATACCTGCTTCCCATCCCAGAGCTTTGGGCTTTCCTAGGTTTCTACATTCCTCGCATGCAAGGACCCTGGCTGGTACCAGAGGTTCCTGAAAGCCACATCCACACTCTAGGAGCCTGCAGCAGGGCCCAGGTGGAGGAGGGAGAGGGACCAGAGGCTGGCTGGGGCATGAGAGCATAGCATGTGCACAGCTGGCCTCCTGGCCATCAGGAGACAACATACAGAGACAGACACACCACACATACATACATACACACACACACACACACACACACACACAGAATACATACTAGGAGGTGATGGATGTTACTGAAATGGACCAAAAACCAACAAGCAGTGGGGTAAGAAACAAACGGAAACAAAACAAAGCACTTGCGTTCAGATGGAAAGCTGTTCATTCACTGGGCAGCCAGAACCCTGGAGCCCAGGGCTGTGGGGAAGGTGGGTGCCTGCTTGGAGGATGCTGCCTGGAGGGGCTGGGGTGCGAGGGTAGCGCTCGCTCCTCTCCGTCCTGGCAGCCCTGCCGCGTGGGTAGTGGCAGGTGCAGGGCTCTATGGGGTAGGCATCGGGGAGGGAAGCACTTACCTTGTGGCCCAGAAATGGCTAGTCCACATTTGGGGGAGTGTGTAGTATCTCAGTTTAAACAAAATCCTTGTGGTACTGCTCAACCATGAATAGGCAGCTCTCTAGTATTTCAAATAAGCTTGTAAAATCGTTAGTCAAAAGAGAAAACAAAATGAGACAACAATTCACCTGTAGGGCAATTGTGGTGTTCTTCGCAGGGTACTTTCCCACCAGTCCTTGTTCTTTCCGTTTCTTGAATTTCCTAAAGTAGTCCTGTATCAGGAAAGTGGCATAGAACTTCCCCACGGTTACCTCATCATCTAAACGGAGAGACCAGACAGAGCTCTCCCGAATCAGCACATTAGACCAAGAGCCTAAACACTTGCTTCTGGCTGGGGCAGGGGCAGGGGCAGAGTGGGGCGGGTGGGCGGTCCGGCGCAGAAGGCACCGAGGTCTCAGCATATAACACAGGGGTCTCAAACCAGCAAAAAGCAAGGTTTTGCAAAGCAACTAAGGCTCAAAATTAGTGTCAGTTAAATGAACTGATACTCTAGGTTGCAGAAAATAATATATTTGTTATGAGTTTAATAGAGCAGCATATTAGTAACACTATGAAATGCTGTCTTGGTTATTTACTTAAAATAAAAATTACAAAACAAAAAGAGGCTTCACGGGCCACATTTCACCCCTGTGCATAGGGATTTGCATGTATAACTACCATAAACTTATCAAGGGCAATTAACCGTCCAAATCCCGATGTCTCAAGATAGAGACCTAGAAAGGTGACATACATGCTCAGAAGGAGAGGAAGGTTTAGAAAAGTGACTGCAAATTCAGATTTTCATGAGCTCCCCGCCCCCTATTCTCCACCAATAAGCTCCATATACCATTTCTTGGTTTGTAATTCTGAACAGCTCATTTTCTGCACTGTAGTGACAGCTCCAACCAACCTCATAGTTGAGCTGGGCTTATTTTTGCTTTGTTCAGAAACAACCTCCAACGTGTATGGTTGGGGAATCAGAACTCTGCTGATGACTTTAAAGGTGATGCATGAGGCAGAATAGAGGCTCTGGCTGTCTCATGGTAAACCACTTTGGACGTGTAAATGTGCCCCATGGCTCTCCCACGGCTGCTTGCTACCAAATCTTCAGTGTGCTGTGTCTCTTGGGGGTAAAGCTTGTGACCACTTTAGTACTCCGTCCCATGTGTGTGGGGCCATGTGGGGCCCTGGGGGCCACTGACCACAACTTGCAGAGGCTGGAAGGAGGAATGGTTGCTGGTCCAAAGGCTACAGAGCAGCTGGCTTTTAGGCCAGGCCACCCTTGCAAGATCTACATGCTGATGTGGGGGCAAGGGGCTCAACCTCTCTGAGCTTGTATTCTCATCTGTAAAGTGGGGATAAGCCTCTCAGAGGAGCCGTGAGGATGATGTGGGAGGAAGCAGGTAAAGCACTCAGCCACCTGGCTCAGGCTGTCTTAAGTGCTGGGCACTTGATGTTGATCATGAGCCCTCAGAGTCACCCTTATTTTAAAATGTGCTGACGGTGGCATCCATTGACATGGATCCTGAAGCTTGATGGGCTGGGGGACATGGAGAACCATCATCCTTCACTAATGTACCCGGGGTGGGCTTCACTTAGTGCCCATCCAGGAGGTGCTGCCAACATCTTGTGGTCCCCACTGGAGATGCCCGGGCCTCCTTGGGCTGCCTCTCCAGGCCTCCCTGTCAGAAGCCACTCAGTGTTACTGTGTGAGAAGGCTGTCTCAGGTGGTCTGGCCTGGAGAAGTGTTCTGTTCCTTCTAAACCTAAGCTAAGATAGTCCTGGAGTGGTGTAGGGGCCACCCAGGTATAAGCCAAAGACTCTGAGTAGCATGTAAAACATGGTTCCTAATCTGTCTCGGCTTGTCTAATGATGCAAGGTCCATAGGCAAGAAGGCAGGAGGTGAGCAGAGACCACTCAGGTCCTGGTATTTCACCCCTCGCTGTACTCTCCAGCCTCCCCATTTGCTCAGGGTATGTTTGGAATATCAGCTCTGGCTCTAGCCAGCCCCTACTGTTGGACATCTATAGATGCCAAGCCCTGTGTCAGAAGAATTCCATGTGGGTCTCATGGCCTCTTCACAACTCTGACATGGTGGATCTGCTCACCACCACCCCCTCCAACAGATGGAGAGGGCTAAATGACTTGCCCAGCTCAGTCAAGCCGGGACCTTACCACAGGACAGTGTGCTCCTTGAGTCTGGGATCCTATCCTTCATACCACCTCTCCAGAGATGGCCGTCTCCAGCCACACTGGCTGCTGGGCTTCTTCAGAGCTGCCTCTCACACCATGCAAGTGTATCCCTTTCCCAGGCTGCACACAAAAAGTGGACACGCTGTTGTCTGGCTAATGACTCCAGGGACCCCAGGGAGAGTCTCTGGTGGCCTGCCATGCCACAGCCTTCCTCTATATTCCAGGGCTCTGTGTCTTCTCTGTGGGGCCCAGAAAACGCCCTGGCTCTACCTGAAGAAGACCCACACCCCATTCCACCCTGATGCTTCTAGCAAATACAGGCCTAACTCTGATCTCCCTTCAGCCTCCAGAGTAGAGGCAGACCCACCCAGAGCTCTGCAGGAGAGAACTCAAGGGTCACTTCGTCTTCTCCATTGAGACACTGTGCTAATTAGGAGACTGGGCCCAAGGAAGAGTTCCTAAGAACAAGAAAAGTCAAAGCTACAGCAGGACAGAACAGGAAGGAAGAGAAGGAATGAATACAAGGAGGCCATCTGGGCTCCGGACTGAAAAGAAGGCAATGGAGGCAGCTCAGTGTGCTCTTCAGGGCAAAGGAGCAAAGGATCCAGGTCATGGATGGAGGAGAGTCCTGGGGAGGAGAGAGAGCTTCTGAAATGAAGGGAAAGGACCCACAAGATGGCACGGGAAGGCTGAAGAGCAGAGGTGAGAACCTGAGCTGAGAGGCAGAGATGAGGCGGCTCAGCACTGATGGTGAGGGGGCAGCGGAGACCCCCGGGCCACTGGGAGTGAAGCAAGCCTGACATGTATCCACAGATCCACAGCTCATTCCTGATCTCATCATCAGGCTCATGAGGAGCCAGGCCACACCTCACAGCACACTAGCGAAGCCACCCAAGACAAGCATCTGACTCAGTTCTATCACCAGGGCTAAAAGGGGCTTCCTGAGCACCCCACATCTGCCAGTCCCAGCCACTTGGAGTGGAGGCTGGCCTTACTCAGTCTCCTGCTTCTTGACCAGGTGATGGTGTAGGGGATGCTGAGGCCCTCAGCCTCAAGAACTCCACATCTGTTCCCAGAGGGGTATGCAAATATCCTTTTCTAAGTATGCTGTGATGCAGGAAAGGTTGGGGACATGGGCCTACTGAAGGATAAAAGAGGAAAGACAGACAAATGATGAATGTGGAGAACCAAGCCCTGTCCGGCAACTCTTCCAGAGTCTATGCACCAAAGCCTGATGGCCACTGCCTTCGGAACTTCCTTCGTGGCCACAGCACTCACATGAGATTCAGCCCGGATAAGCCCTGCACTGGGCACATCACTCAACACAGGCAGGGAGCTTGCAAAGCCTTGCATCCCTCCTAAGGCCCCACTTCTCTCTTCTTGTGCCTCACACTGCCTCTCGCTGCCGTTGTGGAATAGATTAAAACCTGTCATCCTAAACTCCAATCCATTTTAAGAAATAGAGAGAAAAGGCGAGGTCCAGTTATTGGACCAAGAAAGAAGAAGATTTCTACTCTACTAGAAGTCTGATAAAGCTAAAAGTTGATCAGCTTTTCAAAGGAAGGGAGCTTCGATGGCGAGCTAAATTCTGGACTTTTCTTTTGGTAAAATGAAAAGAAATGAAGTTTCACACTAATGCAAATGACACCCTCCGAGGGCATTTCACGAGGATGGGCATCAATGTGGGAGTCTGGCTGGTTGTGATGAAGGTGGCGTTCCAAGAGAGATGTGAGGTGGAGCGAGGGAGGAGCGGGGTCCTCAGCTCGCAGGGGGAAGGTTTACATAGACAGACATAGCCCACTATTCTGAAGCATGCATCTGTATTTAAAGAAACAACGTAGGGGAATACAGTTGGCAAGAGATAACTCTGATTCCATGCCACCACCCTAAAACAGAATTGCTTCAGAATATTCTGAAAGACTGAGAGGTGAAAGGAATGGAGGCTGCAGGAAAAGCTCAAGCACATTGTTACAATTTTTCCAAAGCATTTCATGTAAGCCATGCAAGCTCTTAGGTGTGCAGCTAAAAAGAAAAGAATGAAAACCAAGGAGTTGTTTTAAATGTGCAGTATCGGTTCTCCTGTGGGAAGCCAGGGCCCTCCAGGTGGGAGGACTTTTGTTTTGTTTTGTTGTTGTTGTTGGTTTGTCTTCCTTTTATCATTTCTTTCTGGGCCATCTTCCCCAGCTTTGAGCCTGTGGCTGTGCCAGCTACGGGTAACCCCTTCAGCAACAAAAGCTCACGTTGCTTCTCGCTTCATGCTAAGGAGCAGAGCTGGCTGGCATGCTGCTCTGTCTGCGCCCCAAGAGCCAGAGCTCATCACCTTCTCAGGGGCAGGGCCTCGGTCACCGTCCTGGCCTGGGTCCTGAAGTCAGCTACCAGACCTGAGCCAGACCAGTCTCGAAAGCCGTGGCGGCAGCGACGCTATAAAAGTTCGCTGGTCACGAAACACACCAAAGGCTCATCACGTGCCCGGCCCAAGGATGCTAGAATGCTGGTGTGGTGGCACTGGGTGAACAGATCCTGCACCTTTAAAACTTGGAAACAGAACAGTCAAAAACAACCATCTCAACGTCTAAGTCCACATGTACTTAAATAAAAATGCAAAGCCAGTATGCATATATATATATATATATATATATATATACACACACACACACACACACACACACTGTATGTGTGTATATATATAGATGTTTTTTATATATATAAAAATTTAAAGAAGGTTAGTTATTTTGTGATAAATAACAAAAGGAAATAAGCATGCCTGTTAGTTAAAAGGACATTTTTGGTAATTACGGTAGTAAATTCAGTCTTGATAAGAACATTTCAAAAATACAATTTCCTGAAAGCTGTCTATTTTTCATGGGACATTTTCAACAATATACTGAAGGGTAATTGGAAACTAGTTTTGAATATTTCATTTTGGACAAAAAATATAGGCTTTTCACTTTGAGATCACAATCTTGTCCTCAAACATTAATTCCTCCACCAAAAAGAAAATCCCTGCTCCAGCCATGTGAGTTTTGGTTTTTCACTGAAGCCTCTCCTTTGTCTGGAATGTTCTTCATATCACCCCCAAAATAATCACACCAAATGGCCAAAGGGCTTTCTTTATCAGTTGGCCTTAATGCTCTAAATGATACATAAAGCATTTTGCAAACACTCTCTGGACTTTCTGGAGACACTAGCATTAAAACCAAAGCACTGGCCAAGGACTACTTAGGAAATAGACTGCACTGACCACCAGCTGGAGGGACAACTTGGTCAAGTAATTTCATGCTGGTTTTCTTCCAAATTTTCTTTATCACAGCCCGAAGTTCTTCATTAGCTTGCTCCAGGTTCCCTGGATTCAAAAAACAAAAGGGGAAAAGCAAGCCTCATTTCTGTTCCCCAGCTCCTCCTCTGCTTGCACAGCCTTGTCCCAGCCTGACCTGGATGAACATGCTGCCCTCTGATGGGGCTCCACTCCCACCAGGCTCTCCCCAGTCAGGGGCAAACACACTTCCTATATTCAGCAATAGCGATCATGCCTTCCCAGTGGGAAGTCCCTCCACCATGGGAACAAACACGGTTCACCCTGGGATTCAAGGCCTGTCCCACTCTGATTCCATCCTGCCCTCCCACAGCTGAGACCTACTACTTGCTTTCCATTGTTCCCAACCCAGAATGTCTTTGCCTTCTGCTCTTTCATGGGTTGTTCCAAATCGTACCTCCTTCCTTGAAGATCCAGCCTAAATTTCACCCAAATAAGACTCTCAATTCCTACTATATGTACTCATCCATACAACATAACCTTGGCCTTTTATTATATGAGCTGACACTTGTCTTTTCAACTAACATGTCAGTATAGAGGACCATTCTGCCTTCTGGAGCCCTTAACAATGCTGGCCTGGGGCCAGGTACAGACAAGCATGCTACAAGGCGCCCCTGTTAGTTAGGCTGGAAGAGGCTGGCTTTGCTGGATCAAGTCTCCCTGGGCTCTAGGGTTGTAAGAAGTCACCTGCCTGCACTCAGCATGAGTCCCTTGCTGCCTCCTCTTCCCTCTCCTCCACCAGTGCCTCAGAGAGTCAGCTCTCCTTGAGGTCTCCACCTCCCACCTCCCCCCACCTCCTGGTCACTCCTCAGCCTGTTGCAATCTGCTCTCCATTCCACCTCTGAAGTCACCACTGAGCCAGCTCCAATGGCCACACTCTAGTGCCTGTTTTACCAGGATTTGACCAGGGCTGAGCATGGCTGTGAAGGCCATTCTGGTTTGGTCTCTCAGCTGGGAAGATGCTGATCCCACTATATTTCTCAAGTGCTGACTGTGTGCTAGGCACTGCAAAGGAGCTTTTGCAGACATCACCTCATTTCATCCTCAGGACCTCCTAGACATCCCCGTATTTCCTTTTCATAGGGAAAGAAACTACAGCTCAGACCAGTGAAATCCCTCACTGCAGGTCATACAACTAGTTAGGGATGGTTGGAGTGAGTTCATTTGTGATGGCTTCGTCTCTGCTCCGATACCCTGCCTGTTTCCCTTGCTATGTAGTAAGCAGTAGTATGAGTCAACTCAAAACATTCTGGGACAAAGTGAAGCATAAAGGAAGGAGATAAAGGATGAGGAAACAGGAGGCAGGGGCCAGCCGGCAAGCCCAGCATGGACATCTTCATTCTACTTGCCAGCCCCTTCCCCAGGGCCTCCCCTTGGCCAAGAAAAGGCCCAGATGAGGAAGGCAAGATGGGATGTGATGTCTCTCTCCTTTCCTGCCATCTTGTCTTGCTGGCAGGGAATGCTCACCTTCGGTCTTGATCTTAAGAGCCGTTCGAACCAAAGCAAACAGGGTTGCATTAAACATGACTGTCCCGTCACTGTTGAGAGGCATGTTCATGGCAACTAATCTCTGTAAACAGAAAGGAAGGTTTCTTTGTAGAATGCAAATGAGTGACCACGACCATATCCTTTTGGATGTTTATTTTCCGTTTATCACTCATCTCTTTTCTAGTCAACCCTCAATTCCATTCAACAGCCATTTGGGGGTACGCATATGATGGTTAATTTAGGTGTCAAGTTGACTGGGCCACGAGATGCCAATTTGGTTAAACATGATTTCTGGGTGTGTCTGCGAGGGTTTTTCCAGATGAGATTAGCATGTGAATTGGTAGAGTGGGTAGAGTGAGTAAAGCAATGCCCTCCCCAATGTGGGTGGGCCTCATTCTGTTGATGAGGGCCCACAGAGAACAAAAAGGTGGGGGAAGATTTAATTCTCTCTCTATAGGCCTGATTAAGCTGGGACATCAATTGTCTCCTGCCCTTTGACTGAGGCTTACACCATGGGCTCCCCTGGTTCTCAGGACTTTACTCAGAGTGGACACCAACACCAGGTCCAGCTTGCAGATGGCAGACCATGGGGCTTCCCAGCCTCCATGATCACGTGAGCCAATTCCCCATGATAAACCTCTGTGTGTGTGTATATACATATACACATATATACACACAAATACACACACACACACACACATACATACATATACACCTCCATATCCATCCTATTGGCTCTGTTTCTCTGGAGAACCCTGATTAATACAACCTACCACTTAGGGGACTCTGGGATGACAAAGATCAAAGGTTTAGTCATGAAATATAAATGTTAACACGCAGATGATGTTTTGTTTTTTAAACCGTGAAACTTCACTGTTCAAACAGTCTTCTCCTTTTTTTCACTAATCTCAATGGAGATCTTAGGGTCAGACCTCCATTCCAGGCACATTGTTTTTGTTTTGTTATGTTTTTTTAGAGATGAGGTCTCGCTTTGTTGCCCAGGTTGGTCTTGAACTTCTGGCCTCAAGGGATCCTCCTGCTTTGGCCTCCCAAAATGTTGGGATTACAGGTGTGAGCCACCGTGCCCGGCTCCAAGCATGTTTTTAAAGCTGTTGTGAGGGTTAAAGGAAGTAAAAGACAATGGGCCAGGCACAGGGCCTGGGACTTAGGTTCTCAACCGACGGGATCCATTACTATTCCCAACTCAGGGAATGTCCTTCAGACCTTGCCTAGTTAGACCATCATGTACATCTTGTGGCATTTTGCATGAGCCTATGTGGCTTCTCCCAGGCTTTGGTCTTTCAGAGCAGGATCCATGCTCCCCACTCCTCTTCTATATCCTGATCCCTTTAACACCAGCAATGAGAGTTGGAGGGGGTTTGGGTGAGGTACACCCTCTCTGGACCCCAGTCACTTCAACCTGTAAATGCAGATGACATGCCCAATGGATGGGAACTTGCAAGGATTAAAGGACTCACGGACACAAAGAGTTTTGTGTGAGGCAAATGGCAAGCACTAAATTAATGGTGATGTTGATAATATTTAAAAACTTCTTATTTTTCATTAACAGCATGTTCCAAAAGAAAAGATTTTCTTTCTCTTCCATATTGATGATTTGGAATCTTGTGTCTGCATAAGTCCATCCCACCCAAATTCCTAGTCCTCCTACCAACCCCGGCACCCTCTTCAAAACCAGCACAGGCAGCCAGGGAACCCTGGACATTTGTTCACTTTTCCTGGTAAGTTCCTGAGTCAGCAAAATGGATGACTGTGCCTCAAGGACATTTGAAAGCTTTATGTAAAAGGGTCTGGAAATTTAAACACAAGAAGACATCAGTGAACGGGATCCCACACTGTTCTTGGAAAGCAGAAAAGAGGCCAGTACTGGGAAGTTTATGGAAAAAAAAAAGTCAAGCTCTGTTTCAATATCCAGAGTCCGGCCTGAAGAGAGGCAAGGACCCTAAGGCCTTGCCTAGAAGGCTTTCTGGATTTTCAGGGCAGGGAACATGAGTCTGGCTCAAGGGATTTCTTTGAGAGTCTGAAACATATTTTAGACTCTGTTCTGCTACCTTGGTTTCTGTCTAGAGCTGGCTCAGCATCCTGGAGTGGTAAAAACGCCTGACCCCAGGATCTCCTTGGATCCATGAGGAGCAAGAACTAGTTGCTATGCAGACTGTATGAATTTCTAGAAGGCAGAGTTTCAAGAGGCAAACCTTGCGTTTTCCTTGAAAAAGGAAAATCTTTTTTGTCGCTGCAACAAATGTAAGGTGCTACACCGTGAGTTCTGTGGAAGGAAAAGTCTCACTGAGGGTTCCTGAGAGCGTGCTCTGGCATGGAAACACAGAACTGCGTTGCACTGGGAGATCTGCATCCATCCCTGAGAGACTAGAGCCTAGTGTGCCAGCAAAGGGGCCCCATTTCCTGTGGTGGCCACAAAGCTCTGTAGCAGAGGGGACGTGTGGAACACAGAGCACCATGTCCCCCAATGCCGAGGCTGGGAGATGTGCTCTCCTAGCACTCCCCCTCCCCTCACCCAGGCCACCAAGTCCTCCCCACTCCACATCCTAAGTGGATCTCCAAGCGACTGCTCCTATCTCTTCCCACTTCTGCTGCCTTCGTTCTGGCTCTCCTGGTTGATCCCCCTGCCTCAGGTCTACTTCTCCATTGCCAACAGCCAACTTCCTAACATGGGAACCTGAAATTCACGTTTCCTCCCCATTCTCCTGGACCTCAGCAGGACAGAGAAGGCTCAGCTTGTACCTGGGGCCTTCTGACTTCCTCTTATGTCCTAGCCAAAGGATGACCCAATGGCTCACCCTTTGCCATTACGATGTCCATTCTCCTGCCTCCTTCTGAGCCCTCCCTGCCTCTGACAAACTCCTGTGTTCCTTCTGGACCGGACTGAAATGTCGCCTTCTCTACCATCCACCCAATGACAAATTACAGAATTCCCTTCCTCTTCTGATGGTTCCTGAGAGGGTGTCCAAAGAGTTACAAATCTGAGATTTCCCCAGAGGTAGGAACCACATATTATTCATTGCTGCATCCCTAGCAACTGACAGAAGGCCTGGCTGTGTCACTTAACAAGTGTTTGTTAAATGAAGCAAGCTTCTACAAGACAGGCTGTCAGACACGCACACAGGACACTCACCTTGCACGCTACCCTGTGTGGACATAACTTCCCAAACCCCAGGGGAGGCTGGATGCGTCGAAGCAGAGTGACCACATCAAGGTGTTTTATCCTTCCCCTGGAAGTAAAATACAATCTAAGGTCCAGGAACAGTACCAGCTGGCCCGAACTTTCAGTCCACTCCACAAAAAAAGCTGACATTCCAAAATCCACCCACACACGCCAAATCAAATATTTTTCAACCTACTTTGCCTCAGGGTCATATTCTGACCATATTCTTTTGAATTCATCTAAATGGTGAGGCCCCAAAATAGACCAGTCCCGGGTCAGATAGTCGAAATTATCCATGATGACAGCCACAAACAGATTGATGATCTGAAAAAGCAAATAGGAAAGGAAGAACTTCAGCTGCAGCTGGATTGCGTTAGAACTGAGCACAGGCTTTCTAATGACATGGACATGAAACATGGGAACCCATGTCTCCAAGAGAAGTTGTAAAAACTTTCTATTTGGAGAATGTTTAAGAAAAGAGTGTGATTCTAGCTTTCTGGAATGGCTTTAATTAAGTCCTGGGGAAGGAAGGCCTTCTGAAACACATTGCAGTTTTATAATTTCATTATCACCAAATAATTCACACTCTTAGGTCACCACCATATGCACTGGCTTTGAAATTTTAGAAAGGAACCCTAAGAAGCTAAGGTGATTGGTAATTGCTCCAAGCCGATTAGTGAGCACCAAATCTCTGCTTACAAAGGTGGCGGCAGTGACACACGCCTGGTTAAACAAAAGCCCTCAACTGCCAAGTGGAGTCCAGAGTGCTCATCCACATCAATTGTCCTCAGGCGATGGGACAGGGCAAGGCCATTTGTGTGAACGCTGACTGCTACATAAGCATCTGTAAATTGAGAGGGGGAGCTGTGTTGCTCACTTACCAGAAATGCACAGAGCATGTAAAAACTGATGAAATAGACAATGGCAAAGTTGCTCCCACATGTATACTCCTCCCCGGGGTTGTAATCTGACTCAGGGTCACAGAGCTTCCCTGGGAGACAGGCCAGCATGATCTCCTGCCAGGCCTCACCTGTTGCACACCTTTTTCAGATGAAGAACAAAGGGGCTTTAGTGGGGGAAAGAAGGAATTTGAAGCTTAGATCTTAGGGGAGAAAAACTCATAATTAGAGCAAAACCTAAGTCATTTGAAGAAAATCCAATTTGAATTAATGGAAATGTGAAATTCCTACTGATTTTCACGTGCAACTTATCACAGTAACTGGAGGTCCTGCTGCAATTCCCTTGGATTTACAGCCATCATCTGATGCAAGCGCGCTAACTGTCTGCATATAAATGGATGCTTGTTTTTGTGTCTTCTCTACTTTAAACATTTGTATAATTAACAGTAATTAATTATTATTATTATTTGAGACAAGGTTTTGCTCTGTTGCCCAGGCTGGAGTGCAGTGGTGTGATCTTGGCTCACTGCAGCCTCGACCTCCTGGGCTCAGCCTCCCCAGTAGCTAGGACTACAGGCAGTTGCCACCACACCTGGCTAATTTTTGTATTTTTAGTAGAGTCAAGGTTTTGCCATGTTGCCTGGGCTGGTCTCGAACTCCTGGGCTCAAGCGATCCACCCACCTCAGCTTCCCAAAGTGCTGGGATTACAGGCGTGAGCCACTGCACCTGGCCTATTGATTATTTTTAATGACCAAAATACTTAACAACTTAAGTCTCTGTTCAATTTTGTTGAAGGCAGAGCTGGAAACCACCTAACTTGCAAATGACTTGTCAGTCACTAGAGTCATTAGAAATACTTCATGATCTCTAGAAAGTTTTCTCACTATGAGGGCAGCTTGTTTTACAAAGTTAATTAACTGACGTTAAAAGCAATCCCAAAAAATTTGAAATCATACATCTTAGGATGTTCCCCACTGGCTGTGCAAAAGGCCTTGACGTTTTTGCTAAGTTTCTGTCTTCCTGGTCGTGTTCAAGTGCATGCCTCCATGCATAAACGTACATCCTACAATTTTTCAGGTGGCCTAAGTAGCCCTACTAACTCCCAAATGAATAAACCTTATGCCAGCCACAATCGGGATTACCACAGCAGTTTTAACAATCCAGCAAAATTCCTGTGTTTGAAATGCTAGGGTCTGTGTTTAAGAATACAGAACAAACAAAAACAAAAAGCCATCACAATCAACTGAGAAAGGCACACTGCTTTAATAACCTGTGTCCTCCGTCCCTCTGGACCCACGCCTAGCGGACCCCCCTGCCCAGGAGCACCGCCCAAGCCAGTTGCAGTCACCTGAAGAGCAGCAGCACCGCCTGGGGAAACGTCTGGAAGTTATTGTTCCTATTGATCTGGTTGTTATCTCTCATGGCAACTTTCCCAAACATCTAGGTGGAGAAGTTGTCAGGAAAAAGAGAATAGATTTCGTCATGCAAAAAAAATCCGTATGTGAATTTAGAACTAACTCAGGTTTGATCTTTACCAGCTAGGGTTTTCTCATGGTACCTGGCACTTCACTCATTCAAAAAAGATCTGCCAGGCACAACCATGTGCCAGGCAGCAGGTTACACACTGGGAACGTGGTGCTCCAGAGGGGCACGGTCTCACATTCGCGGATCTCCCCTGGGGGAGACACAAAGGTAGCCAGGCAACATCAAACCCCAGTGATGATGCTGGGGTGGTCCAGACACACAGGGAAGCGTGAGACAGGCTCATCTACTGAAGGCTGGGGGGCTGGGTCAGGGAAGGCCTCTAGGGGGAAGTGACATGTAAACTCAGAACTGAAAGATACATCAGGTGATAGGAAAGGCGAAGAGTGTTTCGGGTGGAGGGAGCACCATGTGCATAGGAGCAGGGTGACAGCATAGATACCGAGGGAATGAAAATAACGTGTGATGAGCAGACAGATAAAAGACCAGGCTGGAGACAAGGGCAGGAGGCAACAGGCAGGGGCTGTGAGCCCCGGGCAGAAGAGTGGGCTTTATCTTCAGGGCAATGGGAAGGTACTAAAGAGTTTTACTTGTGAGATTTAGGGAGCAGACTGACATTCTAGAGAAACCTGCAGATGCTTACAAACGCCTGCTGGGTGAATCTGGGGTTGTGTGTGCCATGCAGCTTGCAGTTCTGAGATGGCTTTTTTTTATGAGAACATATGTGATAAAAGACCTTCCAGGGCACATAGCACCACGTGCTGCTGAATCACAGAGGCTCAAGTATGCTGACTTTTGTTTCATAACTCCTGGTAAGATTCCCAGAGATCTGCAAATGCTTCTATGCTTTCAGGATTTTAAAAAAAAAAAAGAAAAAAGAAAAAAGCACTACCATTTCTCTGCCCCAAAAATCATAGAATCACTTTACTTCTTTCTGACTTACATCCCTCCTTTACCTGAAAGACAGCACCTGCACACGTGGAGAATCTGCAAGGAGCCTGCCAGCAGAGATCTACAGCCACCTGGGCTCTTCGACTGCCTCCATTCTTAGACTAGGCTGCCTCCCTCCACCCACAACCCATCCCACTGCCCACTTGATGTTAGGGCTCCTCTGTTAGGCAGGCCCAGTCCCTTTCCCATGCCCAGGAGGAACTGGGAAACAGGGTGCAGCCCCTCTGCTTGGGTCACAGAAGAGCCCAGTTTCATGCCTCTTTTTAAAGGTGAGCTACTAAAGCACAACAATGGTCACAAAAGGCACTTGGCTCAGCACCAGCCTTCTGTTCCCGCGACGGCTCGGCACAGACTGAAAAGACCCACGAGGGGCTACTTGCTTCTCTCTTCAGTCTTGGCATCTGGAAATAGTTAGTTTCAAGTGAATTTCACTTTGTTATGATAAAGCATAATTCTTCTGCCATGACATGCAGTTTTTCCTGGTGCATTCTAACCTCTCCACATTCATCTGAGCCTGGGCCTCCCCTGGAGCTCTCTACTAAGCAGCTTTGTCTTTCTCATCTTCCTAGGCTTCAGCAGAGGCATTTGGCTGAAAAATCACAATGCTTCTACTTCACTTGGTCAGGGTACATCTTGCCACAGATTTGGGGCTACCCAGTGAAAGGGCCCCTGAGGGCGAGATGGCTGGAGCTTACCTGCATGCCAATGACCGCATAGATGAAGAACAGCATGGCTATGAGGAGGGCCACATACGGGAGCGCCTGGGAGAGAAAAGGCACTTGGCTCAGCACCAGCCGGCTGTCCCCGTGACGGCCCGCCACAGCCTGAGAAGACCCATGAGTGGCCACATGCTTCCTTTCTATTCCACGTGTTACCGTGAAAGAATATCGACAGTGAGGAAGAACCGTTTAAATCCCAGCCCTGCCCAACTACTTTAGTCCTGAAGACACCATCCACATGCACGCCCAGTGTTACAATATTACAGGCAGGATGTGCTTTCCACGGTCATTAACCCTGTAGCCTAACCCTAAACATTTTCAACACAGACACGTAACTCTCATAATCCTTAAATTCATTACTGGATTTTTGGGGTGAAATTATAATTGATCAAACCATTCCAGAACACTGGACATTTAGAGTACTTCCACTTTCTTTTGTGGGTATGTTTTGGGGGGCGGTATTGTAGATAATGTCGCAAAGGAATATCTTTATGCAAAACCACCTTGCTTCTGCTGAAGTATTTCCTTAAGGTGAAGTCTTAGGAGTGGAATTACTGGGTCAGAGGGGAAGAACCACTTTCTGGCTGTGGCTGTAGGATGCAAAATACCTCTCTTAAGATGTACACCTTCTGAAAGAACTGCTAAGTTGGGGGGCTGGGCCAGGGAAGAAAAGGAGTGAGCTGGGGGGTCGCCAAGTGTGGCTCCCTTCATAAACACCAAATACAAGTACGAGTGTCTGACAGATCCCCCGTCCTTTCACTGAATGTCAACTGCTGTCTTACCTCATCACATGTGACCAACACGTCTACCTGCACAGGGTGCCCAGAGTGTTAGGCTTAATTCTGGGAACACATGCTTAAAGCACCCGCTTTCTCTACTATCCGAGAGAGCTTGTCAGAAAGTCAGTGGCTCACAGGTGCTCAGCCACCTTCAGACCTGTGCCAGCTGTTGACCTGTGCCTGCCAGCCTGGCCCTCCCTGCAGCTGGACTGCTCAGCAGGGTCCCACAGAGTTCGTTTCAGGCTTTCCTCAACATACCTACGTGCATTTTCTTCCTAGATTGCCAAATGTTTACGATTTTTGTTTGCACAGTTTCTCTGCTTTTATGAACTGCTGCTCTGGAACATGACTTTCTTATCTGTGGCAAATTGAATCTTTAAGAATTTCTTTAAAAAGTGAGATAACATTACCTCTGAATTATCTATTTTTATAGCAGTTTGTTCCCAAGTTTTGGTACTTTAAATGAATAATAACTGTCGAGGATTCTGTGCCTTAGCAAGTTCAAGGCTCACCTGCCTGAGGCCCCCACTTTACCTTCCTCCAACCTCATTCTCCCCAGCAGGATCTGTGACTTCCCTTGTGAGTGCCTGCACCACCCCGCTTGCTGTCCCTTCTCCCTTTTACCTGTGAAAATCCCATCTACTAGGGACAAATGCTTACTGGGAGGGTAACACTGGTTACCCCAGGGGTGGGTGAGGGCCAAGTTTGAAATTTCTCTTTATATACCTTTGGACAGCTTCATTTGTTATTGTAAACATTTATAACTTTTGAATGAAAAATAGTCAAATAATTTAAAAAATGAAGATGCAGGATTCACTTTCTAATGCTTGTAGATATCCACAAATTCCCTACATGGGTCCACCTTTTACTAAGAATCTATATTTCCCACACCTTCTCTTCCAAATGGAATCAGTCCAGAAGGCTAGAATGTCTGGGGCAGGGTACTGGCAGGTACGGGAAAAGCTGGTTCTACTTGGGAAAGTCTAGAACCGAGCTGTGCCAGCCTGGAGAATCAGAGGTGACAAATGAGACATGGTGTATGCCCAAACATCCCGAACTCTGTGACCCTTCCAGGTGCAGGATAACCCAGTGATAGTGCACTGGCCCAGGTGGTGGTTTCTGATTTGTATCTAGACTAGCCAACAGACACAGCACTGTTGTAGCCTTATGAGGAAAAGGTGTCAGAGAGAGGCTGTTGGGCTTCCAGGCAGTCTGCTGGGACCTGGCACTCACCACCACCACCAGGCATCCCGGGGGCACTGCAGGGCTGCAGGCCCCACACCTCTCTCAGTCTTGGAAATGCTACAGATCTCTCAGCTACGGATCCTTCCTGCTTTCTCTTCTGTTTCCTTTAGGCAAGTAATCCCATGTGATTGACCCAAGAAATGCTGATTTGGGTCTCTCCAGCATTCCATGTTTTCTATTGATTTAGGTCCACAGAGTGGCCACACAGGGGGAGCCTGGGTCCTCTAGGATGGGGACAATCACTGACTTACATATGATCTTCAAAGACAAAGAGAGAAGTCCTTGGCATGGCTCTTACCTGAAAGGACTTAATAAAAGTCCACAGCAATGTCCGGATGCCTTCCCCCCTGCTGAGAAGCTTCACCAATCGCATCACTCGGAAAAGACGGAAAAAGGTGATGGAGATTCTATTGCTCTCTTCAGAGTTCTGAAGGGTTATCATGGAGAGGTCAAACCCAATGGAAAGTAGAACATGCAACACTTTCAGAAAAACAGCAACAGATGCAAAGGTGACAGAGGTAAGAACTGAAGATGTGATTCTAGGGCCTTTTCATCTTAAAAAGCATGATATGAAAGGAAGAGTTACATGCTAACAACACAGAGCTCGGAAAACTGCGTCCACACAGCACATGCATGTCCACGTATTCTACTGTGTTAGAGGAGAACGCTGGGCTGGTCAAGAGTACTGGACACTGATGATGAATGCAAACCACTGCAGACACTGTTCTGGAAGGACAATCATGGAGAATACAGAAAAACCAGTGGAAAACTCGACATGGTCAAATAAACTTAAGGAAAAGGCCCAGCCCCTGGGGACTAGTCACTGATCTTACCCCAGGTGTAGCAGTTGGGACAGGGACATTTTCACTTTCAGTTGGCTTTAAGAAATCAAAGATTGAAAATGGATTAATGAACCAGGAAGGAGTCAATGGTTCCAGAGAGCATTTCCCCCTTTAAAAAAATGTGTGGTTCCCATCTTTAGACACCACACCTGCTCCCTCCCTGAGAAAATACCAGTGGCTCTCCTTGGAGGTGGACTTGAGGGCAGGCAGCCATGGACATGGGCATGGACACAGTACCACTTTCTAATTCACATCTGGGGACATGCTGTGCCCAGGCTGACAGGCATCCAGTAAAGGCAGTGCTGCAAGACCTCAACAGATGCAGAGTGTGCCCCCGCTTCTCGCGAGGAGGCTAGTTCTCTTGGCTTAGTCAGGGCTGTGGGTCTCAGGAACTAACCGCTCTGCAGCAGGCCTCCTAGCCCCGAGGAACAGAATGTCTCTAGCAGAGGGGCAAGCAGTGGTGCCTGCCTGCGGGCCACAAACCCCCTTGGACCACACTCTGTTCCTATGAGACTAAACGCCTGGGTGGTGTATGTCTGACAACAGCCTCTTAGGCAGGGCTGCTGAAAAGCTGGACAGACTGAGTCAGGGCGAGGAGGAGAGAGGCAGGCTTCCCTACAGAAACCCTCGCTGCCTGCCCCACAGCTCAGACAGCTTTCACATAAGAGGGAGTGCAGGTCCGTATGAGTCTTTGGAAGAAACAGTGGAGGACCAGCTCCCCTGTGGTTCAGCAGCTCCACCTCCTCCAGGGTCTGGCTGTGCTCCTGTCCCTCGGCCCCAGGATGCAGAATCTGTAATGACTGGTGCTTACCTGCCCCCCAACCCCCACCCCAGGGAGGGCAGGGGCCTTGCCTCACTCCACTCCGTGCCCAGCATGGTGCCTAGCACTACCTGAGTGTTCAGAAAGTGTCTGAGAGAACACAGAGGAGTTGGAAGCAAACTCCAGCCAGCACCAGGAGGCATCTTTACATTAAACAGCAACAGTCAGCGGAACCAGAGCCAGCATGTGCCAGCCTCTCTTTTCCCCTCAGTGGTGTCACCAGGAGCCGACAGAGAGAAATGAGGCTCTTCCGGTTAGGGGCTTCAAGGACGCTTTCTGTACAGTGTGTCTGCAAAGTTAAGGGACATGTGTGCACGTCTGGATGTGCTCACTTCTCGAGGGCCTCCTCCCTGGGGATCTGGGGAAAGGTAGAGCTCAGTTCTGAAGCCTCTCTAGCATCAAGGGCTACCTCCTGAGACCAAAGGGAAATTCTACAAAGTTCACAGAAAATAAGGGGTTTCAGCATATCACAGAAAAACTGAAATTCAGTAATGTGACAATGAACCCAAGAGGAACAGGTTCTGACAGAGTTTAAAAGGGGTCCTTGCTTCTCCTGGGATGCTCAGAATGGGAACTCTGCCACAGGTTTATCAAAAACCCAGGATTGCTATTTTTATTTCCCTCTTCTATTAGTTCGTCTCAAAAGAAATATCAGCTCCTTAAAGGGACAGACAATGTTTTTCAACTTAAGACCTTAACAAATGAAGGAACTAATTTTTTAAAGTTCTCATCATTTTCCACATCATTCTCACTAAGGCTGTGCACAGGAAGGTTCCACTCTTCCCTCTCTGGCTGGAGTGTGGGGTGTGAGTGTGCATGCTAAGTGTGCCCGCATGTGCACCTCTGCTTGCCTGTGTTCAGGGGACCAGGCAGTGTGCACGAGAGAGACGGCTCTACAGTTATCCTTCTGAAATGTGCACAACTTATGTATCAGACCTGCAAGACAGTAAGGGGCCTGTTGGTCAGGGAAGACACTCCTGGCCACAGTCTGGCCTAAGACCCTCCTGCGGGCCTCTCCCTATTCTGCTTCAAGTCTGATACGCCATCCACGGCCCCCTTCCTTAGAGTTTGTGAAAGTCAGCAACCGAACTGAATTTCGAAGTGTACATCTCTTCAACTGATATCTTTGAAACTGACAACCTATGGACTATGAACTTCAAACCATGAATATTCTGTTTAAAAGAACAAAAGGGAAGAGGAGACAGCATTTGTAAAGGGAGAGGGCAGCACAACATGCGAGGGAGGGAGGAAGGAAAGAGCAAACAGCACACCAGGCTTCATGCACCCTCAGTGCGCCTGCGACACCTCCCCTCCCACCACACACCACTGGGCATGGGGGGCTGCTTCAGGGGAGGATGTGACTGGCAGCCCCGGGGGGACAGTGCAAGTTGCCAAAATATCTTACAAATTTAAAGAACCCTGAGGATGGCTTTTCCCAAATGACAAATGTCAGCCCAATGAAAAGGGGAGGCCAGCTCTCATACTAGCCTGAACACTAAAACCACCTGGGGATCTTTAACAAAATCTCTGAAGCCCAGGTCCCACCCCAGGGATTCTTACTTAATGGATCTGGGGCGTATCTGCATGTTGGGAATTTTATTTTGTTGTTTTTTTTTTTTTTTTGAGATAGAGTCTCCCTCTGTCACCCAGGCTGGAGTGCAGTGGCATGATCTTGGCTCACTGCAACCTCTGCCTACAGGATATCAGCAATTCTTCTGCCTCAGCCTCCTGAGTAGCTGGGATAACAGGCGCCCGCCACCATGCCTGCCGAATTTTTTGTATTTTCAGTAGAGATGAGGTTTCACCATGTTGGCCAGACTGGTCTCCAACTCCTGACCTCAGGTGATCTGCCTATCTCGGCCTCCCAAAGTGCTGGGATTACAGGCATGAGCCACTGCGCCAGACCTCCATGTTGGGAATTTTAAAAGCTCCTTGGTGATTCAAATATGCTGCCAGAGCTGAGAACTCCAGTCCTGGGCCAGGGTAAAGCTGGCCCGAGTAGTTAACAGGTGGCCTATACCAGCTAATGCCCTTTAGATCTCGAGCGGCCATACAGAGTGGGGTCACTAGAAAAGCCCACTCAGGCTGCTGTGGCTGAACAGTGGGTTCTTTCTGGGTTGACGAGGGAACAGTACACGGATGAAGAGAGAGCGATTAGACTCCATCCCCATCTCCCCTACAAGGGATGGAGGAGGTTTCAACATGAAGGGAACTGGTGGAGCTGGAACGCAAGTGGGCTACGCTATGCTGGACACCCCTAGAGGACACCAGACTGGGGAAGGACTCTTCACTAGGTAGCTTTCCAAACATGGCCACAAGGGGCTACTAATCAGTTTTCAATAAGCGGAATTCCAGTGTCACCTCAGGGCTTGGACAAGACAAACTTGGCAGTTCCTTCCCACCCTAAGATGTCACATTCTTCAGCTGGGAACCCTACAGGAGACAGCCCCTTAGCCTCAGGAGGCCGGACTACATGTCAGGGTCCAGAAAGCTCCTTAGATTCCTGGGGCTCTGCTGATGTTCCCTCGAGCCTCTTCCCACAGGGCTCTCAAGCAGGCTCTTACCACATAGGCTCTGGGGCAGCCCCCTGCAACCGTGGAAGTCAAAAAGACCCTGAGGTTCCCAAGTGAAATCAATGAAATCAGTCCATTTCATTTTCTGTTTTAATTTCTATCTGTGCTTGGAAGAGCTGAGAGGATGCAGCTTTCTAATTCAGATAGGAAGCAAACCAGCATCCCAGAACAGCTGGGCCAGGTAACCCGAGGCATTGCGGAGAAGCCAGTCTTCCCTCTGACTATTTCTGAGCTCACAGGTAACACCTCTGGGAGGAGGGCTTCTTTATTTGGGGTTGCTGGGTCTGTGTCCACAACCCAGTGCCCAGCTGAGCTGGCTCCTGGGAAAGGGTTCACATATGAAATGGGGGACTACACAACCTTACTGTGGGGTCAGAAAAAGAAGATGAGTGAGACTGTCAGCCACCTGGTCCAAACAGCATACCTTAAAAGGCAGGGACCATTCCTGGATCTCTGAGAGTGAGCTCCCTAATGACTTTTTACCTGCTCCTTCAAAGTAAGTAATAATAAGGCAGATACAGCTTCTAAACAAGTGTTTTGCCTCCCAGACACTAATGATAATGAGAAGAGACAAATGTCAGTGACAGCCATCCATGGGTTAGGGACAGTATGTTGCTGGGTCATTTCATCATTCAAGGAACAAACAGGCATCAAAGAGGGACGGAGCAAGAGGGAGCCCAGCAGTCACAGTGTGTCATTTTAGCAGCCTGGTGAGGTTAGGACCAAATGTGATGGAGATAAGTCCATGAGTGCTGCCAAACCAGGAACTGAGCGGGGTGTGGGGACATGGGAGGGGGACAGTAGGATGAAGCAGGCTGGTGCGTGCGCAGGCAGGACCATGCAAAGGACTACCCAAAACGTTTTTGCAAAGAATACAAACGCAGGCTGAATTCAATCATTTCTCAGCCAGATCATTCATTCTGGAAGACTATGTTGGCAAGTCACAGAGCCAAGTGTGACTGACCAAGATGGCCCCAGGCTGGAGATGACAATCTATGGGATGGGGAACAATTTAGATGATTGCAACCAATCCTTAGCACGTCCTGTGGAGCGCAGTGAAAACCAAAGGTGGAGAGGCCAAAAACAAGCACACATTCTTTAGAAGTGCTTTGCTTTAAGGACTTCACCGTATATATGCTTATATATACTTGCCGCTACAATTTTCTAAAAATAAAACCAACATGAAAATCAATTAGGCAACAGAAAAGAAAGATCAACAGAGTTTGGGGAAGAGAGCATGGCAGGTTAAACATTGCAAACAATGATGACTTATGGCAGCTACAACCAGCCAATGATGAACCAAAGGTGTTCACACCCAGCTGACAGCTGACCCCTCAGCTCAGGGGACAAGGCCACCAAGGATGTGATGTGCACTGCTCCCCAGGGGAACTACATGTGGAGGGGAGTGGGGTGTCAGAACCAACAGTCCCACTGTCATGTATTTACACCAGAGGTTAAGGACACCCAGTCCTTTTTTATCTTTGTGCCTCCCCACAGCCTAGCCCAGAGCCTGTAAGTGATAGATGCCCAGTGAATGTGTGTTGAAAGATGGAATAAATGTGAAGGTGGCCTTGAGCATCCCCTCTGTTCCAAGGCCCAGCAAGGAGACACTGAGATTTCTGAAGGTGGTGTTCTGCTGGCCTGGGGTAGGGAACTGGCATTGCCATGGCTGAGGAATATATCTGGTCTCAGGCCACAGCTGACCAGGAAAAAGGTCACTGACTGAAAGCACACTATGGGAGTGTCTGCCTAGGTGATTTTGAAAGTTTAATTGCATGCCAAGAAGGGGCCCCCTGAAAGCCTGTGTTGCACAGATACCCCAATGTCAAATGCTAACTAGAAACTTCAGCGTAGACCTGCCCCTTTCCTGACTGGTGCAAGGTGAACACAGCAACACTGATACACTGATGAGCAAAGCTGGGCCACAGGGGACAGGGGCAGCGGGAGGAGCAGGGCCAGCCTGCAGCACACGTGAGGCAGCCAGGAAGCCGGGCGCGTGCTGTCCCTGAGTACATGGGTGCTACACCCCTGCCAGCCAGCAGGCAGGTCAGGCGTGAGAAAGCTGGGTGTCCCCAGGTGGACAGACCTTGGCCACATCCTGGTGCCCGGAAGCTAAGTGTTTACACCCACCACCTGCACAGCACTTGAAGTGCTGAGCAGTCCAGGGAGATCTGCCCTGCTGCTGGTTTATTGTATTTTCGCTTCCATTATAGGCCATCTCTGGCTCACAGAAGGGTATGTTCCAGAATTTTCATGTAAATATACCTCCGAGTAGATTGTAAGCACTTTGCGTTGTGAGATGATTAAGGTGGCAGATGTCTAGCCATAAACTTCGGAGAGAGCTCAGGGCAGCCCAGTTAGGGACCTGCTGTTCTCCCATTAGCACCAGCTTATTTTACAACCAAGCATCATTTACATATCTGAATGGCAATTTTATAGCTGACACATGGAACATTTCACATGAAGTAGAATTTACATGTCTGGGCTTTAGAAGTTGGAATATGTGTATACCTAGGTCTAGCAAAATACCATCTGAGTGCCTGGTCATAGCGTGGCATGACGAGGCTTAAATCACACCCTCATGGGCACAGTCACGTCTGACAGTCTGTTTTACTTATTACAGGGAAAATCTACACTTAGAATAATACAAAACTTGTATCTCCCTAAAACTTTGGGGTTTTTAGCAAGCATTTTCCCGAATATTCCGATCATTTTATCACTATAACATATCTGCAGCAAGGGGGCAGATGTTATTCACCCCACTTGGCCCATGAGGGAGCTGGAATCCAAGTCAGTTTGGAACTAGGGCTGCAACTGCCAGGTCTTAGGACTGCCAGGCTGGTGGCTGTCTTACTATTCACACGCCAGGATCAGCATGGACCCAGATAGGTGGCATACAGGGATTTCACAGTCCTTGTGTGATGCAGGCTGTCTGGGCACCAGGATGGACCTTATAATCCTCAATCCTGCAGATGTCACCAGGCAGAGCATCAGGGGCAGGGGGTGGGCTGGACATTGTGGAGCAAAAGCCAATACCACACAACAGTCCCTCCCCGTGCTCCGCCCACTCTCTCGAAAGGCTCTGCACAGGCTCGGCACACACACTGGACGCCCACTAAGACTTGCTGATGAACTGGGAACAGATCAGGTAGACAGGGCCCTTTCTGCCTGCCTGAGGCCTTCCGGTCTAGCATGGGTCAGACCCAAGGGGAGCCAGGCAGAAGGAGGGGCTCCCTTTCTCACGCTTCTTAATTTTGCAGGGGGAGAGGTGCTCAGAGTGCTTCTAGGGAGAGTGGTTCACTCCATCTACAATGCCACTACTGCACTTGTTCCCCCTCAAGTGAATCTACTGGATGTAACAAAGGCGGACTGACACCCTCTCCCTGGTTTGCACTCGGCCCTCTTTTCCCTGGCCCCAAGCAGCCTTCCACTGGCTGGCATCACCCTTTGGGTGTGGGACGTTCACCAGTGTCACCAGTCAGACTCAGAGCAGACACGGTACAGGTGAGGGCACCAGCAGCAGCCACCACAGGCTCAGGGCATAGCTGGCTGTGGGGTCTCCTGCCTGTGCCCTCACAGAACCATTGCGGGGACGAGGGTGCACATCAGTAACTCCATGTACAGCTGGAAAGACTGAGGCACATAGCACTCGGATGACTTCCACGGTCACACGACTGGTGAGTGACAACATTCACACGGACACACAATTAACTCCCAGCCCTTATAACTTTAATTAGATCTTTTGAAATACTATTCTAGTTCCAAAAGGCAATTCTACATAGACTTCCCCACTCTTTTTCAGGGGAAGGAGATAGAGATGGGGTGAGATAGAGGAAACTACAAATTATCCTTAGTCTTTCAAAATAAATTTGTGTCTGGATTTCTAAAGTGTGTGGAGATTTAAGGGCAGGGCCTCTAGTCTCTTCTATGTCAGACTTAATGAAAACAACCATGATATAGGACACAAAGTTTGCTACTTACATTCACTTCAGTTATAGCAATATCAACGACGCTACCAACAACAATTAAGGCATCAAAAGTGTTCCATGCATCAGTGAAATAGTGCTGTTAGGGCAAGCATTCAGAAGCCACAGAGGAGAGGAAGCACCACAGGAAAAAAGAAGAAAAGGACAGTGTTACAAAAGGGGAACATTCTAGCATCGCGCCACACGGCGACTTGAAACATCCCCCTAAAATAAACATGTTATAGATACGCCACTGTGGGTATCACTTCTGACACAGCAAATGAAAACAATTAGAGACATCCTATCTTACCTTGCCTACTAGTGACCAGGGTAAATGCTGCAAAAAGGCCTGTCCTCCAAAAGGTGATTTGTGTCTACAAAAGGCCCTGGGATAAGGCTCTACCCTGAAACACGTCTTGCCTACAGCTCTCATTAGGAAATCCTAGTTTCAGATCAAGTGACTGGGATCTGTGACTTGTCCAGGTGATGCCACTGCAGGGCAGGGAGCGGAGTATGCACAGACAGAGGAGAGAGGACACAGGTGGCGGCCACGCCAGGTGCATACTCACGTCTGCTTCGCTGAGGGCCACGTCTATAATGCTGCCGATTACGATGAGGGAGTCAAACGTGTTCCAGGCGTCACTAAAATACCCCTGGACAGAGCAGGCGAGGGCAGATGTTTATGAGCATGTATGAATGACCCACCACACGGACCGTATAGGGGCGAATCCGAGTCCCTGCCGCACCCATGGCACCCAGGTAGGGTGGGAAAGCCAAAGGGGAAGTAACAATACTGTCCACTGGTGGAAAGGGGCACAGCAGGGTGGTTGTGCACCTTTATGTGTGAGAGAAGGTGCACGCCCACGCACACACGCACGTGTGCATACACACACACACACACACACTCACGGTCCTGAGTGGCACCAAACCAAGCAGGATATCTACAGGGCAGAGGAAGGCATTTTGGCAACCTTGTCCTGGTACCCAGAGGGATGATCCCAAACCCTCACGATCTGATGGACTCCTTCCTTAGAATCTCCATTCACCCCACTTAAAGAGCACTGTCACCAGGTATTGCACACATTTCCATTTCTGTGCTCCTTCAAATGGGCCAGCAATGCTCTCCAGTCCTCGCAAGTCCAGCCTGTATTACAAAGGCCATGCCTTGTGGCAGGATGACTGAGACAAGTCCCTGTCTTCAAAGAACTCTCAGTGTAGACGACACAGACGGGTAGATAATGGCTTACGGGGACACAGGCACCGTGAGGCACAGCGTCGTGGCAGAGACACTGGCTCCTTGTCATGGGGGTGGTGCTTAGTGTGGGGAAGTCAAGGCAGGCTCTATAGTAGAAAAGAGTATGGAATGAAGAGGATGTTCCAGGGCTCCCTCTGTCCTTCAAAGAAGCCAATAGGCTCCTTCTTCCATCTCAGCTTTTGCTTTCTTTCCCTCCCACTTTTCACCCTCTAGGCTGAGAGGAGTCCTTCCCATCCTTCGAAAATAGCACCAGGTTCCTCCCCACCTCCTGATGTCTCTGCAATCCTAATTGCCTAACCCCAACTCCATCTGTTCAACTTCACCCTTCTTCAAGGTCAGATAAATGTTCCCTGATGGAACCTTCGCAGTCCCGGCTGTCTGCACTCCCTCAGGCTGACGCTGAATCTCTTACGTACTGATGGCTGAATGTGGGGTCTTTGTCTGCAGCTCTACCAATCAAAAGCCCTGAAGGATGATGACTGTGCTGCATATTCAGTCCCCCAACTTCCCTAACCCCATTATCTAGCCAGAGCCTTGAACCCAGTCAGTGCTTGACATGGGCAATGTCCCCTTTGTCCACCAACTTGCACCCTGCCTGTCATCCAGCTTTGTCTGGTTGTTTGTTCAGGTCCTGCTATCTTGCAACAATTTTGAGGGTACAACATCCCCACAATTGTAACTTAAAATCTATATGTATGTGCCGGACATTTTACATCTTCTTCCAGCATCAGCACAGCAGGTGCTAAATGAGTGCCTGTGGTCTCTCGACACCCCTGGGAAGCTCCCGGTTGGAGAGGGTGGTGGGGAGATACTGCACAGACAGCCAAAGAGGCAACGGACTGACTGTCAAGATCAACAGCTCTGTCTATAAACCAACTGTGTTTTTCCAAAGAGTCTGGACGCTTTTTGGAAATGAAAATTCAGGTACATATTATATAAAATGGGGCCCAGCCTGTTTACAACGGGGTACATTTAGTGCTGCATTAAGAAAACCAGAACAAAAAGTACTTTGAGGTGTCAGGTCCCAGAAACTTGTGATCAAACACAGACCCAGAAGAAGCCACTGCAGAACCACAGCCTTTTGCGACAGTATAGAAGATGTGGACGTACTGACTGTCCTAACAGCTGGAGTAGGGATGTTTATTCTAGTCACCATCCATCAGTCTAGGTGCATTTATGGGGGAGCTACGACACTGACTTCGGGTTTGCTTCTTAAATTTAATCTTAATAATGTAAGATTCCCCCACCCAACCGCCGTGGTTTCTAACCAACTCTCCACCTCTCTCCCCGCCCTATGATCACAGTGCCTCTCTCCCATTTTACCCTCACTGACTGCTACCCTCCCTGGCCCATCTATCAGCAGACAAAAGGAATTTGTGAGCCCCAAATCTGATGATCTATGTATAAAAGTCTAATGGGAAGGGCTATTTTAAAAACAGCACAGCTTATGCTTTCTAGCTTTCCTTTGCATGAATTCATGATTCTTGGCTGGCAAAACTGAGCAGAGATGGGCTGCCTTTGAGGTCTAGACTAGCAGTCAGAGGTGAGATCAAGAGCTAGCCTCAGGTTGTAAGGGAACACAGCAGTTTCCTTCGTCCAAGAAGTCTCCTAACAAGAAAGCCAGCTGAATCAATGTGCTTAGTGTTAGAGCTGACAGCTCTTGTTGCGAATGGATAACAAGCAGTTCTCTGACTGGTGGCAGTGCCACAGACCACACTTGGAGGGGCAGAGCCTGCCCTTTTCTTCATGGAGTTAAGAGTAACTCAAAAGCTAAAGAAAGCACAGTGATCCTTCCCCTCCCCTCTAGGAAGGAATTTACACCTTGATCAAAAACTTGGTCACAAGTAGCAACTAGACCTCCAGAGTACTGACAAGGCGGAGGAGACCCAGCGTTCGCCCTTCGCACCTGCTGTGGTGCGTGCCCCAGCCCCGCCTGCATTTGTACCGTGTGCGCCGCTTCTCTCCATTATTTATGTCATTTCCCAAAGGCCAAACCCACCACATGGGTGCTGGAGGCCAGCCTCTGACTTTGAGATTTTATTCCTGAACAGCTCCTCTCTCCCTCTCTCCAGAATTATCAGTGTTCTCCCCTTCAGGCCATTTCCATCAGCCTATAAGATATTCTCAATGCTGGTGCACTGTGATGGATAAAATCCGTTTAAATCAACACAATAGGGGCTTAATATTTCCTTGGGGTCTTGGAATTTTTTGGCAATTTCATTGACTCTCTCTCCAGAAACCCCTCACACTCATAAAACTGTGCCCAAATTGGAATGATTGATGGACTGAAGGTTGACACCCTTAATCTAGGAAGCAGAAGGCAGGTGGCTGAAATCACAGGCTCTGACCAGGTGGCTCTGACAGGAGTCCAGGGGAGGGAGAAAATGTCAGCCCTCCCATTCTTCCCACATACTGTTTCCCTATTTAGTAGCCTCTTGTTTAATAAAATCACCGTCAAGTGGCATGACTCAGTTCCCCCACCCTTCTCCCACCAAAGGCACCATATTGCCTTTGTAACCAGAAGATAAGATACAAGAAATGACACGGCTCCTAACAGAGGGCCCCTCTCCCTGCTCTCTCCTCTTGGCCTATGATGATGTGTTCTCCTACAACTGAATTCTGAGGCCAGAACCTCTCAAGTGGAACCAGCAGTCAAATCTATATTATTTTTGTGTCCAGCTCTACCTGTCTGAAAAGACCAAACAAGTCAGCCACATGCAATATGTATTGCGCAGAAACATTTCTGACTCTGGAAATTTAAAATCATAAACCAGACTAATGTGGGCCTCAGGGTCAGGAAGCACCACTATGTCTAAGAACCCTATTGTCACCATCCATCAATGTTTGTCTCCTGCTGGACAGTGGGCTCCTGGAAGGCACATCTCTTATTCCTGGCCCTCTTGCCAGGATATGGCACAGGCGTTGCACATGGTAAGGGGGCAATGTTTGTGGAACGGTTGCAAATGGGAAACAAGAAAAGTGACCCAAGTTCAGATTCCTTTTGCTGCCTGGATTCACTCCCATCTGCAGATCGGTAGAAGCCTATATAAATAATGTGCCTTTTGTCATTGATCATGGCAGCCAGATCTCTTACCCATGCTGGCAGGGATTATTTGGGTAGCATTTGACCCAAGTGATAACCCAAAGTGCCAACTTTTGGTAGAAACTATGCCTGACAGCTTTCTAACTAGCAAAAGCCTTTCCAAAGGTAAGCGGGGAATTAAGGGAAGATGTGCTCCACTCTGCTCTACCCAGATACCCTGCGACAGAAAAGCAGGTATCGTCTCATGCCCAGAGGCTGCACTTCCAGGATCATCCCTTTATTCCTTTCTTCATTCCACCAATCTTACTGAGCTACCACCAGGAAGCTACCACCAGGCATCATGTGAGGTACCACAGAGCCAGAAGCAGAAGACTCAGCCTGAGACCTCAAGCAGCTGCTCACCAACAAACAGAGAGGCAGACATGGAGTAGTGTTGGTAACGATGGTGCATAGTAGGCCCCCAACGGATGCATGAGCAGAGGACAGGGCTGGCTCTGGCTGGGGTGAGGATGCTGTCTCAGAGAAGATAACATTTCCCACAGGCCTTCAAGGATAACAAAGAGGAAGCAGGGTATCTAGACAGAGGCGCATGGGCAGGGAAAGGTCTAGCATGCCAACACCTGGGGATGGGGTGGGGACGAAGAAATAGCAGGGAGGGAATGGCAGGAAATGAGGCAGAAATATACAGGGGCCAGTGCTTCATGGAGGACTTTGAATATTCGACTAAGAAAATTGTATATGCTTTCTCAAGCAATAGGTGGCCAGTGCCAAAATATCACTGCAAGAGTGGTCTGGTCAGCTTTGGGCTTACAAAGGGAGTAGGTAGAAGGGCTGAGGCCAGAGGCAGGGAGATCATTTTGAAGGCAGGGAGGCATAGAAGCTCAGGAGAGAGAAGGGCAGTGCAGGTCTGCATGCCACAGAGGCGGCCACTGACGCTCTGGCATGTATGCATCTTACCAGGCAAGAAGGGGACCAGGAGAGGGCTCTGGGAAACCTCAATGTCAAAAGGACAGGATGGAGCCCAACAAGAAGCCCAATGTAAAGTTCTAAGGACAGTAATACTTGGTTTCAAGTATTATTTGCCATTAAAAGTAAATCTAGAACAGATGGGGTCATGAAGAACTGAAAAAAAAACAGTGTCAAATTTTCTCTCCAGCAGGTGGAAAAGGTACTCTAGGAAGATCATGAAGAAGCTCTACTCTTGCAAGGGACCCTGGAGCAGCGAACAGAGCCCTTGAAGGCAGATGAGGACTCAGTGCCCATTCTGCATCAGCTCTGCACAGCAGCATGAGGACAGCACCAAAACACTTTCTTCTTTCCCCAAACCTAATTTCTCCTTACTTTTTCCAGCCCAAGTAGCTAGGAGTATAAATTAGTATATTTTCAGGGTAGAATCAAGATCAAAACACTTTAAAGGACTAAGATGGGAACGAAGTATGGCTCACTGGAGAAGGCCAGTAACCGCAGCAAACAACATGGCCTAGAATGCAGCCTGGACAAAACGCCAGATGGGTAACATCCCACAAAGAGAATCCCAGACAGACCAGGCTCTTCTTACTCCACAGAAGTGCTCTCTATACCTGCTGCAGCCAGCACTTTGAAAAAGGCCCTTCTTAATCAATCTTCCTCCTTGGAGCAAGAGAACTTGTTGGAGAATTCTAGCAGCTGGAGGGAAAGGCTTGGAGAATGGGGCTTGTGTCACCTAAACTAGGGCCTGCTTTTGAAAACCCTACAGAGGTCTAGTTGACCCCAAGTTGAAAGCAGGACCTAGGCTGCACCAGGTCAACACCCAGCTGGTGAACTTTCCCTTCGGGAACCCACAATCGGCTAAATCACCTGCTTGCTTTTCCCGGATGCTTTTGCGCTTCGGCTCCTAACTACCTTCCACTCTTGCCTGACCAGTGCTCCAAAATGCCTCCTCCCCTGAGGTGAGATGGCCTCTTCCATCATGGAGGCTTCCAGCTCGGAGTTTTCTCCCTCTGTCTACTTCCCACCTCCCTCTGGGTTGGCAGAGGCTGGGTCATCTCATCTCCCATGACCTTGGGCCATTTCCCTCTAAATATACTCTCTTAGGAGGCCCAGTTTCTCCATCAAGCTCCCTTACATAAAATAAGTCCTTAAGGTCAGATTTCTCAACTTTCTTTAACCGTTCCCTCTTGAAATGCCTTCTCACCTACCAGTAAGAATTTTGTCTTACCTCACTTTCTATACTTATTTTATGAAGCAACTGAAACTCTGCCAGCCTGTGTCCCCTAACAGAGATACTGACGAGTCCTGCTAGAAGGTGTACCTGACTCAGTGGAGAACTCTGCCATGAGGGACCCTTTTACAAAGCTCCTCCCATGAGACAAAGGCTCTCCTGAGAGGAGGCTGAGGTCCCATGTGGCCATCTCCTCAGAATATTCCTCCTTCTGCAGCCTTGACAACCTTGTTCTTCAGCCCGACTACCCCACCGACCAGGAGGGAGGAGGCCTCCCTGGCTTCTTTGTGAAAGACCACTTGCTCGGGCTGGGCTTGTGAACACCAAAGAGAAGAGCAAGAAAAAAAGGGCAGGAAAAATTTTAAGGAGGGCATTGCTTCTTGGTGAACCGATACTCTCCCACTCATCCCGGCACACGATATAAACTCAACCTCCCCTGGCCGGGGGGAACGCAGTGACAGTGCTCTTCAAGTGTGGAGATGCTGCTGCTACTGTCTTAAAAGTTCTCCCAATTGTAACGTGAGGTTGTCTAATGCTATGAAGATATCTTGCTGAGTGAAACTACAAGCAGTACAATTTCCAGCAAAAATCAACCATTTAAAAACTCCGATCTATCAGTACTGATTATAGCTTAGCTACTCACTTCCCTTTGGTATCGCCTATCTGTTCACGCGCTACTGAACTCTCCTCCCAGGTTTGGAGATCTTCTGGGCAACTGTCAGCCTACTGGGCAGTGCACTACTGGGCTGTCAATGCACTGGCCGGCTGAAGGGAGCAAGCACACACATGAACACACACGCATGTGCACACACACACACTGACACACACACATACACACCATGGGTGAGTGTGCTTTCTCTTCAGCCTAGAGCAAGCTTTCAAAAACTTCAGAGCTTAATCATCTGGCAAGGGAAGACATGGCCCAGGTATCTGGGAAATGTTCCACAGAGAGGTTCCATGTTGCATTTCTCAAGTACCTTCGATGTTCTTACTTTGCAACCTTTTCCATCAGTCCAGACAAATATTGTTCAAAGAAGTAAAGGTGAGAGGGAAGCAAACCAAAATCTCAAAGGAAATTAAGATGAATTTGGAAAAGGAGGAAATGTTTATGTATGTAGATATGGACAAGTCACAGTAGATAATAACATCTGGCCATGCATTAGGTGCCAAATTTGACCCCACTGCAATCACCCCAATTAATCACTTACAAATGTCCTTTCTTTTTGGTCCACAAAGATCTGATAAAGATTGCATAGAGATTAATTCAAATTAAAGAAAGGAACAGTTTGGAATTAGAATTTCATGTAACTATGGAGTATGTGAAACCATCCATTTCATAATCCATGCCTAACTTAATTAAATCAGTGTCGTCAGATACCTTACACAGAGATAACTAACTGGGTCACTGAACTCTGTCATCTCTAACTCTGAGAGTTTTTGGCTGTACTGGGAAAGAAAATGAGGGCCAAATATCCCACATTTCAGCTTGGTGTGGCTCTTCTGTCTAGGCTTTTAGAATGAGGGAACATCCTTGCTTGATGATGATGAGGGTGGTGGTGCGGGTAGGAACAGCAGTGGCCGACAGTCCGCAGCGTGGCGCTACATGCCAGGCACTCTGTTAAGCAGTGCGTATATGGGAACTCTTTACTCCTCATGACAACCCCATGAAACAGCACTATTAGCGTCCTCATTTTATGGGTGAGGAAGTCGAGGCGCAGGGAAGAAAGGAACTTGTTTCAGCTGTAAGTGCCAGAGTAGAGATTTGAATCCAGTCCAGTTCCACAACTATGCAATTTGACACTGAACTACACTGCCCCTCATCTGGCAGCCACTGACAAGTGGGGAACTGAATTCACTCCCTCCCAAAGGGGTACAACACGCTGAGTCGTCGAGCACAGTTGAACACATTTCATGTCTCATTTTGTGTTAAAGTCAAGTGAAATTTTTCTAAATTAAGCAAACAAAAGATGGTATGGCTGTGAGAGGTCTGCAGCTGGTATCAGCACTTCCCTTAAAGGGTAAAAAGGATGCTGCAGACCAAGAACAAACAAAACAAAGTCTTTAGACTAGATATCTGAAAGTATAATCAGGGTCAAATTCTTTCTGATGGGTTATGTTCAAACATTTTCTCTAGTGCTCAAGTAATGAGGCAGGTTTCCCTGACACAGCATGATATGTACTATTCTAGAAACAGAAAACTGGCTTTCAAAATAATCTGCAGTTTACAAATTCCCAATTCTAATCTCCCTGCTTCTGTTTCTCAGAATTGTTTTCATGAGGTTTTGTTCTTGCAGATTCATTTTCCCATATATACACACATGCTCTAATCAGATTTTAATGTTCTCAGGTGGTAACCCAGTTAGCGGCCAGAACACTTTAGCATAATTCAGTAACACAAGACTAACAGGAAGCGGGTACTTCTCTAGGGTGACTCAGCAACAACCTTTGAAAAGTGGGTTCTGCAACTCACCTTAGGCTTAAATGCGATGACTTTCAAAACCATCTCGACGGTGAACACCCCGGTGAAGACCATGTTCAGAATGTCCATGGCATCATTGAACATCTTGGACTGCTCGTAGTGCTATGGATGAAGACAGAGGGACCGTTCTCAGAGCCTCAGCCACGATCTCACATGCTTGCACATGGAGGCTCCCAGCCCTCTGTGCCCCTGTGGGCATCCTCCACAGCCCAGCACCCTCGCTGGGCAATTCCACCGGCATTGCAAGGTCATGTGGTGAACTCCCACAAAGTGCAGGAGGGTCTGTGACAAGATGAGGATGATTGAATGATGAAGGGGGAAAACATATCCATTTCCTCTGCTCAGGATAAAGGGAATTCACCCTTTCTTCTGGCAGGGCTTTATGTTGAGGGCCTTGACCAGAGCACAATGCAGATACCACCAAAATGTCTATGAATAGAGGTAGAATTTGGTTAGGGATAAATTTTATGCCATGTAAGTTTATGTTGAATAAAAGGCAGTGTTTTCTTGATTTTACACTTTCTTCTACGTCAGCACACAGTCCTTTTCATTCAAAAAGAACTCTTAGGTTAAGAAAAATGCCAGAAAATTTATCCCTATCTTTAGACCTACTGTCCAGACAGCACTGAGAGCTGGTTTGATGTGCTGGAGTTCTTAAAGTCAGTGCAAAAGCTGGCTCTAGACCTTGGTCTTTGCTTCCTGTCCTCGTAGAGTATCTACTAGGCAATGTAACTTTTGAAAACATTCGCTGTTAATACCATACTATAATCTGACTTGGCCAATTAAACTCAATTGCATTTCTTGCCCCCACTGGAATAAGAAGTAGCTGTAACTCAGGTCAAACTCAACACTTCATCAACTGGAAAATTCCCTACTGCCATGCTGAGAGCCACCTGAGGACAGGAGTGTGACTTATGTTTTGTTTTCCAACATTGAGTGTTACTCTGTGACAGGCCCAGATCAAAGTGTCCAAAGGTGCCGGGCGCGGTGGCTCACGCCTGTAATACCAGCACTTTGGGAGGCTGAGGCAACGGATCACCTGAGGTCACGAGTTCGGGACCAGCCTGGCCAACGTGGTGAAACCCTGTCTCTACTAAAAATACAAAATTAGCTGGGCATGGTGGCATATGCCTGTAATCGTAGCTACTCAGAATGCTGAGGCATGAGAATCACTTGAACCCAGGAGGCGGAGGTTGCAGTGAGCCGAGATCGCGCTACTGCACTCCAGCCTGGGCTACAGAGTGAGACTGCCTCAAAAACAAAAGGCAAAAAATAAAAAACAAAGTGTCTGAGGGGAATTATCTACAGCATAAACCTTATCTCTAACGTAGGTGTGACAGATTTCCCCATTTTACTGATAAAGAAATCAAGCCTCGGGGAATTTAAACAACTTTCCCCAAGTCACAAAAAATTCAGAGTAAAATCAGGATTGAAACAGCTGTGTATCTCCAGAGCTGTAGTTCTCAACCACTAGCTGGCCACAGGAGGCCCATGGTAAATGTTTACAGAATTGAGCACCAATGCCAGGCTCCATGGAAATGTTACCTACCATCATGCTGTACGGATAATTTCTTCAACAAAAGAACTATCTTAAACTCCTACCGTGACAACTGTCAGCCAGAACAGAACTCTGGCCAACCTATAGCCCAGACTCATCAGAAAAATCAAACCCCTCCTGTGAGGGGCAGCATTCCACCCTCAGCATTTGGGGCACGGGGCTGTGCGGAATGCCCGGACCTGATCCCCACGGCTGTCTCCATTTTTACCTGCATGGCCAAGCAGAGTGTGTTGAGCATGATGAGGACAAACATCATGTATTCGAAAGGCGAAGAGTTCACCACGTACCAGAACTTGTACTGGTAGGGGTTTTTGGGGATGTATCTCCGCAAGGGACGTGCTTTCAAGGCGTATTCAACACACTGACGCTGCAACAGCAGAAAAGGGCAGAAACGGGGTTCTGAGCACTTGCAGGGAAGGAGGACCCCGTGGTCATCTGCTCTGAAAGAGCTCACCCTACAGCTCCCGGGAAGGGGCCGTGGACGATGGTGAAAATGATTACGAGTGACCCCCTTCCTGCTGCTGGCACCACTCTTGAGTCACCGAGGGCCCTGCCTCCATTACCTTCGCTGACCCTCCCAGCAAGCTCCGGGTAAGCTGGGTGCCTACCCATGTGGCTTCCATTTTGCTTACTAAAAACTGAGGCTCAGAGCTTTTAGCTGTCTTTCCTGAGGCCCTGCAGTGTATACACAAGCAGGAGTGAGGACTGGGTCCAGGCCTTATCACTGCCTTTCCTCTTTATCACACATACGGGGGATCTATAGGTGGATCACACCTATAGTTCCCCTGCCTGTGCTGTCCTCCAGGAAAGGAGGCCAAGTAACCACAGAAACTCACAAGAACGAGAGGGGCTGGCTCATTCCCCAAGACTAGTAGCCTCCTGGATGCTCCCAGTTGGAACCACATGAGATACCCTTCAGGAGCCAGAGTGTGTTAACAATACACATCTTATGGGGAGCTATCCACATGTCCATCGGGGAGCTTCTGGGCTGGGGAGCTTGTTGTGTTCATTTCAGAATCCCTAGGATGTGGTCAGTAGTGACAGCTGGATTGAACACAGGTTGGGGCCCAGCTGGAGCACTGTAGCGACAGCTGGATTGATTGGACGCAGTTTAGGGCCCAGCTGGAGCACTGTAGTGACAATTGGATTGAACACAGGTTGGGACCCAGCTGGAGCACTTTCTCACTTACTCTGGGTAGTGGGGCTGGTCCACCCTCTGCAGCAGGCCCAGAGGGAACCTCTAGCCCCAAGAGCCCTCAGCTCAGCATTGAGAGCCTAGACCTACCCCCGCTCTCCTGCTTTGACTCTGGGTGCAGGCTTCGGACAGGTTCCCAGTGTCTGGGACCCGGCGCTGCTCTGACCTCACATGCTCACTCCAGGGACCCCCAATTCAAGCCTGTGCTGGACCTCAGAGGCTGACACACTTTCAGCGCTGGCTCTGCGTGGCTGGCCTGGCCTTGCTCTGACACTCCTCTTCCTTGGGTGAGCAAATTGCTGGGCCAGACCTCTCCCTGACAATCACTGGTGGAGTCTACAGGGACACCCTGACAACTCAAAGGAAAATCTTCCTGCAAACACAAACCGGCATGTTCTCACATTTCCCAGTGGGTACAGCCAGCTATGGTTGGCTTGCCGTGCCTGGGCCACTTCCTCTGAGGAAGCCTAGGCTACCAGATCATTCTTGCTTGCGACGTCGTCATCAAAACAGAGATGCTACTGATAGAGGACCCGGGGAAACTCCCAGAAAAGAATCTCGATCTTGTAGACTCTTTCAGGGCTGCAAGGAATCTCTAAAGAGCAGCTCCTTAATGCCCTCGATTTAGAGATGAGGGATCAAGCCCCAGCAGGGATCAGAGGGCACCTAGGGTCACAGTGCAGGTGTAGGAAGATAGCCCAGAGCACAGGGCTCCCTCTCCTCACCACGTCACCCGAGCAAAAGGCTCCTACTTCTACCAGACTGGCTAAAACACGGTGTCAGATCAAGAATGATGCCAATACAATCTTAGTCCCAAATTCAAAGTTACTGACTTCCCTGGGGTGATGCAGGGTATTCCCCCCTCGGTCAGCAGTTCTCAACAAGGGGCAGCTTTGCCCCCCAAAGGACACTTGGCAATGTCTGGAGACATTTTGGTTACTGCTACCAGGGGAAGACGAACCATTGGCATCTAACAGCTGGAAGCCACGGATGCTGCTAAACAGCCTAAAAAGCCCAGGAAACACAACCAAGAATCATCCCAGACTGAAATGCTAATAGCACCAAGGGTAAGAAACTGCCCTAAGTGGCTTTAAAGACCATCTCCCAGTAGGGACTGTGAATGTCTGTGTGAGTGGCCACAGCACCCCAACTAAGATTCTGATACATCACTAGTGGGTCATGACCATGGCAGGTGGCGTAAGCACTCTCTGATTTCATACCACCAGGTCTGGCGATGGATTTCATAATTACAAAGTCTCATATGTATCGGGAAACCTAACGCTCAGCAGTGATGACTCAAATGGGCTGAGGGTGTGCTTAGAACAGGGCCCTAGCCCCAGGGACAGACAGTATGTGGGTGCCCTTCTCTGGGTATGGGGGAAATCAGTCAATAAAGAAGGCACTCCGCTCCTGACCAAGGGACAGAAGCCAAAACAGTGTGTGACTTTAACCTGATTTTTGTCCAGCTCACAGTTCTTATACTCTTTTTCTCCTTGTTCCTGAAATGTAACGATGACAAAGCCCACAAAGATGTTCATCATGAAGAAAGCTACAATGATGATGTAGATGATGAAGAAGATGGAGATCTCCACGCGGTGGTTGTAGATTGGGCCGATGTTCTCTCCATTCGAGTCGATGGCTTTATACAGCAACCTAGAGAGAGAAAAACCAAGTGAGGACCTGCCAAGCCCCCCAGCCCACACGGCCCAGCCCGCTGCCTTCCCAGGTCCTCCCTCTCCAGAACTCCTCTCATGAGCACTCGCTGGGAACCCACCCCAAGGCTGCTGGACACAACCAGGTCTCTCCCATCAGCCTCAGGCCCAAACAGCCAGCACTAAGAGGAGGGGGCACCCAGGATATCATCATCGAGGGACTGTTCTGAGGAACTGAAAATCAAAAGATTTCACAAATATCCTAAAACACTCCTTTCTATTCAGAGAGGAAGAATATCACGTGTAAGACACTGGAGGAAGTGAAAACTATGCACACTGGCAAGACAGTAAGTGACCAACCAGAGTAGTTCCAAAGAACTAAGGGTGCTTCCCCAAACAGAGATATGCACTAAAATTAAAGCTATGCCTAGCGGAACTCTTAACAGGAAGAGGGGGATTACTGTAACACCCTTGGGGTCCATTGATCCCCATTCTGATGCAGATTCAACACTTCTGGGGCACCCAGCCCATGCATAGGCTTCCCGAGACACTTTCACAGCCTCTCCCTTAATCCTCACATCCATCTGGGAAGGCAGACATTACTATCATCCCCATCATAGGAATATTCAGGGAGGTATCAAAGTGCCACAGTCACACTCCTTGGGGGCAGAGCCAGGAGTTGAGCCAGTTCCTCCAAGCCCCGAGTCCCAGGTTTGCTCCTTTCTCCTCAGCTGCCACCATGATTTGCTCAAGTACAGTGTTCAAAGCCTGACACTATAGCCTGTGCCTGCACACAGTGAAGGGCCTTACTCCATGCCTCTGTTCTCCCAGGATTAAATCCCTAATGAACAAGCCCCACCTGACTGTCTCTTTATCCTACAGGAGCTCCTGAAAATATCTGACTCTTACACACACCCCAAGAACTCTGCTGGCCTGCGAGCCCCAGCCTGCCCACCTCCTGCAGCTCATCTATGCATGGGGACCGGGTATCCAGGACTCTAGGTGTGTTTGCACACTGATGGCAGGAGCTGGGGGTGGGAGCTCCAGAAGCAAAGAGCAACACGAAAGCACAGAGGATTCTCCCTTTCAAATTCTAACTTCTCCTTACCTGCTCTTCTTACTTTACCCATCAACATCTTAGCCATTCTTCAGGACCCTGTTCTGCACATCTAGGACACACCAGACCACCTGCCTGGTTTGACCACTTGACACTGATTTGATTTGGGCTTGAGGAGAGGAAGCATGTTTAGACACTGTTTCCTCCACAGTGCCTAACATGCCATGTTGCACAGAGCTGGTATCTAAGCACGCAGTCAGCCAGAGCCCAGTTAGACATTTTTAACGGGTGGGGAGACACAAGCCTCTGCACAGCATGGTCTGTAAATGAGCGAGCAGGTGCTCAGTAAAAGAGATGGCATAACAGCAACTGTCCGCAACTGGGAATATATTAGAATGAATGAATGAATGAATGAATGAATGAATGAATGGTTTGGGACACCATTCAGACCCTCTTTGGGAGCAGCGGATGGCAGCTTTCCTGACATCCAATGGGAGTTCATGGGACTGAGGCATCTCAGGCCTCCCTGCTTCCACCCAGAGATGCTGCCAGGCACCTCTACCAACCCTGCTTCACAAATCATCCACCTACACAGAAAGAGGCCCTGTGGGTCAAGAAGTGACTGAGAAGTGGCCCAAGGTTAAAAAGCCACAGGGCAATCCTGCGACACTGGAGAACAGAAATGGGACTGACTCCAGGAGGGAGGGCTCAGCCCTGGGCACGCAGGTGCCTCTCCAGAAGACTGTGTGCTCCCTGTACTTACGCAGGCCAGCCCTCAAACGTGGAGACTGTGAAGAGCGCCATCATAGCAGAGAGGACGTTGTCGAAGTTGAAATCACTGTTTTGCCAGATCCGTTCACGGACCACAGGACTGTCAACATCCCCATCCTTGTAGAGGATGAAAAGTCCCCTGGAGAGGAAAACAGGTGTGGGTCGTCTGGCTTCACACATGACAGGTGGAAGCAGCGTAAAGTTGGACACACTGCCCCAATCCAACCTCCAGGCAGGTCACACTCAGTCCGCCCGCCTGTCACACAGCTGAGCATAACACCGGCGCCGTTTCTCCTCTCCTCGCCCTCCATTTAATCTACTTCGCGGCTCAAATAACCATTGAATAACTACCAGTGCAACGTGTATTCTCCAGAGCAGCCACCCAGACACCGGGCATACGTCGTTGGCCGATAAAAACCACAGCATGGTGAGAGCATCTCTTACACAATGGGCTTGAGGCGCGCTCTGAAGGATCAAAGCTCAGCCATAGAGAACTCTGTAGGCTCTAGGAAACGAACCCACGTATACTCTTCCTGCATTTTAGTTTTAATCAAATCCCTTTCTCTTCTTACTAATGACATTCCCAATTTTCTTTCCGAAAGAATTGCATTATTTCTGGCAAATTATTTCTCCCAGAACTTCATTTCTGGAAGGAACCCAAGAGATAAAGCGCAATATCTTTATTTTACAAATGAAGACACAGAGGCTTCAAGAGGGAAGAAACAGTGTCCTCACGCCAATGCCAGGCTGCTCACCTCCAGGGACGCCATGAACGGTGTGTGAACGGTGCCTCTGGAGGTGCAGAGACACAGCCAAATTGCAATTGGTGCTCTCTGACTGCACCTTCTGCTTAAAATAAACCCCAAACCAATGTACAGGCACAGTCAGCCAGAGCCCAGTCAGTTATGTCTCTCGCGGGTGGGGAGACACAGGCCTCTGCACAGTCTGAAACTTTAGGCAATGGCTTCCATGACTGCCTTCATGGTCACTGGACATCCTGGAATGGGAGGCATGAATATCTCCCACCTTGTCTCTCCTCTGCCAGTTCTTGTCTATGGAAATATGGCCAAGATGTAGGTAATAGGAGCCAGGAGAGAGGAAGTCTAGAAAGTGTATAAGAAGAGGGAGCCAGTTCCCAAACACCAGGGAGTTGAGTTCCAAATTCTGATTTGGGGAAATCATCCACATGGCTGTCATGGAAGCTATTTGGGGCATTTCATAATTGTTATTTCAGGGTTCCCCCAACTCCCATCATTTATAGATTCTCCACCACAAAAGCCATCTAGCCATTCTTTTGGGATGACAAAAAGTTTGCAACTAGATAGAGATGTTGGTTGCACAACAATGCCATGGATACTATATGCTAAGGAACTGTATACTGAAAATGGTTGATGTTACGTGAATTTCACCTCAATGAAAAACAAACACCATCTATCTACCCACAAGCTGAGCACACAGGCCTATTTTATTTCACGACCAAAACTTCTGACGTGCCAACATGTGTGAATCCTTGAAGTCTGCTATTTGCTCTTCTAAGTCCCCTACTCCACTCTCAGGACGCTCACCTGCATTCTTCAGGGTTACTTTTGGCTTCATCCGTACAGCGATAGAACTTCCCCTGGGTATAAAATAGACAGGCAGTTAAGTAAATGCAGGCTTCTCCTTAAAGAAATCCACCTGAGTTTTATGCTTGGAGGCAGTTCCTCTACCTTGAACAACTGGACCCCGATACAGGCAAACATGAACTGCAGGAGGGTGGTGACGATCATGATGTTGCCGATGGTCCGGATGGCCACGAAGACGCACTGGACCACGTGCTGCGGAGAGGGCAGAGGGGCGTGACTCTTCTTTGTGATTTTGGCCTTGAGGTGAGCTAACATCAGCCGACAGTTTCTGTGTTGGCCAGGCACAGTGGCTCACACCTCTAATCCCAGCACTTTGGGAGGCAGAAGTGGGCAGATCACTTGAGGTCAGGAGTTTGAGACCAGCCTGGCCAACATGGTGAAACCCCATCTGTACTAAAAATACAAAAATTAGCTGGGCGTGGTGGTGTGCACCTGTAATCCCAGCTACTGAGGAGGCTGAGGCAGGGGAATTGCTTGACCCCAGGAGGCAGAGGTTGTAGTGAGCCGAGATCACACCACTGCACTCTAGCCTGGGCAACAGAGCAAGACTCCGTTTCAAAGAAAAAAAAAAAAAGAAGAAATGCTACAGGTGCAGTGCTGCCTGGCACATGGGCCCAAAGGGTCCCCACCCCATAAATGACTCAGGAAAACAGAAACCCAGTAGCCTTTTATACAGTCTACATGAAAACTGAAAGACTAAATAAACTAAATAAAAGACTAAAATAAACACAAAGAACTACTAATAAAAAGGTAATAAATGAACAATAATTACAAAGAAAAATATCTTCAATTACCAAAAATAAAGACAATAAATAATAATTTTTAAAATGCCATTAGCACTTGGCACAGGTGGCTGAATTGGTTAGAAAGGTCCTTATAACTCACTTTAAAAATCCATCAGGCCTCAGCTCAGCTCTGCCCAGAAGAGCCAGTAATTACAGCCAACCCCAACCCAAGCCAGCCCAGCCGGGAGGAGAGGAATCAAAACCTTAAGTCCTTTTGCTCTGTTGATGGCCCTGAGGGGACGCAGGACCCTTAAGACCCTCAGAATCTTCACAACGGAGATGGCACTGGATCTAGGGAAGGAGCAGAAAGACGGCAGGCAGAGCGTGTTATAAATGGACAGGATGCTTTGAGATTCACCCTTTCACTGGATCTTCACTTTAGTATCCCTGCACAGTTAGCGTGGGATCCATGTGGTGCTGAGCTGATCTCTCTTCACGACTCAGAGGCGACTTCTCCTCCCCGCCCACACGAGGCAGCACCTCCCAAGCCCAGCCCATGGCACTCACAGAGGCTGACAGGTGCACAGCTAACCTTGGCAGAGACACAACTCACGAACTCTCTTTGTTCTTTCCACTCACTGTAAATACTAGGTAGTAGCTGGCTTTTAGGCTTCATATATCATTTGTTTTTGTTTAAGGTTGGAGGTCTGCTGTAGCACTTTGGTACCAGGGCTTCTCTGGCCTTCAAGGAGCTCACAGTCTGGTGGAGAGATGGGCAATCCCAACCCAGTGTGGCACATGACAGGGGTAAATGTGGTGTGCTCAGCCAGGGGAGCACAACCTGTGGGGGTGGGGCAGGGGGAGCCTGGGAAGGACTCTGGGGTGGGGGTGGTGATAGCCAGGTGAGTCCCAAAGGAGGAGTAGGGGTTAGCGAGGACAATAGGGAGGGGGGCTCCAGTGTGAGGGAGCAGCATGTACAAAGATGCGACACAAGAGAATGCAGCTTTCTGCTTTACCCTAGGTGGCTGAGTGTGGCCAGAACACATGCTCAGGAGGAAGTGGGCAAGGCTGCAGCTTGGACATGAACAGCCTGGGAGTTAATAGGAGCTGCAAAGATGTTAATGCAAATGGCCTTCCAAGCTATGATCACAGGGTTCCCTCAGTGGCAGGCGAGAAGGATAACACAAAGGGCTGTTCCAAGCAGAGGTTTTTGGTCTTCCTAGGAGGGCAGGTCCTTTCCACTTCTCTTTAGCTTAGAGGGCAGGTGTGTGCATGTGTGCTCATACAGGGGAGATTCTATGCTCAGCACCTGAACAGAAGTGCTCACAGGCCAGCAAGAAAGCAAGGCCACACCTGATGCTCTACTGGAGCCTCTGCCCCACACCCCTGGGGATGGTAAGCAGTACTCAGCAATGGCTGTTCCCACCAGAAATCGCTAAATGCCATGGAAAAGACCTGGGGCCCTGACTTTCAGCCTTGGCTCCCTCCTAGCTGAAAAATTTTGAGGCCAAAGAAAAAGTCCTAGCAGGTTCTATATCCTGAAAATCAAAGGAAGTTCTCAATATCTAAGCTGGAAAAACTGAAAGGCCACCTGGTCCCAGCCCCTCCTATATAAAAGGGGCACAGGGTTCCTGAGAGAGGATGCCCTCAAGGCCCTGGAATCAGCCTTTGGAGGAACCAGGACTAGAACCTAGATTCCCTCCCTCCTAGTCAACACTTCTTTCACCTCAGTTGAAAGCAAATTTCACAGACAGTAATAAGCTCAACTTAGCAGCAGGCACAAAAAGAAAAAAACACACACACACAAGAAAACATGAATTGTTTAAATCTTTCTGGAATGGGAGCAAATTAAATAAACCTATATAACTAAATATAATCATGAAAATGATGCCCAGCCTTTATCAATTATGTTAAAATCCCTTACATAAACCATTCAGCCCAACAATTCTGGGCACACACCCCAGAATACTTACTGAATCCCAAATGACACCAGAGACACCCCAACCACCAGCATATCCAGCAAATTGAAGTAGTTCCTGCAGAAGGCCCCTTTGTGGAGGAAAGCTCCAAAAGTTGTCATCTAGAAGCAGAATCATGGATGATTTACCATTTTTTGTCTCCAAAGGAAAAGAAACCTGGGCTCTTTGCAAAATCTTGAGGAAAGTATAACTTCATTAACAAGTGTGCATTAAGAAGTCAGAAATGTAAACCAACGGGGTTGAGCCACAGGATAATTTCTTCAAACAAAAATCAAAAAGGGGCAGCTTATTTTGGATACATTTTAAAAGAAGAAACCAATTTAGGCTTTATTACAGTGATCACAGGTTTCAAGTATGAATACACTGTTGGCATGTCCAAAGAGCCTGTCTAAGAGAGGCTCCACAGGACTACATTCGTCAAAAGGTAAGTGCTGTCCGGAGAGCCCACTTCCCCACAAAGTGCTGGTTCTGGCCCCTCTGAGGCCCTGGTAGAGCCTACCTTGTTTCAATTAAGCCTTTCCAGTGGGGGCTTGAATTCAGGGCTCCCAGGCTCTATGGACCTACATCACTTTTCCACAGAGGCCCCTTATTGTTCCTAATGGTCTTTAATGACGCATCCATCTTAAGCAATTCCTCCAAGTCTGATGACACGTGCCAGGCATGGCTAGGAAGCCAGGTGGCATCTCACCTGAGCCAGTCTCAACGGCTCTGTGCTCACCTGCCACATGTACCTGGAGCACCTATTATGGGTGCTTCAGTGAGATTTCTATTGGTGATGGAAAAAGAGTTTAGTTCCCCAAAGTAAAAATAGCAAAATATATACAGCTCACTATTTATTTTAAAACAAAAAAGGTTGGAGAAGGCTCAGGTAAGTACAGTATAAGAGAGGTAGAGGTGGGAAATATTACATTGAACCTTATGAAATCGCCAGTGTTCAACCCTTTTTGACCTACAAAAATGGCAATTTCATAGGGCTTAAGCAAATAACCAAAGAGCCTTCCAAATGTCCCCAAGGCCACCAGGAACCATCGTCTCAGATATTAGACACTTCTTGGTGAGTCTCCATTTTCTGAATCCTTCTTGTTTTAGCTTATTTTCCATTCTCTAAAATACCTTCAAAATGAAGAATGACTCAGAAGATTTAAGTCGGTGAAGCAATTCTACCGAAATTAAAAAGTAACAATCATTTTTTTCCTTTTAAATAATCCTGTGTCTAATTTTCCCCAAAGCCCAAGGGTAACTATATTCATTTAACAACTAAAAAATGTGGAGAGTAAAATAAAACCTCAATTAACCAGGCTAACAGACTAAGTAGAACAGCTCCCCATTCACTTTGAAAAGAAGTCAAATTCTAAAACCAAGAAGCTGAGGCAGAAGCTGAGCCGGTGAGTGTTCTGGCGGCATCCCTCCGACCCCCACCACTGTGCATTCTGCATCCACAGGCCCTCCCACAGAGGCCTCATCAACAAGAGCTGGTCACCATCCCACTGCACACCTCTGACTTAGGAGAAGTGTCAACCAAATTCATCGGCTTAAAGGCAGGAAAATGAACTCACATTTTTAGAAGACTTTTAAGAAAGGGGTAAACAGTTGTTGGTTGGCTTTATGCTGTTTCATGAACCAAAAAATAAAAAAATAAAAAAACCAACCTCAAAAAACTAACCACCTCATTCCCTGACCATATTAATTGAGGTTTCATTTTATATAAGATTTTGTAAAGAGCCCAAGTTCCACAGTAGTCCGATGCAAAATACATTTTGCCTGAATTGCACACACAAAAATTCCCCAATGGCTTAAAGAAAACCATGGTTAAAAGTCTTCATTTCCCAGCTTGTCTTCCTGCTAGGAGATGGTTGCCCTGACAGTTCTGATGGGCCACGTTCTCCCAGAACCACAATGACCCACGCCCTGTGGTTCTTGGCCAGTTTTGGATAGGTTCTTGGAGCTCTGCTGTGGTCTCCAGCACTCTAAGCACATAAGGAATGGGCTCCCCATGGGGCAGACTTCACAGTCAGTCCACAAACCACAAGCAGCAATGGCAGCCATTAGCTCATGCATGGGCAGTACATTTAGGTCACCCCGGCCAAAGGGCGCTCCTTTTGTGTAAATGTAAGCCCATCCATTAAAACAGACAGAAAATACCTTAACACAAATAGACCCAAGTCATCTTGCAAATCCTATTGCAAGAAAATAGTGTGTTACTATTTTAGGTCCCCAAAAGCATAATGCAGTCAGAGAAACAAAAAGAGAGACATCCTCTTCATAGGATAAATGCTTTTCCTCTGACTTTGATGTCAGAAAGGGTGGAAAAAAGTTCACACATAGAGATATATGTGTTATCAGTTGACAAATTACAGAGGGTATTTTTTTTAAATGAGCAAAATGTAATTCTCAACCACTATCATGAAGCCAGAGTGGCTCCTACATGCATTCAAAGGTTAAAAAGAGCAAAAACAAGTTGGAATGGTCACAGGAAAAAAAAATCCTTCGGTTTAAAAAACAAAAAAAAAAAACTTAGCTCAACCACGAAAGACAAAAAAAAAACCCATAAAAAATCAAAAGCACTCCACGCTTCTTTCCTGTGTGTCACACGCAGGAGCAGCCCTTAAACACACTGCCGGGTAACCTGTTACCTTTAAAATGATCTCAAATGCAAAAGTACCAGTGAAGACATAGTCTGCGTAACCTAGCATCTGGAAGGCAAACAAAGAAGTGCAACTATTATTGCTCCAGCTGCTGTGGAGTATGTGAAGATCAAGGAAAATTCATTACCTTCAACAGGATCTCAACAGTAAAGATGGCTGTGAAGGCATAGTCAAAGTAACCCAGTATCTGCAAGGCACAACATGTGGGAGTGAGAAAAGGAATTCAGACAAACTCTGACATCTGCATGCTTACAGGCAGAAACCCCCGATCCAGTCAGAGACCCATCCCTCCAGGAAAACCCTGCCATTCTGAAGGTAAGTGCAGAGCCACGGGTGAATGCCCACTTTGGTCAATTACATCATTCCCAAAGAGCGTTTGAGAATCCTGACCTCCTTTAACCACTCACCGACTTGCTTCCCAGTCTTGTGTCTTGGACAGGCAGAGAGGCTCATTTCTAAGAGTGCTTTGTTAACAAGCTTTTCTCATCAGAGAGTGCTACATCTACAAACGACTTGTGGCACCAAATAAATTAGAGGCTTATACACATTTTCGATTTTTAACCGCGTTTCTGGCTGAATGAAGTATGTTGCCCTCCATCTGAGCATCAGATTGGTGGAGAAGCATAAATGAAGATGGCAGCGGCATCTGTCGGAGCCAGTAGCTTCCATATGCCCCCTCGCATTCCAGCCTGTGTAATCAGGGCGTCAGCACCCTTCCCTGCTCATGCGCTGGGCTGGCTAAGTCTGCAAGGGATGGTTTTACAGACTCCTGCATTGGTGGTCTCCAGCACTCCTGCCCGTTGTTCTGCATCTCACACTGCTCTCTCTAAACTCAGGGTTTTTTTTAAAAAACCTTGCTGGGCCCACTCAAATAACAGACTGACTTGGTCTTTGAATTTTCAGTCCAGGCAACTCTATCCTCATTGGTGACAATACCATCTATTATCCCATCAGCAGAGTCCTGCTAGCCCTTTCTGGGGTCCCTGCTTCTCCTCGGAGCCATGGAGGCAAGTGGGCCAGCAGCAAGAAGTCTGACCACCAGGAAAGCTGCTCACCAGGAGCTTCTGACCGTAGCACCCTTATCTGCAAAGGCGAGTTGGTCTTGGCCACTGATCTTCATGACAACTATGATCTATGGTTTTGAAAGAACTGAAGAGACCAGAGCTAGAAGGGACTGTGGAGACCACCCAGGCCTAATCCTTTAACAGATGTGGCTGCTGGGAGCAGGGAGTGGACACACGCATAGGCCACGCAGCTAGTCACAGGCACTGCAGAGCAAGGAGTAGGCCTGGCGTATGCCAGCGAAGAGTCACAGGGGTGAGCTGTTGTAGGTAGAGGAGTCGCCTGGGGGCTGTGTCACAATAATGCGAGGACCTCTGTTTCAAGCCCAGTCTCTCTCTTCAGAGGGTATTCACTTTCCAAACTGTTTCTGGTTTTGGACTTATGAATTCTGTGGGACCACTTCTGTGTAATGGAGTTTCTTGGCCAGGCTATGGAAGGTGTCTTCCCGTGCACTGCCAGGCCTCAGCCAACTTTTCCTTACTCCTTCCTAGGTCACAGTGGGAATATTAACATGGAAAGCATCTAGTAGCCCAGAAAGACACTGCAGCCCACAAGTCTACAAGGCAACCTGGCGCCAGGGCTGAAGTTGAAATTTAAGCTGTTTTTTTCCCTCACTCTGCTTGCATTCTCTCGCTCTCTTTTTTAAACTAAGAATTCGGCTAAGGTTAAAAAACATACAAAACACTGCAGAATCTAAAAAGCAATACTCATACACATATGTACATCTATTTAAGCAGAACGGTAACATTTTTGGGTAAGGCAGCAGGGAAATAAACTTATGGAGAAGCAGTTATAATTAAAAATAAGACATGAAACCCCCATGTAAATTAATCCCTTGTCAATGCGAATCCTAGACTAGCTCCTGGCCTAGTTTGTCACCTAATGCTGTTTTTTTCCAAACACTGCCCTTGTGTCCTTTTTTTATGATGGAATGAAATGACACAGAGGTCTTTCTTCTATTGGGGCATCTAGAGCAACTAAACCCTCTCTAACAAAAACCCTAATCTGTGAGGACAAATCAAGACAGGCCCAGTGCCTTCCTCTTTATATTGACACTAACACGCACCATGGGGAAAGCACTTTTTCTCTTCATATCGGAGTGCGTGTTTCATAAATCTGATAGGTAGGGCTTGCCAGGCTCCAGAAATGGGAAGCAACAGCATGAGGCTTGGTTGTCCCAACAGAGTCCTGGAGGCACAGATCTGCAGGTGTGTCTTAACCCTAAAATCTCTAACAACCTGGTGCTCAGAAAAAGGTGCCCACCAGCAAGCCAGGGACACCTGATGCTTGCACACTCGCCAGCCTCCCTCTGCTGGTCGGGTTTCTTGGTAATAACCTGAAACTGCACGATAATATCTAGGCCTGAGAGTCAACAGGCTGCTGCTTCTAGCCGTCTTGCCTTTGAATGGTCCTCAGTGCCGAGTAAGCTGCACAGCTAAGGTGGGGCTGCTGAGGCAAGAGCCAATTTAGGTGCAAGTTTCCTTACAACACAGACACAGTCAGCGGGCACCATCTCTAAGTTACAAAACTAACTAATAGAAAACCCTTGACTTGCTTGTATTTTTGTTTGTATGTTTTTTTGAGACAGAGTTTTGCTCTTGTCGCAGAGGCTGGAATGCAATGGCATGATCTCAGTTCACTGCAACCTCCGCCTCCTGGGTTCAAGCGATTCTCCTGCCTCAGCCTCCTGCATAGCTGGGATTACAGGTGCAGACCACCACACCCAGCTAATTTTTGTATTTTTAGTAGAGATGGGGTTTCGCCATGTTGGCCAGGCAGGTCTTGAACTCCTGACCTCAAGTGATCTGCCTGTCTTGGCCTCCCAAAGTACTGGGATTACAGGCATGAGCCACTGCTCCCGGTCCCTTGACTTGTTTTCTTAGTACAGTCAGTATCCATAAGGGATTGGTTGCAGGACTCTCTCAGACCCCAAAATCTCAAGTCTCTGATATAAAATGGTGTAGTGTTTGCATATAATCTATGCACATCCTCCTGTAGACTTTAGATCATCTCTAGATTTCCCAAGATACCCAAGGTCAAGTAAATGCCATGTAAATTATTTAGGAAATGACAAGAAAAAAATCTGCACAAATTCAGTACATTTTTTCCCCCAAAATATTTTTTCTTTTTGAGACAGAGTCTCACTTACTCTGTTGCCCAGGCTGGAGTGCAGTGGTGCGATCTCAGCTCACTGCTCATACCTCAGCCTCCCGAGTAGTCGGGACTACAGGCGTGCACCACCACACCTGGCTAATTTTTGGTATTTTTAGTAGAGACGGGGTTCCACCATGTTGGCCAGGCTGGTCTCAAACTCCTGACCTCAAGCGATCCACCCACTTCGGCCTCCCAAAGTGCTGGGATTACAGGTGAGCCACCACGCCTGGCCACCCCCAAACATTTTCTATCTGTGGTTGGTTGAATCCATGGATGCCAAACCCATGGATACAGAGGGCTAACTGGATAGCCACCTCTGCCACACCAAAATCTAGAGTTCTTTTTGTTTTTTTTTTTTTTTTAGAGACAGGGTCTTGCTCTGTCACCCAGGCTGGAATACAGTGGTGTGAACACAGCTGACTTCAGGCTCAGCCTCCTGTGCTCAGGCAATCCTCCCACCTCAGCCTCCCAAGTAGCTGGGACAGGCATGTGCCAATACGTGTGGCTAATTTTTAAATTTTTATATAGATGGGGTCTCACTATGTTGCCTAGACTAGTCTTGAACTCCTGGGCTCAAGCGATTCTACTGTCTTGGCCTCCCAAAATGCTGGGATTATACGTATAAGCCACCACGCCCAGCCAATTAATAACTCTTTGTATATTCCTAATTCTACCAATGAAAAGTAATATTGTAAACCGCTAAGTTAACATGCTTAAGGGTCCAAGTGGCTCTGCCTGGTGCACTCTGCTTCATGAAGTTACTCAAACTTAATATTGGCTATCTGGGGCCAAGGTCAGCACTTTCTTTGGAGATACTTGTGAAATATATAACATAATCACATATTTTATAATAAATCTTCCCAGAGAAGAAATTTTTTAACATTCATTATATATTCTTTTTTTTTTCTTTGAGACAAGGTCTCACTGTATCACTGAGGCTGGAGTGCAGTGGTGCAAACATTGCTTGCTGCAGCTTTGACCTCCTGGGCCCAAGCGATCCTCCTCCCTCAGTCTCCTGAGTAGCTGGGACTGCAGGTATGTGACACCACGCTCAGCTAATTTTTTTTATTTTTTGTACAGATTAGGTCTCATTATGTTGCCCAGGCTAGTCTTGAACTCCTGTCCTTCAGTGATCCTCCCCCTCTATCCCCCAAAGCACTGGAATTACAGGTGTGAGCCAGTGCACCTGGCCTAATGTTCTTCTCCACTGAACACCTCAACTTGACATCCTATCATCTCCCTAACTTGTATTTCTCCTGAGTCGTGGAGCCTAGCAGCTTGGTGTATTTAAGTCTACACGACATAGGCATCTTGCCTCCAACCCTGAACAAGACAGCCTGGGCATGTGGTGTGCCTGGTTTGAATTCTGCTTCCTCCCTGCTGTGTGCTTCCACGAGGCATGAATCTCAAAACAGGGGTGAGTGTAAACCTGAGCAGGGAGGGAAAGGAGGACCTAAATATCAGCAGCAGGGAGCAAAGAGGCGGAGAAGCAGGCTCCCTGAATTCACTGACCGTTCCTGCAGAGTATTTAAGATGAAGTTCTAAGTTAATGATTCCATTCAGATTTACCCAGCTAAAACACAAGCTCTCTGGCACTTACAAACCGGAAACAGCCAACGTCCCCAGCTGAAGGAAAGACCTACTCTAGCTGTCACCTTGAGGGCCTCCACAGCTCCCATCTCTACAGTGGCCTCTGCCCGAGAGAGGCCAGGGCTATCCCAGAGCGAGCCCCACCCTGGGGACTTACCGTGTTCCGGAAGGAGTGGCTGCGGATGGGGTCCTCTGCGGCCAGGGCAGCGCTGCTCAGCATGATGAAGACAAGGATGAGGTTGGTGAAGATGTGGTGGTTGATGAGCTTGTGGCAGCCTACGCGGATCCTGCAGGGAAAAGCCGCTGCTTGGAAACAGTCCCAGATAGGGTGGAACACACTGGGTCCTTAAGAGTGTGGGGCCACTGCAGCAAGAGGCCAGGCAGAGGGCAGCTGTCTGCTGTGCTGCCCATGCACCCTGCCCGGCACACCTGAGCAACCTGTCCGTCAGCCTCTCGAAGCCCACCAAAGGCAACCTGTGGACTGTGGGTGGTGTGTCACCTCTGTGCTGGGGGTGCCACACAGACCACTCTGCCAAGTCCTTGGAAGTGGGGCTTGTTGTCTTCCTCAAGATGGGGAAACTGAGGCTTAATAAGAGAATTCTAAAGTGACACTAGTAAGGACCAGGGGCAGAATCGATCCAGGTCTACATCACTGAAGTTTTTCCACTATGACAAGAAACTCATCTGTTTATCTTCCCTGACTGAGAGAGGAAACTGAGGCCAGGCCTGCCCTCAACAGTTCACACAGAATGAGATGAATCCCAGGCTTGTCTTGCAGGTGCAAGGTCATACTATTTATAGTGACCTGCAGTAACTGAGACTTCAGGACATCTCTGGCTGTCTGCAGATTTTGTAATAGATGTTATTATTATTTTTTTAAATTTTGGAGTTGACCCACAAGCAGTCCTCAGAAAGTGAAGGTTGGAGCATCATTTGCTAACATGCAAGGATCTCATGGCCCGGCATGAGAGTTCTCACCAAGTCCTGTGGTCTCGTGAAGCAATGGAGGGTGGCTCATGCCTGACACCTGGGCTCAAACGATGGCTCTCTGGGCCATCAGAACCTCGCTGCTGTCCTCAATGTGCCCTGCGCCTGGTTAGCAACTGGTTATCCATACCCTCAATGTTTGACTTTAGAATTTAAACATATACATATACACATGTATGTATTTATGTATGTATATGTACATATATGTATACACATAAAACATATATATAAAACATACACATAAATATATGTATACACATATATTTAAATTGTAAAGTATATGTGTGTATATATGTATATCTAAAATATGTATGTATATGTTTAAATTCTAAAGTATATACGTGTGTATATGTATATATACCTATCTGTATTCCTGTATTCTATAAGACTATTATAGATAGATAGCTTTTCCTTGGAAAAGATTTTTTCCACTTTCAAACTGGAGTCAACTTTATGTAAGGCGACCCCTCACTTCAAGTCCTCCCTTTTGGGCCTATTTAATGCTGGGCGTACCCCCCTGAGGACCTGAAGGTGGTTAGCAGTTGAGTCTGGGAAAGAACTTCCAAGCTAGTGAGGGCAGGAGTGCTTTGTAGCTTTAGGTGAAAATAAATGCATTCCCTCAACATATATATATATATATATATATATATATATATACACACACATATATATATGTATATGTATATGTATATATATATACATATACATACATACATACATACACACACACACACACACACACAAACACACACACACACACAAAGGGCTGTAGGTGTCAGCAATATCAGTTTAATAACCTTTTTTTTTTAAAGAACACCCAAACAGTGGTGAGCTGTAAAAGCTACCATCACATCTTCATATCTCTGAGGATGCCAGCAGGCCTTGCTTCCCACCTGTGTCTCCCTAGGGCCAATGAATTATAAAGAGTTGTTCTCTGACAGCCAAGAACTACTTCTGCAATTCTAGAAACCTTTCCAGGAGCCATTTATTTCCCCTGGCATTCCACTCAGTCCCAGATGATTTAAAACCTAGAAACTAGCTAGTAAATAAACGTCTTCCTCTTATAGTACTTGTGAGTCATTACCCTGTTCCTTGTGAGCACCTTATCATTTTAACATGAGAAATGCTATTTTAAGTAGACTATCATAGAGCTGAACTGAATACTTACAACCCATAAAATATCACTGTGCAATATGACTTTACAAAGATAAAACTCAATTGGGAAAACTGATCAATCAAGTGGGGGATCTATGAGGATGAGGATGCTATGCGGACCTTGGTCACAAAAATTCTCATCCCACAAGGCATCCTAACAGAAGATCCACTCATTAGGAAAAATTTCCACGGCTGGCCGAAGCATGGAACACCAGAGCAGTGAGCTCCAGCTGGAATATGCTGGGGTGGACAAGGCTTTCCCCATTGCTGTCCCCATGCAGGGGTGAAGGCAGGGAGGAGAACCTAGAATGGAGCTCCTCCCAGGACCTGGCCACACCCCTGTGGGAAGGAGGCAGCTAGGAAGAGATGAGCTGAGGGCAAGAGCAACAGTGGAGGAGAGAGGGGTTGGAGGGGACTTGGGTGAGGGCGCCAGGGACACTCAGGTTCAGAAAGGGCTGTGAACCACTTCCCCTCACCCCCACCCGAGCCACCCTCAAGCAACCTGTAGGGTCACTGGCAAGAGGCAGCCGTGAGAGACTAGAAGGGGAGTATTTACGGGTTGGTCTTGCTAAGAATGAAGAAAGCGCTCCCTTCAGGGATGGGGGCAATTTTTTCCTTCATGTTCAACTCCGAGATCCTTCGAGGACGGGGTCCGGCAGGAACCTCAGGTTCATCCTCCTCCTCTTCCTCTTCCTCTTCCCCTACTTTAAATGAAATACTTTTTTTATAGGCATGAAATAAAGACTACATATGGGTTTGAATTATTCTTAATTTCACATGCAAATTTGGCTTAAACTTTAACAACATCTACCTGCTTACATGAATCAAAACCCTCCTGCTCCTTCAGAACATGGACTGAGTGTGTGTTGCAGGGGTGGGGGGTGCTGAGAAGTGTCCCCGTCTGGTGAGCATGTTTAGTTTGCGGGAATGATGAGATTCCCACCAGCGTAAGATCTGACCACAGATGAAAGGTGGCAGTGCTGAGATTCTCACTGCCAACCTCCCAACACCTGGCTGTTTCCCCAGTAACCTCCTCGCTCAGACTAGCCTGAGAAACTGTGTGGGACTTTCAGTCTCAATCAGCTCCTAGGCTCCCAACTCCACAGTCCCACCCACATCAGCCAATAAATGTGCCAGTCAAATATAAAAGTGTCAGGTGAGCGCTAACACCGGGGGGCCTCCTGGACCAGTCTCCCAGCAGAAGCTGGGACTGCCCTGACCCACCTGCACTTTCCCTCCCCATCACCTGGAATTTGAGTGACACATTCTGCCTGTGACCATGGGAAAAAGGCGAGCTAACTGGTCCCACGGCCTTGGTGGCCTCAGCAGCTCATGTGCACGCTGCTGGGCTGGCTGGCCGCAGACTCGGCAGGTGGTCACAGAGCAGTAGCAAAGACACACAGCAAAGCCAGCGTCTCCGGCCTCCGCCACCATACCTGGCACATCGCAAGGCGGATAGGGGTCCTTGTCTTCATCCTCTTCTCTATAGTCATCAATTGTAACCTAGGATGACAAAGACATCTTGGGAGGAGGGGAGACTGACTTAAAATCACTTCAGAGAGGAAAAGTCACCCTGGTGGTCCAGCATAGGGCATGGATTCCTCCCCAAAGCTGCATCTGTATTTGAGTGTGCAGGGACAGGCAGATGTCCCCAGATGGTGATTCTGCTTCAGACAGAAGGCCTGAGGGCAGGTGAGAAGAAGGCTGAACCCTGACCCAGTCGTGGTTAGCCAGCACCATTCAGGGCTCTGTCCTTGCCCTGTGCCAGCACATTCACTCATACCATGTGATAATGCATCTCATACTCCTGTCTTCCTGCCAGACTGTGAGCCCCATGAAGGCAGGGACCTGTCTTCTTCATTCCTGAATCCTCAGTGTCTGATACATGATAGCCACTCAGTAAGCATTTATCAACTCGATGAACAGAGAAAGAACAAAACAACCAGGGCTGTCATAAATGGGATTCAGTTTTACAGTATAGCCCTGAGGCCACCTGATCCTGGGATTACCTCTGGAAACAGACATCTATTAAAAATCCGCGATTTTCATACCCACTCAGAAGATGCTAACGTGATCCTGACCACGGGTCAGGGCTGATTGCACAATTCCAATAAAGAAAACATAAGTGGTCAAACTAGTCAATTCTTTATCATATTGGTTTTCTGGTGAAATATCAGTAAACACAACTAACTGCCTAAATTCAACCAGAATCCCCCCTGGGAAGCCAGGGTCTATATGGTGTGCCATATTCTTCACACCAAAATATTACAAGAATGATACACAAGACACTTCCACAGTGTAAATGGTACATGTATGGAGATCAACAGGATCATTTTGAAACAAAAAGGGGAGAAGCATCTTAGAATACATACCTTGTTGTCACTGTTGGCTATCTGGTTGACTTCTGGTTTGTTGTTCTTTTTATTTTCTAGGCTCTCTTTTCTAAAGAGAAGAGAAAAGAGCACAAGAAACCAAATAACCATGTTACTCTGTATAAAAATGCTAATCAGGATTCTGAATCAATAATGCTCCAATGAAGGACAGAATTTAATTAGAAACAACACTAACCACAAGAGCCTAGCACAACCCAAACTCAGAGCTTCCTGGTAATCTCAATGCGATGGATTCATTACACAGACCATCTTATTAAAATTCTCATCTGAGAGCTAATCAGCATTGAATGCATCATTTATTTTATGACACCAAAATTAACTGCAGTGATTCTTTAAGCATGGGGACACGTGACTCCCACTCTCAGCCCCGAGGGATGACAGCCAAGAGCCTGGCTTCTGCCCAAGATTCCATCCGTTTTGGTCTGCAGTGCATGGTCAACCATGATCCACAAAGCAGCAACCCGGGGGCTGCAGCTGCCGTGATGCGGGGGTAAGCCTGGCAGGCTGCAACTGTTGCAGGGCTCCCAACACAGCCCCTGGACAAACACGTCAGGGGAAAATAGGGTTACCTGGCAATCTTTTTCCTCTCCTTTTCTTCCGCTTCTTCTTTCTGAGCAGTGTTCAGACTTTCAGCATCAGCCAAATTGTCTACAGCGATGGCCAAGAAGACATTCAGTAGAATATCTAATTTCAACTTTTTAAGGGCACAACACACTACTAAATGCAACTACGTGCGGCCAACAATGGCAACGCCACACACCTCTGCATCCCGGGAAGCTGGTAGTAAGTGACCGTCCCAAGTGTTATACTCACACAGCAAAACTAGAGTACCAGAGCCCTGCTTTTCAAACAAAACAAAACAAAACAAAACAAAACAAAAGTAAAAACCTGTAAAAGGACAGTCTACAGAAGTAAAATTAAGATTCACTAAAACCCATGAAAACCCACTAATTTCAACCTTTCTCTGTGTGTGTGTGTGTCCAAACATCTACGTATCTATAGCTATGTTATACATTTTATAAAACAATCTATAACATAAACATGGTATAATTAAAAAGTAGTTTGGGTTTTTTTTTTAAACACATACTACAACTACAACATATATATTCAGGGGAGTGCTTTCCAAAACAGACCACTTCAAAGGTTGCAAGTTATTCAAATGATGATGCCCTTGCACAAGACAGTATGAGACTTTCTCCTTTGAAATAACCTTCAGAGTCTACAGATAACTCATTCATTCCTTCACTCCACAAACACTGACTGACTATAATGTGTCTGACTTACTGCCACCTGGTGCTGGACTGTTGTGAATAGTCTCACTGCAGCTCGATCTTTGATCACTGTACCTGAACTTGATTTTTGCCCTCTCCAGCCCAGGACAAATTGCTTCCCGAGGCTCATTGCAGTTCCAGTTAAAAAACACAATAAAAGGTTAGGTGACTGAACAAATTATCATATTTTTTCACTCTTACTCTAATGTTGTATACATGGCTTTCTTGAATGTTTTTGTTTTTAACAAGTATTCTGAACAAGACTCCTAAATCAGAAGATGCCTGTTTCTTACCCACTAGCAGTGAAGCATGTTTTTGAGAAGCACAGGGATGAGAGGGCAATAAGTGAGAAGGCCCCCTTCTGTGACAAATGCTTCTCTCTGCCTGATGCCCGGCCATCTGCAGGCAAAACTGCAGGAGCCCAGAGACCCCGAGACAGGAGCAGCATAGCACTGTCCCATACGCCCTGTGCAATTTGTTGTCTTGGATGGGTTGCTGAACACGTAAACCAACATAACCTAACAAGGAACAGATGATGAAATCTCTGTGAGGGAATAGCACGCCTGACTAATCTATTCAAGGTTTTAAAGAGGAGAGAAACGTAAGTGAATTACATTAAGACTCAAAAAGCCTTTGACATGCTGGCCTATTTTTTAACTGGAGCTGCAATGAGCCTCAGGAAGCAATTAGTCCTGGGCTGGAGATGGCTTGGTAACATGAGCATTCCTCTGCTAGGCCTGGGGTAATGGTAACTCGGACAGGGGCTAGTGATGAGACTAGCTGTACTGAGTATTCCCTCCATGATCTCAGTGAAGAAACAATAATCTCTCTAGTCTTGCCATGACACTCAACTCCTTTGGGTAGTGGAAAGCAAATCCAGAGTGATGAGCCACAGGAAGATCTTACAAGCTTGTAACAACTTTCCAGAGCAAAATCCATCATCTGTATTGAGAGGCATTACTCAGACCCTCCTAAAGAGTGGCATGCTCTGGAATTCATCCAGAAAGATCTACCAAGTACCTCCAATGTGTCAGGCACTGTTGTGGGTGCTGAGGGCACAGGAAGAAACACCACACACTGGAATGTCTACTCTAGTTGGGGAAGACAGAGCATAAGCAGCTCCCTAAGCACCTCTGATACAGTGGCATGTGCTATAAAGAAAACAACATGCAACCACAGACAAGCACCAGGGAATACTTCTCTGCAGATTCAAGTCCAGGATGTTGCTGTGGCCTAAAGAGTCAACCATAGGACAGCAGAAAAAGAAAATAATGACCTTTCATTTACCAAGGGCCAACTATGTGCAAGATCCCGTACTCTATTGAGAGATGTGAATACAAAAAGATTCCTGACTCAAGAAGCTTATCCATCTAGTTAGGGAGATGGAGGAATGCCCACTCAAAATTCCAGTAGACAGGCCGGGCGCAGTGGCTCACACCTGTAATCCCAGCACTTTGGGAGGCCAAGGCGGGCGGATCACCTGAGGTCAGGAGTTTTAGACCGGCCTGGTTAACATGGAGAAACCCCATCTCTACTAAAAATGCAAAAATTAGCTGGGCATGGTGGTGCACACATGTAATCCCAGCTACTCAGGAGGCTGAGGCAGGAGAATCACTTGAACCCAGGAGGCGGAGGTTGCAGTGAGCCGAGATTGCACCACTGCACTCCATCCAGCCTGCGTGACAGAGTGAGACTCCTTCTATAAAATAATAATAATAAATAAATAAAAATCCAGTAGACAGAAGAACCTACAGGCAGTAAGAGACGTGGATAAAATCTGAGGGGGAGCTCAGAGGTAGAAGAACCTTCTCTGGGTGGGAGACAGGGCAGGGGTGGCTCTTGTGGAGGGGGCCTTAGAGCCGAGTCAAGGGACTACAAGGATGTATATGTGTTGAGATGGGGTTTTTATAAAATACCTTATAGCACAAAGCATTGTCCTTGTAGAAAAGGGGGCAGGTTTGCACTGAGGTTACCACACTGAAGAAAATTTATCAGTGAGCCAGACAAGATAAAGAAGAAAACACCTACAGAGATCTGGGCCACCTTAGAAGCAGAATCCAGATTAGGACCTTTTAAAATGGAAGGGTGAAAACCCAGATGTAGTATCATGAGTGTGTACGTCGTTCATGCATCAAACATTCATTAAAGGCCTCTGTGTACCAGGTCTGGTGCTAGGCATGGAGGACCTGGAGATAAAACACCGAGAACCAAAGGCTATAGGATCAGGAAGGGTCTGAATGAGGTAAATACAGATCTAAGGGCCAATTCCAGAAGTCTAGGATTAGAGGGTGCCTCTCGACAGGGAAAAGGGGTAAAGTAAGGCAGAGAGAAGTTATGCAGCATGATTTAGCAGCTAGCCAATGGACACTTGATCCGCAAAGATGGACAGATCAGCAAAGTGAAATTAGCCCAGGGGAGCACAGATCAGTCCACAAAGATGGCTCTCATCAGTCACGAAGGGTCTTAGGAAGTCACAGATGGACGCCTAAGCTCCCAATAATGATAACATAAAGAACCACCTGGCCTTGCGCTCAGCCATCCCTCGGGACCTGTACAGGAGACATGATGCCAAACTGAGTGACCTCTGGGACCAGTATGTGTGCTGTCTCACGCTCCTTCCCTGGGCTTGCTTCTCTTAGCCAGAGCGCATCCCTCAAAGCCTCTCTGGAATTCTGCTTACAGGACGCTGTCCCCCAGCAGCATGGAAGAAAAGCAGATATTGAGCTAATAAGGTAAAGGCATTTACCTCCCTGCCACAACTACTACCACCACCATCACCACAGAGAAATGCAGAGGAAGAAAAACAAAACCAGATAACGACGGCAACAACAAAGCCTGGTCGGCTTGAAGGATACAGTTACCACAAATGAAGAGGATGATGAAGTAGATGCAGACGATCATTCCTGAAGAGGATGGGCCCCCGTAAGCCATGATGCCATCGTACATCACAGCATTCCAGTCTTCGCCTGTCAGGATCTGAGAAGCCAAACTGGTATCAGCCAGCAGGTGGATTCACAAATTGCAGCCGCTCTCTTAGAGCCCCTCGGTGGCTGCCTAGATCTGGTTTAAGCTGCCTTTCACAGTCCAGTTTGCACTGAACAAATCCATCTGTTATCCCATGGAATTTCTAAAACACTGTTTTTTAATTACACAAATAGATAATTCTTTGAGTGAAAAAAAATAACCTTATTATTAAGACTTAAGTGTTTGTTTGTTTTTGAGATGGAGTCTCGCTCTATTGCCAGGCTGGAGTGCAGTGGCTTGATCTCAGCTCACTGCAACCTCCACCTCCCCGGTTCAAGCAACTCTCCTGCCTCAGCCTTTCAAGTAGCTGGGATTACAGGTGACCACCACCACACTCGGCTAATTTTTATATTTTTAGTAGAGAGAGTGTTACAGCAGTTGGCCAGGCTGGTCTCGAACTCCTGACCTCAAGTGTTCCGCCCACTTCAGCCTCCCAAAGTGCTGGGATTACAGGCATGAGCCACCTCACCCAGCCAAGATTTATGTGCTTTTTGATTACACCCCAGCCCAGTTTTAGTCCCTTCCCCAGAAAGCATGCTCTTTCTGTGTCTCTCTGGAACCTTCAACTACAGATTTAAACACGTTTACACACAAAGAAAACAAGCACTAGGTGTCTTCTCTGAGTTTTCAGACATAAAGGATATCATGCTATGCAAAGTTTTCTGCAACTGGCTTGTTTTTTCATTCAACAACATACTCTGGAGACCCTCTGTGTCAGAAGGTGCATCTCATTCTTTTAACTGCTGCATAGCATTCCACATAGTCCATCAACTGTGGAAATGGATAATTATACCTATGAAATTACAAAAGCAGGAAATTCTAAATGTCTCATGTAAATTTACAAAACTACCTCAAGAGTAGATATCACCAATGACCTGAAATTTAATCTTCTCTACTGATCATACTTGATAATTCAATCCATGATGAAATAGAATCAGATGAATAAGAACAGTAATGAAAAAAATGCTATCTTCCGACGACAGACAGAGCTCCTTTATCTTCAATCTGAACTAGATATTTTTAAAATTTAAACTGTTATGGATCACAACCAAACAAAAATGGGCAAATGATTTGAAAAGATAAAGTAATTCACAGAAAAGGCACTACTGATGGCTCTGAGTCATAGGAAAAGACGTTCAACCTCACTCCTGATAAGAACAGTATCTTTTAAAAGTACAATGAAATGCCATTTTCACCTAACTGATGGGCATCCCAAAGCATGCTCTCCACTGAGGGGAGAGGCAGTGAGGCAATGGGCAGTGTGAAGACAATGAGCTAATACAACCATAAGGAGAGCACTTGGGCACGTGTGTCAACATTTAAAATGGACACACCCTCTAAAGCAGCAATTCCATCTCTGGGAGTTTATCCCACAGATCTACAGCCAACACATGTGCCCTCTGATGCGTGTTCAGGGTCACCTACTGGAGCCCTGTGTATGTGGGCTAAGACCAGACAGAACTCAATGCTTGTCAGCAAGGGACTGGTCATATGAACAACGGCACATCTACCACCGCATGGACGCAGCGTTTCAAAGGAGGGGCAGCCTTTTATGGACCAAGCAGGAAGGCTCTTGAGGACACTCAAAGTGATAAAAGCAAGATGCAAAACAGCACGTACAGTGAGCTCCTGTCTGTGGAAAGTCTCCTATAGGTAGCTTAACTGAGTTGTAGCTATCAGAAAATGCAGATCTAAGAATTCACAAGAAACTGTTTAATGGTGGTTGCTTCCTAGAAGAGGAAATTTGTGGCTGGCTGGGAGAATTATTATTCATTTGTAACATTAGAATTTTGTGCCATATGCATGCATTACCAAAAAAAAAAAAAGACACCAGTTTCTCTGAAAGAAATTTTTTTTTAAAAAAGAATCACTGATCAGCAGCCAAAATTTAAGTATAATTCAAACAACAATACTATGGCTTACAGCAGATTATATATACCTGAAAATGACCAAGTGGGAGAGAATTGTCCAGATCATTCCCTTTGGTCTCTGGATTTCTTCAGAAATGGGTAAGTGACTCATCCACAGCAGAGAGCTGGGCATGGAAAGGGCCACCACAGGACCCAGCTGTCTGCTGCCTTTCCTCTCTGGCAGGGCTCTGCAGCTCACATCACACAGGAAAAGCAATGAGGACAGGTGGGTCTTTTAAACTTCCCCATCAGACCCTGTCCAAGGAGGAGGGTTTTGAGCACCTCAGCGTAGAGTCAGGGGAGCATGTGCTGCTGCTCTGAGCAGCAGAGCCATCGGTGCCTCTCTGCAACCACCGCTCCCTTCTCAGCTACTGCCTGCAGAGGCCCCACAGGACAGGCACCCTCAGAATCTTTGTGTCCTCACTGCATCCCAGGAGGAGGACAGAAGGGACCAATGGCTGCCACAGTTCCTACCACTCTGATTCCTCCAACTACACACCAAAGCATGGAGGCATGAGAATTCACTTCTTGTGTAAATCTATTATAACTAGGATTATGAACTGGCCTGCCATCAAAAAGTACCAAAGAGAAAAGAATTTTAGAGTCTATTTCAAAGAAACCTCATAAAATCAATCAAAAAGTTTTCTTGGAAGAGCTTGAGTGTGAAAAACGGTTTTTTTGGTTTATTATTTTGTAATGTAGCTAGAAGTCTTTAAAAAAATTACATCACTTAAGATAGACAGCTGGAGGATGATGCAGAACGAATAACTTAAATGGCACAAAATTTACCAGGCTATGATTAGGGCAGAGATGAACAAAAATGGAGTCCTTTTGTCTTCCTGAGTGTGAGCAGACAAGAAGGCAGAGGAGTTTTAGCTGCTGCTCACGAAGTGCTTTTCGGGGAATGGAGGGAGGACTCACCTGGAACACTGTGAGAAGTGCTTGAGGGAAATTGTCAAAGGTGCTCCGCTTGGTTTGCGTTTCATCAAAATTAAACTTGCCGCCAAACAGCTGCATCCCAAGCAAGGAAAAGATGATAATGAAGAGAAAAAGCAGAAGCAACAGCGAAGCGATGGACTTCATGGAGTTTAATAAGGATGCCACTAAGTTGCTCAGGGAAGTCCAGTGCCTATAAGTCAAGATGAGGGTGTCAGCTCAGAACACCCATGCAGGACAGAGCAGAACATCACCTGCCCGGGGATGTGACTGGTTGCCGCCTCATGTTCATAAAACATTTGCAGTGGGACCCACATTTCCTTACCTGGTCACTTTGAAGATTCTTAAGAGGCGCACACACCGAAACACAGAGATCCCCAGGGGAGACATGATTTCCAGTTCCACCAAGATCGTCTCAGTGATTCCACCACACACCACGAAGCAATCAAACCGGTTGAAAAGAGAGACGAAATATGCTTGGAGGCCCAAGCTGTACATTTTTACCAGCATCTCGCAGGTGAACAGAGCCAAGAGGACTTTGTTGGCAATATCTGGAAAGACAAAGGGGCACCCATCCTCAGGGTCTCCTGCAAGACACTCAGACTGCTCGTGCCCCTCACACCTCCCTCCCTATCAGGCCCCACAGGAAATACGCCAATACCTTGTCTCTCTCTTCACTACCTCACTCAGGACAGAAACGTGGCCTTCGCGTGGACAGTCTGTCCACCAGGTTCTGGTCCTGCTTCTGCTACTAGCTATGTGTGTGACTCTGGAGAAGTTACTTGATTTCTCCAGGTCTCAGTGTCACTGATGACAAAATGGGAAGGGGCAGCTCATCACATAATCTCTGACTCCTTCCAGCCCTAAAAGCCTACGATTCTGCGTTGACACCATCAGGTTATACATATTTTTTCATTCAATCACACAGAAAAGATCTGTCTGAATTCATTTATGGCATGACGATATCAGAAGCAGTCACCTATCAATGTCATTTCTAACAGCTGAAAATATCACCAAGCAGGCTGGAGAGGTAGAGGGAAACGGGTTTGACTGGATGAAAGGAAGGACTTTTCAAAGGCTCAAAACTGTCAAACCCAGAATGGGCTGTCTCTAGGGATGAGTGTCCCACACCCCAGTGCTGGAGCATTCAAAGCAGGGGAACCAAAACCATTTGCCAGAAGTACTATAGGGGAAAATGAAGCTTCCCCGATGAGGGCAGGGAGCAGGGATTACGAGGTCCCTTCCAGCTTCAAGAATTCTTGGTCCTAGGTTGGCTCAGGGTTAGGACAATTAGATGCTTGGCATTAAGTGGCTCCAAGGTGCTTCACCACGCGGCACAGATGGCACCCTCGCTCTGGTAGTTGCTGTGTCTGGATGGTTCTACCAAGTTTGTCCTCACTAGAAATGTTGCGATACTTCATCATGCAGCGATCAGATAAGACCAAATGGCAGTTGGACAGCCACAGAAATCTCTAGTTCAGAACAAAAAAGGAATGGCCTCTGCTTGTACCTTGAATCTGTGTCAACCAATCTGGCTGATTGTAGTGCTCAGAGGAAATGGTTAAGGTGTTCAGAAACACCAGGACGATAACCAGCCAGTAAAACGTGACAGACTTCACGGCGGCCCTACATCTTCTGCGATTGAATCGGTTCCAGCGACGCCAGCGTCGGCTAAAAGACAAGCAAACATTACTACGTAGATGACAGATACAGCATCTGAGTATCCAATAAATATGATTGAGAGATAATTTGGCTTTCACTCTGGAGGTCTAGATTGGGGTGGGAGTGCAGGAAAGAAAGATGAGCACAAATGGCACAGAAATTAACAGACTTCATCATAAAAATTATGTTGGTCTTAAAATGCGACTTTTAAAAGTATAATCTTGACTTGATCATGCTATCAGTCCTTCCTTATGGCTTATAGATAACTCCAGAATCTGTCATATGCAGCCCTTAAGTGGGTTAGAAAATCTAGATATTCATAGATTCACGTGCAGATGCAAAACTACACTTGCACACATATGCAGTTCCTATATCCACCATATGGGACGTGGATCTGCTCATGCAATCAGTGCAGAGAGCCACTTCGCTTATTATACACATCTCTTGCAGCATCTCAATCACCATACAGAATTTACCAGGCAGCAAAGTGCTACAAAGCTAGTTTTTTTTTTTTTAAAGGGAACCTTTTCAATCCTTTCTTAAATCTCTGAGGTTCCTCCAGAGCCTGGCAGAGTTGTCAAAGCTGAGTAGGACATGAATCTTCATACTGAGTCATCAGGTGCCCTTTCTAACTAGTGATGCTCAAAATATACCTTTAGGAGAAGAGCCAATATTGAATCGTGTTTTCATAAAAATAAAATGAGCTCAGCCAAACAGACAAGTAGCATGTCCTCCACCTACCTTCAGTTCCTGATTGTGATTAGAGAAAATATTCTCTCCCTTAGCCTGTCTCCTTCTAGAAAACCTTCCCTGCCACAAGGGGATGCTTTGGTAAAGTGTGCCATGAGCTGCAGCTCAGTGACCCAGATCCCGTGGAAAGGTCAGCCAATTGGTAAAGTCAGTCCTCTCCAGGCTGTGCTGCCTCACTAACGACAATGGGGTACTTCCTCTGGGGGCCTGAGTCAAGAGGAATCTCCAGGCTACCCAAGCTGCAGCCCTGGCTGACTCAGCTGTGTTGCTAGGCAAAAAGAAAATCTGTAACCCAGGAAGTGAGCAGAGAAAGAGTTGTGCCAACTCTTTACCAAAACCTGGATCAAGTAAGGTGTATTTTATTATTACTCTTGCTGTGCAGGTTCCAATGGAAAGAGCAGCTTCTAACATGTTGGCCAGCGTGGAAAAACTCTACTAAGGACACTAAAGACTGTCCCGCTCACAGCTGGGTTTCTCCTAGGATGCATAACTCAGCAGACATGAACTAGTACTCCATCATACTGGTGAACCACAGTGTGTCTACCCATTCACATTTGATGGACCTTTGGGTTACTTCCAGCTTGGGGTAAGCATGAATAAAACTGGTACAAACATTCATGTTACAACTTTGTATGTAGGCATATATCTTCATTTCTCTTATACAAACACCTTAGAAGTGGGATGGCTGGGCCAAATATAAACGTGGTAAATATATGTTTAAACTTTATGAGGAACTACCAAACTATTTTTTTAACGGCTGTGTCATTTGACATGTCCATCAACACTGTATGAAAGTTCCCACCAATCAGCATCCTTGTCAGAACTTGTCATTGTCAGATATTTAAATCTGATTCACTCTAATAGATGTGTAGTGGTATCTAACTGTGATTTTAATGTGCATTTTTGTAACAACTGATGGTCATTTCATGTGCTTATCTGCCATCCACATCTCTTCTCTGGTGAAATGCCTATTAAAAATTTTGCCCATTTTTTATTGGGTTTTTCTATTATTGACACTCTCCTTTATGCATTAATCTTTATATATATGGGATACCAGTCCTTTATCAAATATGCTTTGCAAATATTTTTCTCCAAGTCTGAAGCTAACCTTTTTCTTTTCTTTTGAAGAACAGAAGTTTAATTTTGACAAAGACCAATTTATCTGTTTGTTTTCTGTTACAGAAAGTATACTGGGTGTTGTATCTTAAGAAACCTTTGCATAACTCAAGATCACAAAGACTTTCTCCTGTTTTCTTTCTGGAATGTTCATGATTTTATATTTTATATTTAGGTCTTTGCCTATTTTAAGTTAGTGTTTATATATAGTAGGAAAATGTTTTTGTTGAAAAATGACACTCAGATGAAAAAGTACACTAATCATAGGTATATGGTTCAATGAGTTTTACCAACTGAACACGTAACCCGCATGCACATCAAGAAATGCTAGTACCTTGGAAGACTTCTTGAACTCCCTTTCTATGGAAAGCTTTCGAGCAGAAAAGTGACAAGCAGCAGCTCTCTTAGGAAAATGACTCAGAGGATAAGGAGGATTAATGGGGAGGCAAAACTCGTTACTGAGTCTTATTGGTTTACTTTGAGGGAGATCTTTGGCACCTAAGATCTCCCCCTAAGCCAGGCTCATAGGATTCAATTGACTGACTGCAATTCAGTATCAATGTTATAATCCACAGAGGAAAACTCAAGTCCAGAGCAATACTACGTAAAATTCAGAAGTGAGAACATACAAAGGCAACACACAGGCTGACGAAGAAACAGAAAGAAGATACTGACCTGAGTTTGGATTTTGAGATGGCTTGACTGAAAGAAAGACAAAAAGTGTTAAGATTCTGGTTCCGAGGGCTTGAGCACACACTCCCCATCATTTCAGCTGAGATATCATAAAAGCCATGCATACAGCCTGGACTTAGCACCCCTGGTTACCACAGCAGGCCAGCAGGGGCAAGGCCAGAGCAGAAATTAGGATGCTGCCAGGGCCAGAGGAGCAGACTGAGCACCCTCGAGGCCCAGGTCAGGGAAGACTCGGCCAGATTCCCTGCAGGCCCTGGCAGCAGGCAGTGATGCAGGGGCCAAAATGAAGGCAGCAGAGTCTCTCCTGCCACTCATCTCGACAGCAGCATTTGCTGCTACTACCGCAGAGGGAGCACTGCACTAGGAGTCCCAGCACTGCCATTCTCCCACTGGGTGAGTATGGGAAAGCAGCAGGTCTTGGGCCTCAGCATTCTCATCTGTAAAGTGGGGATGACAAACCCATTCTCTGTCTGCTTCATGATGTCTCAGAGAGGGCAGAGCAAGAGAATGGAGGCAAAATCACTTCACAAATGGTTGCATATTCTGCCCATAACACATCATTTTTATGAAACTCTGCCAAGAGTAAGATTGAGTTCTCTTAAAAATGACACCTGCACTTTACAGAGATAAGACCTGAAGGATACCAGCAAGAAGCAAACAAAACCAAACCGCACAGGGCTCCCCCACGGCAGACAGTGCCCAGCACATTCTGCACTGCTGGTCCCCCCCAGCCCCCCCGCCAGCTGCCACAGCCCAAATCATCTAGAAAAAAGCCAGTGAGTGTTAATGCAATGGTGCCTTCCATCATGAGGAGAGGCTGGTGCAGGGCTCCAGGGAAAAAGTGCCAGGCACCAAGAAGGCAGGGCCTCGTCATCCAACCGCCAGGCCTGAGGTTAGGAAGGTCCCATGAGCAAAGGAAAACTTAAATACGTAGCACATTCTAGTCAGCAACTCTGCCACAGAAGCTCTTCTTCAAAAGCACAAATGCCAAACCCAGGCTGGAAGGAGAATCAGGCCTTTACCCCCACCGCCGACACCCAGAGGGCCCCGCCTTGGCCGCGCCTCTCCGTCTCCACCAGCACCTAATGGACACAGCAGGTGGCCAGGTTAACCACCACATTCTTCACGGGCTCTACTTACAGGAAGAGGCATGTGAAATGCTGGGCCGGGGGGCGGGGGGGCGGGGGGTGGGGAGGTGTGCAGGAGGGATAGCCCTGGCACAGGAGGAAGCGTGGCGTGGGGTACGAGGAGCCTTCCCACCCGCCACACCCAAGGCGATGGCCCGGGGCTCTGCTGCAGCCTGGGCGGTCTTCCTCACCACCTGCTTCTCTGAGACAACAGGAGGGGAAAGAGGGCAAGTGCTCCCCACACTCACCAGAGACTTCCACAGCAGCCTCGGTTCTCGCCTTCACCGCTGACGTTCTCTGTGTTCACAGACTCAGTCTCGCTGGTGGGCATGCTAGCTGTGGGGAGAAGACGGGCTTCAGAGAGCATGCGGGGCACACTGCACGCCTGGGAGGCAGGCCAGGTGGGAGCCTCTGCCACCAGGCAGACCTCCGGAACCCAGGAGGAGGGTGAAAAGGGCCCTCAGGGCCTCAGCTGGGCTAAGGGAGTGCCAAGGAGCCAGGCATCTCCACTGCAGGCGAGTCTCTGCACCCATGGCCTGTAGGAAACACAGTCCCCCTCGAGGAGGACATTCTATCCCCCTAGACATTTCCAAGAAAGGAAGCTAAGGGATCAAAGTGAATCCTGTGGCTGGGTATAGCACCACTTTATCCTCCTCATCTCTGGGATCACACTGAGAAGCCACCAAAATGTACTTTACAGGTACATCTTTGCTTGCCCCAAAAGGTGCATATAGAACATCTGTGAATAACCCTAACATTTCATGAGTCAATCATCTTAAATATACTGAGGGAGAAGAGCTATTGTGAATGGGGAAGGCAGTGCATGAAGGTACCATGCACAACATTTTTTAGAGTTAAGAACTCTATTTTTTTGCTATTTTACCTGATGCTGAAGTTCTGCTGAGCTTGTGAAGCCAATACACAGAAAGTTCTTACCCAGTAAGCTGGGTAAGAACAACTAGAGCACCAAGGAATTATAGTGTTACGAGTGGAAGAAGAAGATCATTATCAACCAGTGAGCAGAGGGCAAGGTTGACTCTGGTCTCAGTATGACTAGGGTCTCTGGGCCCATCCCACTTCTCCATGGTAGGATCCTGAGCGGAAGTAGAGGAAATGTGGAAACACGCCCACTAGTGTGTGGAGGTCCAGGGTCCACCCAGGGCCACCATCTGGTGCACGAGCGTCTTTTCTCATCCACTTGATTCAACCCCATAAACATCACGAACACGTGCTGGAGCCCAGGCAGTGGAGGAGGGCAGGGGCAAAAAGAGGGCACACAGCACTGCACCCACCTGGAATAGGGGTGAGGGACAGGCAGCCCCCAGCTCACTTCCATCAGCTGTGAAGAGAGCTACCTCAGGGGTCTGTGCAGGAGGTTCCAGAGTAAAGAAGGATTAATTCTGCCGGGGTGCAGAGGTAAAAGAGGAAGTCACGGAAGAGAATCCACGTGTACTTCCTTTTTCCTGAGGCATGGCTTTGAACTGTAGTGACTGTTTTTACAGACCTTACGATGTCTTCAGGAAAGCTTGGCCCATGGGCTCTGCCCGTGTGGCTCCCCTTAGCAAGGATGCCTCAAGTTTCATCTGCAAATACTGGTAGTGGGCTGGAAGCGCTATGGCGAAGATTCTGAGGCCCAGCCCAGGCTCAGGGGGAAAGGAGCTGGATCAGGCAGCTCGCGTAGGGGGCTGTGTTCGGCCCGCCTTGCTCATAGCAGACTTCATAAAGGTAACAGCAGGGATAGAGGTGGAACCTGGCTCAAGGAACCCAGTGGTCTGAGAAGTTTCTTGAGGATACCAAAGAAGATCCCTGATCCGTTCCGCTTGTGAGTGCCCGAGAAACTGAGCCTGCCTGCATGGGAGCCTCCACGCCATGCCCAGGAACACTGAGGCAAGGGTGTCAAAAGTTAAGACCAAGTGAGTAAAATTATAGACTCATGTTACATTGCTGGTACTCTCATAGAATAATTTTCTTCTTTCCTAAGTGAGAAGAAACCAATTACAAACCTTGATTTACTTTTTCATTATTTCATGCAGAAACAAACAAACAAAAAAAACTGGACAAAAACAAACAAAAAATACGACTCTAATCATGGAAAAACCTTAAAAAAAAAAACTCCATTAACACACACAGACACACAAGAAGCTACTCATGCAATTCTCCTCGACTGTTCCTCACTCTGATTCAGCAGAAAGGTGAGGAGGTTGTTAAATCCAACAAAGAAAATCACAGTGGGAGACCCTTTTCACATCTGATCATGAGTTAACTCTGTGCGGCATTTTCCGTGGTGGTTACTGCAGTGACTGAGGGGACCAGGAGTTGAGGGCAGTATGATGTGGGGAACCCACAGGCCTGGTCCTGTTTTCTGAGTCTCCTGGGCAATGGATCACCTCTCTCCAGGCTTCACTTTCCTGTCTCTAAAATGGTGGTGTGAACTCCACAATCTTGAGGGTCATTTCCATCTTTAACAGTTTGCTATCTCATAGTTCTAATATTGATCATGTAGGAACATTAGTCATTATTTTCAAAAGAGCAAACTTCTGAAAAGACTAAGTCTTTGTGGCTTTTTAATCTCTGGAGTCATGTCTCATGCTGATATCGGTACAGTTGCAGCATTTCAATTCTAAAGCTTCATTTTAAAAACAATCTGATTGAAACAGATAAATTACATATTTTCTATGGGAATGGGGTCATCAGTTAGCATTTCTGGCCCCCTGCCAACTATTAGTGTATGAAATGTTCTAGTTGCTCCCTAGACTAACTGTGGGGAAAGACAAGAAGTAAAATCGAACTCCCCAAACAGCAACAAAGAGGGGAAGATAGTCTCACAGCACTGTGCCAGGGCTCCACTGAGGGTGAGGCAGGGTCCTCCTGCTCTCTGAGCTGATTCTGTCCTTCAGCTGGGTTGGGATAGTGGCTGAGAGCAGGTGCACAGGTTGGCCAGATCTAAGTTTAACCCCGCGTTTGTGACCTGACTTCTGTACATCTCCATTGCCTCACCTGTAAAAGGGTAAGAATGAGATGAGGCATGCGGAGTGCTGGGTCCCCAGGGCTGGATGATCAGTGAGGCCCACACATGTTAACTCCATCATCTCAGAAAAGCTCTCCTGGAGCTCCCTGGAAGCAAAGCGACCAATCCAGTGTCATTTTGCCCTGGCCACTTTCATCATTGCACAGACGCATCTAGTGTGAGCCATCTTCCATACCTCTGAATCAGCTTTGGCCATCATTCTTGGTTTGTATTTTCTCTGTCTTTAGCTGAGTTATTGTCTAACTTTGCCTACTGTAGGCATAGCAACTTCTCCTGTCATAGTTGTTTGACACCTAAAGAGCCACAGGCACATAATAAATAAATATATCCCAAAAAGATGTTGCCAGGGCTGAGGATGAGCAGAGGCAGACGGAAAGAAAGAGGACAGTGCCTACGCTAGAAATTGGAGACCTCATTTGGTCCTGGAAACAGCCCTTGATCCAGCCCCTAAATCTGGGCAGAGGAAACGCACTCTGACCAGGGCCCTGGCAGCCTACCTTCTCCAGCCACTTACTCCCTATCACAGGATCCTTTTCCAAAATATTTCCAGAAGAAATATCACACTTATCCTTTTCCAAAAATATTTGAAAAGATCAGGCTCAGTGGGTATAACAAAGACCTCATTTATTAAAAATAAAGCATTTTACCCTTCACTTGCATTAGGCATTCATTTTTTTAATGTTAAAAAATTAATATGACTTTCCCTTCCTTTAGCCCCAATAGGATCTCATCTATGTTTTTAAAAAATAAAGAAAAGAATCATAGACTGTTAGAACCAGAAGGGGCTTCTGAGAATACGTGAGCAAACTCTTGATTTCTCAGAGGACAGAACTCGCCAAAATGCCTTGGGACACACAGCTGACACTGAGAAATCTCTCCTAACTTCCACTCACCATTCTTTTCAAGTATGTACTGTGGTTTCACTGGTATACATTTTGGTGTTATGTACTTAAAATTCCACAAATCAACAAGTTCCAAAAAGCCAAACGAGTCTATTATCTACCAGTGCTGGTTTACTATTCTGATGACCTTTATTAACCACTCAAAATCTGGCATATAACCAGATCACTTACAGGATATCAGCTCAGTGACCGACGACAGCACAAAAATCAGGCTGCAATGGTGACGACTGGGCTTTTATAAAAATCCAGACAGAAAGAGTCATACAAACTCATGAAGGTAAAGCCATGGGCAAATTACCCGAATACATGGGCTTCTCCTAACTGGCTTCCATAGCATTGTGACTGCCCCATTTAGGTGATGGCCTTGTCCCCTTCAGCAGGGATTCAGTGTTAATTGCTGACAAGTGGCTAGGCCTTATTAGAGGTGCAGGCAGACCCCTCAGACCTCCCCACATTGCCGACAAGTGCCAGTCCCCTACTGTAGAAATAAGCACCAGGGGCCATCTGCACATGAACAAGCTGTGAAGCCTCTTCCCTGACACATTTCAGGAAACTGGAATGTTAGAGCTTTGTTAGAGAAGTTTATTTTTTATATAAATTTAAAAACTACTTTCAGTGAGTCTGGGAAAAACCAAGCATTAGGAAAGCCTGTGACCTGTGAGAGGATGCTGGCACTGCAATTTGCCTGCTGAAAATCTGGAGAAGCTCAAGGCCTATATTTTGCAATCTATTCCAGGCATTGGGATCTCTGGGAAGAGCTCCAGGGCAGACCCTTAGGCTTACAGTGTGGTGCACTGAGATTGGTGGCGGGGGGCCTGGGTGCCACTGGGGGTGAGAGGATGGTGGCAGACAGCAGCCCTGCATGTCCCAGACTGTAATTAGAGTTTCCAAGGCCTTTGCAGCATGGGCAGCCGGGCCAGGCCCCTACTTGGAGCACTCTGTGGATGTGGGTCATGGTGCTTCTCTTTAAGATCTTGCACTGGGCCAGATGTTATCATGGGCAATGCCACACACAGTAAACCAGGGAAATCTGCTGCTTCTCAGGTAAGCACAACTAGCATTTTCACCAAGGTGTAGACATTTATCCATCTACTCTCATGCTGAAGGACGACATTCGTCTCAGCCAAATGTGTCAGGCTTGTGAATTTGGAGGCAAATCTCTCACACACACACACACACACACACACACACACACACACACACATACACACAGAGCAAATGAGTCTATGTGTGGGTCCTAAGCAGGCAGCCTCAAAATTATGTTCACCATTAACAGGTATAGCAAAATCTCAGATCAACCTTCAGTGATGGAGGCTGATGAGGTCAAAAATGATGGAAGAAATGTCAGGAAAGCCTGGTGCTTATCATCAGGTGACAATGGGACAAGTGCCTCTTTTCCCCTATGCTTGGCTACCAGATCTGTAAGATGAGTTGTAGGACAGTATCATCTCTAAGATCCATTTACCTCTGACCTGCTATAACTGCAGGAAGGCAGAAACGCCCACATGCTGGCTGGTTTTACTACCAACAACCAGGGGGTTTCCCTTGCATTCCCCCAGCTCTGCAAGGAGGGGAGGGCACAAGAAGTGAGCCCCTGCCCACCACCCTCAGGAGGGAAGCCAGGGGTCCAGCCAGCAGCCTGCACTGGAGAACTGAGTCCAAGTGCTCTGCATGTAGAATGTCCCAGAGAATGGGGTGCAGCACAGGAAGCAGTAGCTCCCCAGAGGCCTCAGGGCGTCACAGGAGAGCCTCAGTCCTCCAGTCAAGGCACCCCGAAGGGAAGGCTTGCCACACATCAAACTGAGCCCAGAGCCCTCCAGCCTCGTCTAGAACCTGTCCCATTAGTAGCCTCATTCACAGATGTCTTTGGCCTCAGAGCCTCACTCCTCTGTTCTCCACAGGACAGACTTTTTTGCACACTCAGGAATTTATTTTAGCATTTCCTTCCACCTCCAAGCAGCCTAAAGCTTCTCATTCTTTTCAAAGGTAAGGGTAGGGGGTGAGGCTGGACAACTGAGCAGTGGCTGAGTTGTGGCTGCCTTCCTAGGGGACAGGGTACCTGACACCTAGACCTCATGTTTTCATCTTATTTTCATGACAAACATGAGCAGTACCATGACGTACAGGCCTGCCAAATCCAGAAGAAGCCCACACACCCCCTAAAGGCACATGCACATGCTAGTAGAGACACATTAGGCCACCACAGAGTAACAGCCTCTTGCTGCTGTAAAGAAGCCAGGCTCTTCTTGGAGAATGGAGGTCAAGGCCAGACCAAGGTTTCCATGTCTCAAGCAAGAATTATGCCCAGACAATAACTATCTCCGCGTGTTCAGGGACAGGGGCAGCCCAGCATCCATATGAGGGCTCGTGCCCCACCTGGTGCCAGCAGGGTCGGAGTCCTTCCTGAGTCCCCAGGTATTTCAGTCAATAAAAAGCCATTCCCACTCAAAATAAAGTTCCTTAAATGTGTCAGCCTGCTTCCTCTCCCTGCAGATCTCAGAAAGACAATGGAGAAGGCACAAGAATCCTTAAAGAATCACAAGGCCCAAGCCTGCATTCAGCAAGGCAGAACCAAGGAGGGGTGTTTTCTTTTCTGGGGACAGAAATCATTTATCTCCTTTTGGTAACCTCTCCAGAGCTATATTCCTATGTCAGTCTTTAAAGATGTTTTTTCTTATGTCCATGACACTATTTCCTGCTTAGCTGAAGGCCATTCTTCTTGCAGACACCTTCAGGTGCTGCATCAAGCCCAGCCTCCTGTTCATAAACCTTCCGTGAATGCTACAGATAAAAAAGGCAGCCCCAACTCTGCCCCTAACTCACTGTCCCACCTCAGGCAAGTTCCACCTCCTCTTCTCCCTCCTTTGGGGTCCACAACGTGCTGAATGACAAGGGCTTATATCTGATAATCTCTTAATTCCTTTTCACTTTTAGGCCTTCTGATGAGACCTAGACTCTAATATAACCCTCTTCAGATATCCACGGGTTGTTCCCATCTGCGTCCCATAACCTCTCAGCTCAGCATTCCCATGGGGCCAGAGGCCACTTCAAAGAAAAGAGTACAGTGTGTCCCCTCTGTTCCCTTAGTTGTTGGCTTCACGTCCCTGCTGTCTGAATCTCCTTAAACAGACTTTCCCCAGAGTCAGGTGACCAGGGCCGATCCTGGTGGCAGAACTGGGTCGACTGTGCTGGTGTGCATAGGCAAAGCTTTGTGCTGCTGTCGAACCACTGCCATGACTTGGGCAGAGCAAGGCAGGGAGCCAGCTGCTCACCTAACTGTCTGCCTGGGGATGGGCCTGACAGCTACTCCAGGGATTCTGAGGAAGGGTATGTTTAGCATCATTTTAGGACATATCTGGAAATATAACTTTCCCACACGAGCCCATTCTCACTTTCAAAGGCAAGTGCCCCCAAATCTTTGCATCCCTGAAGTCTATTTTTATTTATTTTGATTTTTTAAGAGACAGAGATCGCACTCTGTTACCCAGGCTGGAGTGTAATGGCGCAATATCGCTGACTGCAGCCTCGAACTCCTGGGCTTATGCAATCCTCTTGCCTCAGCCTCCCAAGTAGCTGGGGACTATAGGCATGCACCACCACACCTGATTTTTTTGTTTGCTTCTTTGTTTACAATTTTTGGTAGACACAGGGTCTCACTTTGTTGCCCAGGCTAGTCTCAAACTCCTGGCTTCAAGTGATCCTCCTGCCTCGGCTTCCTAAAGTGCTGGAATTACAGGTGTGAGCCACTGCATCCAGCTAATTTCATTCTTAAAGCTGCCACTACTAGCTTTGGCATAGTCCTGGGCAAAGTAGCCAGAGACTAAAAGACAGAGAAGCAATTTGAAACATGTAGCCTGGAGAAAAAAAAATCAATCAAATAACATTATTGGAATTTCTAAACGGTTTAAATTTAAAAAAATCATTTGGGGAAAAGTATTTTAAAAGTCTGCCTTCCAGTCTAAGAATATTCATGCCGAATCAAGTACATTTTTTGAGTTGGTTCAGCTGCTTCTTTATAAGGTACAGTTCAAACAAAAAGAAAACTGCAATGCTATCTTGGTAAGGGCACATTATTTTGGAAAAAGACAAGAAGAAAGAAATCAAGCAATTAAAATATAGGCATCTTCTGAACACACCACACGGCACATGCACTTCACACAATGCCTATGTGCAAGGAAAAGGTATCAGAGATGTTGCGGAAAAAGAAAGCTCAGTCTCAGCAATTTACCATGATCTTTAGCCCTGCGTTGCCGAAAGCAGCAAAACTTCTTTTTCTTCTTATCCTCTTTAAGCAAGTCGGCCACTGTGACCCCTTCAGGTTGAACACAGGCAATTTCATTATGAAGCAGCAGAGGGCAGCAACAGCAGCCAAACCAGGGCCCCACGCGGCCAGCCCTGCCAGCCAGGTTGCCTCACGCAATGGACGCCCGCCTGCCCCAGACCCCTCCTGCTAGGAATCCAGCTCAGCATCAGAACAGCGGAGAGGAAGTGCCCTTTCCACAGCTATTACACAAACACCTGTCTTTAAGAACCTGTTCTAAATCAACAACCAGCTAACCCATGCTAGATAAAGGTTTCCAGGGTTTGGCTTCCCATCTAAGTAGGGTATTAAGGAAAAGGCACTTTAGGGGGAGTCAGGAGCCCTGTACAGACTGGATATGTGATTCCAAACAGCACTACCATATGGGACAGGACAGGTGGGAGTTCAAAAGGTGGGCTCTGGACTCTGACAGGCCAGGTCTAACCCCAGCCCTGTCACTTCCATGTCAGAAGACTGTGGACAGGTTACCTGATACTGTGAAGCCTTAGTTTCCTCCACACCTGTAAGATGTCAATAATAATTGGACCTGTACTGCGTAAGGTTGTTGTAAGAGGTGAACAGTGGAGACAGTAATAAAAGCAATGTGCCCAGCTTTGGCAAGGCACAATCAACCACCACTACTGTCATCACTACGACTCTCCCATGACCACCAGGTCACGAGAGAAATGACTCTAGGATCTTTAACCCCTTGCAGCCCCATGATTCCATGATCACTCTAAGCCAGCTAGTCTTTAGAGTACGGACCCTGTGCTCTAGGGGAGGGTTGTGCGAAGCAGTGTGAGACAGCAGCAGGAATGCTGGAGTAAGCAAGGGCATGGGCAGCACAGACACCTGCACACTATGGGTAGGCAGAATACTCACGTTCCTAAAATGTGCATCCTTTCTGACACAGCAGACCCTTTTCTTGTATCCTCTCCCACAAAACCATGAACACGAGCACGCAGACACAGGGGCATGTGTTTGCAGGGGTTAATGATAGTTAGCCTGCAGACTGTGGCAGAGCTTGGGTTCAAATCCCAGCTTTGCCACGTAAGTCACATGGCCTTGGGAAGCTACTGAACTGCTTTGTGCTTTAGTTTCCCCATCTGTCAAGTTCCTGTCTCACAGAGTTGTGTGAAGAAGAATGAATGTATTCACCCACAGCCTTTGGAACAGTGTCTCACACACAGAAAGCACCTGACAAATGCTAGTTATTATTACTCTATGTTCTTTCATTCAAGAAGGAAGTAATGGCATGCTCATGTATGGGACAAGCACTGTGCTGGGTGCAGCCACACAACAGAGGGCAGAAACAGACCCTATTCCTGCTGCACCCATGGAGCTGATGGTCTCATGGTGGAGAGACCTCTATAAAGTAGAGGTCCACGTGCTGTAGAGTGCATAGTCCATTGTAGCAGTTTTTATAATGGCAATTTATTGAAAAGAGCCAACATTTTGCTTTAAAAACATGGGAAATATCTGTGGTACATGGTTCAGTGAAAAATACCTGTGTTGGGCATCTTAGGGTGGAAGCTATATGCATGCGGTCTGTGTCATGTATTATGTGCAGTGAGGTGGGGAAGTAGAGGCCCCAAACTTCTAAGTCTGCCTCTCTTTAAGGAGAAGGAAGAGAGAATTTTTTTCTTACTTTATATACTTTGAAATTACATGAATTTTTTATGTAGGCAAATATTACTTCCATAATTAAAATGTATTAAAAACAAATAAAACAACCCTGATTTGAGACTGCAAACTTGGCTGGAGTACCCACTCCTTGTCTCCACAGTGGGGCAACAGTCCCTGAGTCCAGCTCCCATCAGCTCTTAGGAGGCTGAAGGTGATGGCAGACATGCAGGCACTTTTAGAAATTACCACTGCTTTCTATCACCCCTGTGGAGAGAGTCTGCCTGTCCAGACAACTACTCCCAGTGCCACCCCAATGGAGACAGTGTCCAGCCACTGACCCTAGGGCCAGCCCCTGAGTCAGCCCTCCCACTTCCCAGTGAAAGCACTTCCAGCTGCCTCTCCAGTGAGGGCTCTTGACCTGGACGCATATTTACCGTATGCCACTCTAACTGCTGCTGTTTGCTTTACAGCTTTTACTTGAGTATCTTCCATTTTGAACTTGTGCCTTGAGGTAGTTCAATGGTGATGAAAGCAGTTTTGTAAATCAAAATTTCAAAACACAGTCTTTCAAAACAGGACCAGCAAATTGCTATGCCTTATGCTTGCAACCAGCTATAACGTCCTGGTTTTCTGTCCACCCCCAAAGCAAACATTGCAGTAAGAGGCAACTAGGTAGCACATGCAAAAGAGAGGCAGCTAGGGCAACCTGCTCCACCAAGCCCCAGGGTGGCAGAGTCCCCGGGCAGGCAGGGGCAGTGCCCATAGCCTCCAGGACCACTGAAGAAGCAGAAGACAGAGAGGCTGCCCTTGTGGTCAGAGATGAAGTTTCAGGTATGCCCCTCCCTTTCTTTGGGCATCAAATATCTTTACTTAGAGGAATTATTAATCATTAATAGTTCCTACAATAAAATTGCCCTGCTTTTCTGGCCAGAATTTTAGAATGAGCTCCCTTTAAAATGATTTCATTTTTAATGCTTTTTTTTTTTAAGACTAATCACTGACAATGAGAAGAGTTTAAAATAGAATTTTAGGCTTCCAGATTTTAATGGTCCTAGCAAAACTCCATTGTTAACTCAGAAGCAGCTGCATATGTCTAAAAAAATCACTTTGAGATTTGGCAGGGTTTCTTAAGAAACTTGAAGCTCAGCAAAAAGTTAAATAAATTATCCTTGAAAATTTACCAAATGCTCAGGAACTCACTTCAAAGGGAATTTTGTCCATTCAGTTAATTGTGTAACACCAGCTTTCTAATAGCAAATTTATGAAATTGACATTTTAAATATTCTATGAATGCACAAAGCTGGAGCTACCTGTCACCAGTCACCAGACAGCTCAGTTAGAGGCCTGATTGCCTCTCCTCTTCTTTCAAGTGAATGCCTGGAACAGTGTGATATTCAGCCACTGATAGCATCCTGGACTCAGGAGTTCTGAACCCTAGCTTCACATTAGAATCCCCAGGGAACCTTAATGAAAAAGAGCCACCCCTGGCTCCCACCCCAAGATTAATCAAGAGTCTTAGAGGGTGGAGTATGGCATCAAGAAGCATCCAAGCTCCCCAGGTGATTATAACGTACAGCCAGTGTTGGGCATCGCAGACGCATGCAGTGACATTTAGCAGATCAGAGAGAAAAGATAATGTGAGCGCATCTCCAAGTACTTGATTTGACATCTGTTCCCTGACAGCAAGCACCGCCAAACTAGAAATGGACTTCAAGAGCCTGAAAGCTGTGCTGCCCTATCTCGAAAGTGACCTAGTTAACAGATTTGTTTTCCATCAATACTTCAGAACTTTATAGTTTCTGAACAGAAAAGCACAGGGCAATGGTCCTAAGAGGGAGGCCCCACCCTGAGGCTGGTTAGCGGTCTAGGAGAACCTTCAAAAATATTATGTTTAGGAAAGTCAAATACTGCATATTCTCACTGATAAGCAGAAGCTAAATAATGTGTACACATGGACATAGGGTGTGGATGGAATAATAGGCATTGGAGACACAGAAGGGTGGGAGGGTGGAAGAGGCATGAGGGATGAGAAATTACTTACTGGGTATAATGTACACTTTTCGGGTGATGGTTACACTAAAAGCCCAGACTTCACCGCTATGTAATATGTCCATGTCACAGAACGGTATTTGTACCCCCTAAATTTATACCCCTAAAATTCTGTTGAGGTCAACTTTTACTGGTGTCTGATGAAAACAGCAGCAGCACATACTACAACTATGACTACTCCTAGCAGTCACAGAACGTTCAATTGTCACAACAGCCCCATGGGGAGATATATCTTTATCCCCTTCTTGCAGACAAGGAAAGTGGGGTCCAGAGAGGTTGAGTAATTTGCCTAATACTAAAGTCCAAATTCCAAGTCACAAAACTCCATTGCAGCCACATCCGGAGAAGGGGCATCAAGATGCCCTCCAGCCCAAGCCTTTGCCTCCTGTGAGCTCACAGACATCTGCTGTTATTAATGACTTCCTACACCCACTTCTGCTCATCTAGGCTGAGGCTCGGCTATCAGGAAGCATTTCTTCTCACACTGTCACTTCAATCCTCAAGGTCTGGGAGGAAACTGCTCAACTCACATCCAGGACCCAGCTGAAAAGGGCTCTCAGTTGAATTAGCATCCTTAGCCATTATGGACAAAGTCAGGAGCCCGGGCCCTGCGCCATCCTCCTCTCAAGAGGTAACAGAGGAGCAGGGTTGGAGTGGAAGGCACGTGGGGTGATCTCACACCCCCAGGGAGGATGCAGACACCGTAACACTGGCAACACCCACATTTCTACTGCCTGCTAATCAGATGCACAGAGACAGCCCCAGACCTGGCATGTGCATGTGGTGAATCCAGGACTGTTTATTTGGTGAGGAGGACCATGTGGGCCTCACTGAAACCCTCTCCTTGTGTGGTTTTCTGGCTGTGACAGGAAGAAAATGGCTGGCAGCCACAGGAGGCCCCAGGGAAACCTCAACAGTGCTGTCTCCTCCAGAGGGTCTGGGCTGCTGAGGTCTGTGATCAGAGAGGTTCTCTCCTCAGAGGAGGAGGAGACTTGGTGCTCTCAAGTCAGCTAAATCCCATCATGGCCTCCACAGCCAAGATTTCTGTCTTTATTTAAAACCCTCATCAGCAAGGCTCTGGAAATCTGATGACTCGGGAAGCACTGTGAGCCTCACTCCACAGGAAACCCCAGCACCTGGCAAAACGAGCTCCATAAAGAACAAGGGCGCACCACAGAAATATTTGCTATTCTGGATCAAACGTTAAGCTAGTTAATCATTTTGAGTCACACATCACGGTGCATAGCAGAAACAATACTGCTGATGTTCCCAAGACACATTGCAGCTTTATGGGCTTGGGAGCCCCAGTGAGAGTGAATTCTGAAGATCTACAAGGCTTTTAAACAGGTTTTGTTTCTTTCCTAGATTATATTACTGAGCAATGCACTTAAGGGCCCTGAATATTTGTCACTTCGCACACCTTGTTTGTGCCATTTCCCCAGCTTGAAAAAGCCCCCACCCCCAACCTCTGCCGCCCAGGGCTGCTCCTCCCACGGAGCCTTCCTCACATCGCCCCAGCCTGCCCACTCCCACCAGCCAGAATCATCGCGCCCTCCTGGGCTCACACAGCAGAGTGCTGGGCCTTAACAATGGGATCAGCTTCTCACACTAAGCCACTCCTTCTCCATCTTCCCCTCATGGCAAGTTCTCTGAAAGGCAGAGTCATTGATTTCTGTCATCATCAGGTTTTTACAGTGATAGGTCATAGGAAATGCTGGGCTGAGATAAAATGGTTAACCCTCAAGATATCACCTTAAATCCAATGAAAACCCTTAATCCTCAAATCATAGGCCCTATAAACAACTCTACCACGACTAATGTTAGCAACACTAGAACACGAAACCTTGTCTACTTCTAGAGGAGGAGAAATAAACAGAGGAAAGGCCACTGGCCTGTAAGAAGGCCTCACTCAGCTCCCTGGGGGACACAGCTAAACTAGCAAAGAAAGACACTCTGCTGAGAAAAAGGGGCCATACCTCCTCTCGTTTACAAATAACATGTTGGGTTTAGGGGAGATGGGGCAGGTCAGCATCTGAGTTACAGTTTGCAAGTGAAGGGGAAAAGAGCGGTGCAGGCATCTCCAAGCTGCACCTACATGGCCTGTTGCCATACTGCAGGTGCAGAAGCTCCACGAAAGCCATGGGGTTCACGTTGGCTCAACTGCCAAGGGGAGAGCTGTGCAGAGGACAGGCAGACACTCTTACATCTGATCACTTCATAGGCACATCGCTGAGTCTGAGACTCACATGAATGTCTATTTATAAACTCTGAACTTGCATTCAGCAAACAGTTAGCTCTAGAAACCCTCCCTCAGTCTTCTGATCCTCAGGTGCTAAAGTCCTGGCCCCTTCCTGAGCCTGGCAAGAAGCAGGGAGGGAGAGAAGAGAGGCCTGACCCTGCCCACTCCCAGTCAGCACACTGGTTTGCACCAGCCAGGGCATCTGAGATCACGGAACACACTCCCTCCCCATGGAGGCACAGAGCCCAGGCTTGAAGAAAGGTAAGGGCCCTCTCAGTCAAGAAGCCTCTCCACCAGGGGTCTCTCAGCCCCCACTTACACACTCCACAACCTCCAGAAGAGGCACAATTGCACCTCACCCACCCTTCCTATGGCAGCTCACCCCGACCTTCATACCCTCTGTGCTCCAGCTGAAGGGCCCACTGCTTCCTCCCTGAAACCTGGCCTTTGTCCACCTCCACGCCTCCCTCACGCTAGTCCCCTGGGTCAGGGTGCTTCTTCTGACACTGAATGGTCACACCTGCAATCCATCCATCCTTCAGGGCCCAGGCCAAATGCTCCCTCCAGCCCTGTCCTCGATCCCTCGTCGGCGGTGCCTGCCCTCTATGTGTGCCCTGCAGCTCTGCTCCCCAGGGCTGCATTTAGTGTGACAGGCCTGTCTCTCCCTAGGAGGCAGCACTCCACATCCTCTCCAGCTCTGGGTTTCCCCTGTACCCAGCAACAGGCCTTGCTGAGAGCAAAACATCCAAGGCGCTCTGCTCAAGCAGGGACTTGCTCGGCCATCTTCTACAACGTAGGGCCGGCCTCGGGTCCCCAGGCCTCTCAATGGACATGTGCACTTGAAGTACGTTCTTGGTCCTTCCTATCCAACTCTTCTAGATTTGAAGCAAGTCACAGACATCTCAGTCAAATGCATTGCTGGATTCCAGTTTCCACTCTGACCCGAGGCACAAAGGGCCCCAGAGAGAATAAGAGCGCATCTGTGGGAAAAGTATGCAGTGAAAGAGACACCGTGGTTGACAATGGCAATTAATGTCAGTGATGGACTGAGTTCTCAGGCCTTGCCTCCTGCAGAAGGTGCTCTAGGGTGCTTAGTGTCACAGTGTGGGGTGTCGATGGGTGACAGCAAAGCAGCTGTCACTGACTCACGTGCCCCTTAACACCTGCCTAGAATGGTGAGCCGGTTTCCTCCCAGCCCCTGATGGGCTAAGCATATGGCTTCATATGAATAGCACATGTAGGAGCCATGTCAGGTGGCCTAAGAGTAAGAGTCAAGAGGAACCCTGCACTTCAAATTCTTGTCCAATAACACTGTTCACTCTGAGGTGAGGGAAACCACAGCTTCTTCTCCTGTGGTACAAGAATATGTGTCTCATCACCCCTGTGCCCGCACAGAAATGCGCTTACTGAATTTCCCAGGCCAACAGTGGGTCCGTTTGACCTTCCTTGGCTATAAAGCCACCTTACCAAATACAACTCTAAACCCCAAACCTCAGGCAGAAATCCAGAGTCAGCACCAATGCACCTGTTCTCTCCGTGATGTGTGCAGGCAGAAGGGACCAGATGGCTGGGAGGAGGCTGTCCCACTCACAGCCTGGGTCAGAGTCGAGGAAGGCCTACTGCTAGGCGTCTGAACCGCACACTGGGTCTGTCTAGCCAGGGGCAGGAAAGGCGCTACATACTATTTCGTTTGCCTTCCTCTCCTCCTTCTTCCTCATTCTCCGGATCGATGTCCTCAGCTTGGGTGATCCAATCCAAGTAGCCCTTTAGATCCTCCTCCAGCTGCTGCTTCTCCCGGAGCTTCTGGAAATCTCCCCGTGCTTTTGCCTTCTCTCTTTCCTTTGAGAATTCTCTGAAGGAGGCAAAGAGGACAAGCACATATCAGGACATCCTTGGGGACCTGCATCCTGAGCCACTGCCCTACTGCACAACAGTCTTGTGGGCAGGACACACAGCACTGAGTATAGTCACATGAGCACAGCAATGGAGCCACACACTTGGACAGGACAGAAGACAGTGTCTTCCAAAGCAAGACTATGGGGGTCAGAGTCGCAGAGCCCACACCAACACACATGCATCATTTCTTAGAAAATGAACTCCCCTCGATGACAGCGATCTCAAGGGGCCTAGGCCCAAAACACCATGTGCTGTCATGGCAGGCCTCTGACACCCCCCAACAAGGGGCCTGAACTCAGAGACGCCCCACTTTCCCCAGAGCCTCCTCAAAGAGGAGGGACCCAAATGGGCCAAGCTGTGGTCAAAGAGTACCAAGTTTAGAACTTCTTCAATGCTTTTGGACAAACTTTGCATTAATATTGTGTGCTACCCCTTTTGTCCAAACCAAGAGCTCTGAGCAGGCAGCAGTCCTTGCTGGTGCCCACACTAGGCTCCTCTACCCATCACCTGCAGGTTCGGGCCAGAGCAGTGCATGGAGTCAGGGCAGTCCCCACCCCCTCCACAACCCAGTTCTCCCTTCCCAGATGGGAACTCGAGCACTGATGAAGCATTACTGTTTTTCTTAACCCCTGCTACTTGTCATGGTCTTCCCCAAAAGTCTTCCCTGCAGGAGGGGAAGAGGCATATGATTTTCTGCCCATTTATAGGAACACCTGCCCTGGAAAAGATCTGGCAGACAGGTAAATGTTCCCAATTGTGGGGTGTTTATGCTACTTTCCACCATGTGTGCAAGCCTCTGACTATGCATATATACAAAACCCCACATACTCAGGCAAGCCTGAGAGTCAGGTGGACGATTACCCAATTTTTATATATGAGGAACCATCTGCATCTCCAACCGTGAGTTGTTATAGGAGCCAAGATATGTGAGTTAGAGACTTAGTAAAAAGCTGCCAAGGAAGCAGGTGAGGTTACAGCAATGCAGTTTCTGCACACAGACCTTGAGATTCTGACACAGGTTACTTCTGTCTGCCTTCTTGCCTTTGTTCCGAGTCAAAGCCAGCATGTCTCTTTCAGGGTCCTACCTCGATAAGCCAACCCAACCCAACTCAACCCAACCCAACCCACGAATGGGGAAGTGACCTGCTTTCATAAAGCTAACCCCAGCCAGGCACGGTGGCTCACGCCTGTAATCCCAGCACTTTGGGAAGCCAAGGTGGGTGGATCATGAGGTCAGGAGTTTGAGACCAGCCTGGTCAACATGGTGAAACCCCATCTCTACTAAAATAAAAAGAATTAGCTGGGCATGGTGGTGCAGTCCCAGTTACTCAGGAGGCTGAGGCAAGAGAATTGCTTGAACCTGGGAGGCAGAGGTTGCAGTGAGCCAAGTTCATGCCACTGCATTCCAGCCTGGGCAACAGAGCAAGACGCTGTCTCCAAAATAATAATAATAATAATAACAACAACAACAAAACTAACCCCATATTCACACCCGTCTCTTAACTCTAGGCTGTCGAGGGGCTGAACAGATGCTTGCACACCCAGTGACACTAATACTTCAGATAAGAAACTGGAATCCTCACCAAGTGCCACCCTCTGCCCACAATTAGAAAGAATCCCACTCAGACAGAGGTTGCGGCGGGCTGAGATTGCACCATTGCACTCCAGCCTGGGCAACGGAGCAAGACTCCATCTCAAAAAAAATAAAAATAAAAATAAAAAAGAAAGAAAGAAAGGAAAAAAAAAAGAAAAGAAAAAGAAAGGATCCCTCTCATAGCTTCTAAATCACCCCACTTTCCAGACTCCCTGGAACCTATCCTTGGTCCTGTTAGGGCTGTCAGTCTCCACTCCACCCCCTGTGAATAAGGAAGGAGGCCAGGCTTTGTGGATCTAGAGAGTGAGCAGGAGCCGATCTGAGCCCAGACACGTGCTCTGACCTCCCAGCCCAAAGAACACCTGCTGTCTCAAAGAAGTAAGGACTCCAGTGTCTCGCCATTCACATGTACCACACCCTGAGAATGGTTTGGGGTTTCTAGGCCTCCGGGGTTTCCTGACACATGGGAAATACATAACTCAGCTCTAGGTAAATTCACCAAATGATTCTCTGAACTCTGAAAAAATCACAACTCAATCCAGAATCACATCCCTGAGCAACAGTAAGAGGGCTTGGCATGTCATGTATCTGCAGGAAAATGAATTATATAATCTGTTTTCTTAAATACATCTCAAAGAAAAGTGGACCTTCAGTTCTATTATTCACCAGAAAAGTATCCTAGTACAAATCTGTTTGCATGTTTTGATTCCGAACTTAGAATACTAAATTCAGATGGTTACATACAAACAAGGTATTCTTACTTTGGGTCCATATCATATATGGGTTCTTGGGAAAAAAATTATGAAGATAGTAAAAGAGTTACCCTGAGAAGCTTAAGGACATTCATTTTATAATGCATAATTACATACATTATATACATTTTATAATGTATTATAATTATATAATTATATTTTATTTTTAAATTATATAATTATATACATTTTATAATGTATAATTACATACATTATAAAATGAACGTCCTTAAGCTTCTCAGGGTAACTCTTTTACTATCTTCCTAATTTTCTTTTGTAATATTTTATGCCTTTTTAACATTACAAATATAAAAATCCCATTTCTAACAAGCTGCATCACTGTTGTACATTTTCCACTGCTGGGACACAGGTAAGCAGGCATAAGTAAAACTCTACTCTGACTAAAATTCCTAGGAGTAAAAAACCCTGCCAAGTCCTGGTTTATGGCCCACTCACAATGATGGTCACTATCACAAAAGCTCATATAACAAAGCTGCTGATATAGACCCTCTGAACTGATTTTAGACAGTTCTGAATGGCTGAATATTTAGCAGGAAGGTATTATTTATTGATGTGGACAGAGGTGAGGTTTATACAGTAGAAATCTGTTGGCCACAGGGCAGGATGGAGGAAGGGGGCAGGGAGGTAGAGTCCCTGTGATAAACCCAGATAAATCCTTGGCCCTCCTACACCACTCTGGGCTCTTCGTCTGAAGACCTGGCTTCTAGTCCTAGCTCTGTCACTGCTGTGTTCTGAGCTTCAGTTTCCTCACTTCCAAACAGACACAACAATACCTGTTCCGCTGTTTCACAGGAATTAAGCAAGACATTCAGTAAGGCTTTGAAAACACAAAGAGTGGTATCAACGTGAAGTTCAAATGTATAATAGTTGTTGAATCCAGACATAAGAGAGACATTCAAAAGGCAAATGGAAGAGCTTTCTCAAATTATCAAAGGGAGAAAAATTAGCACTAGCTGTGAATGGGCTCTAAGCTGCCACAAACCCGTTAGGATTGGGAGACACATAGAAGGACACATGGGTCCCAAGGCTCAGAGTGATCGCAATGAGCTGGCAAACCCACTGCCAATCCTGTACACTATCTGCTCAGTTGAGAATAACCCATTCCCATCACAACTGACCCTCTGATCCTGAAAATCACACCTCAAGTCCGAGGCACCTTCTATCAAACTTTGCAATGATGGGAAAAAAGTTACTCCACTTTGCATAAGAATTCATCATATTCTAAGAATCCTATTACTAAGAGATTGTTTTACAAAGCTTATTTAATAAAGCTATTGGTAGAAACCAACAGACTTTTGCAAGTGACTAAAAATCCAACAACTGTTATATGCTAGGAGTCTTCTTGTTCCAAACCAGAATTTTGGTTATGGTGTGTCTGATCAAAAGATAAATAAGAAGTGCCTGGATGAAAAAAAAAAAAAAAGCAATAAAGTGTGCTACCCTTTACACACGAAAAACTGGGAAATAAAAGGAGCATATTTCTCTCAGGTGTATCTAAAAGAAAGAGCAGAAAACAAGGGATGGGAATGAATTAGGCCAAAGGAATCAAGGTTGGAGTGACACTCTTAAGTATACCTTTTTCTATAGTTTTGACTTTGGGAACCATGTTAATGTTCTTCACCTTAAATTTTTAAAAATTAAGTCAGTAAGGATGAGATGAAGGGAAAATACCCCTAAACTGAAAGTGATTTGAAACAAACAAATCTGTAATTCAAATGAATACCATAACCAGACTGAAGGAGAAAGACAAAACTAATTCAAATAGCTCATGAATATTTGACGACATACTCTCAGTCTTGGGTAGGATTGGAGTGAGGGATGAACTACAAACAAATGCTGAACTCTTTTCAGTAGCTTTGTTTTTTGCAGTGATGTGGATGAGACCATTCTGAAACTATCTTAGACATATTACAGGATTTAGCCAGTGAGTACATGTGCTAATGCTGCTGGGAGCCAGAGTTCTCGCTGTGGAAGGAGGGACACAGAAACACGGAACAGAGAAGAACCCTCTGGGGACAGGCTGGAATTGAAGGTATAGGTGTGAACTGATGATTTCTAAAAGATGTTTATTTTAAAGTCTGATTTCCAATGTCTGATTTTTAAAAGAGGCTGATATGTGAGTATGTGTATGTATCAATGTAAGTATGTGTATGAATATGTGTACGGAAATGCATATATTTCCTAGGTCTGCCTGTTGAAAGGACTTAGAAGCAAAGATGCTCTGGCAGGTACAAGCACACCTGGTACCCACATCTTGGTCTCTAATAACATTCCCCATTAAAAGGAACCAGGGGACTTTGGAGAACTGGGTGATTCCAGGGCAAGGGTAGGGTAGGTACAAGATGAAGAAAATAAGGAAGTGCTCAAAAAACAAAAACAAACCAAAACACATTATGGAGATATGTCATAAGGATACAGGAGCTAGAGAAGTAGCTCCTACTAGCCAAATCTTAGGAAATTTGAGCACTGAAATAACTAAGGACAGTAATAAATTATAAAATATTTTTAAAAATCAGTCCACATGTCTTATGGATAGATAACAAATGAAAAAGTAAATGAGGTAAAATTTAATATTAGGTGAACTGGGGTAAGGGGTACATGGATTATTCACTGTGCTATTTCTATTCTTGGGGTTGTTCTATATATTTGAAATTATTTCCAAATAGAAAAAAATTTGAATGCTTAGAAGATATAACTCCACTACTAACCAAATTCAAATTCATGCTATTACATATTCATTTCAGCTTACCAGCTAGACTGTAAGCTCCTTGCAGGCAGGAACGGACAATGTTGTCTGTCCATTTCTCATGTATTTCTTCCCATGTCTCTATTTCCCCTTGGCGCCACTTCATATAGGCATGCAGGAAGGCTATGTACAAAAAATTGTATCCAACAAAACAAGCCCTACTCCTACTCCTTCAGGAGGCCAGAAAATGTCCCTATAGGACAGAAAGCCCACAATTGCTGGGATCGCCCAGAAGCATGAAATGAGTGTGCCCAAAACTAGACATATCATCTGGAGCAGCCTCCACGGCCAGCTCGCCATTTTCCCTTATTGTGTTCAGGCCTCATGTGGTAGATCTTCTGTCTCTAGGTCATTAAGATATTCCCTTTTATCTCCTGGTTGAGAAGCAATTACTCAGTAAGGAATCTCCCTAACAGCCTAACAGGACAGCTGTGAAGTGTCTTATGCAGGCCTGTCTGCACACACCCATTCCCTGGGCAGCCACAGGAGCTGCGGCCAGAGCATTTCATCAGAGCTTGCTTCCCTCTCTGCTCCAGGTCGCTGCAGACCCAGACTTCCCCCTGGTGGCATCCTACTCAGAATGTCTCACAGCTCCTTGTTGCCTCCCTCAAGGATGAAGGTCAGATGCTTCTGCCTGCCACTCAAGGCCTTCCAGCCTTCTCCCAAGTGCTATTCCAGCCTTATTCACCCATCCTATAAATGCACACCTTATACTCTGGCCACACTCTTCTCAATTCCGCAACCCTGTGAGCTTTTGTCTACAGAATTCCATCCACCTGGGCAGCCTTCTCCCATCTTTGAATCCAGTGCACCTTTCAAGACCAAGCTCAAGTCTCATGCTTTTGGTGACACATTCTCTGGCTTACCCCATCCAAATGCATTCTGCCTGCCTCTAATTCACCAGAAAACTCTACTCATTGAGCACCAAAACATGAATACATGTGTCCCCTACCCTGGGTGGCCCCCTCAGCCTTGCAACCTAACCAGAGCCCAGAGCAACACCTTACCCCATCCCCGCTGGTGAGTGACTATGGGGAGGCAGGGGCTGCTATCACCCTCTTGTATAGACACTGAGGCTCACAGCACGTGGGCACACAAGGCCATGCAGCTGCTGAATCTACCCTAAGCACCTCAACACGATGCCTGGAAGGAAAAGCAGGAGCAGAGGAAGGAGAAGGTAGACACCAGGAGGATGAGGATCAAAACCAGGCTACAAGGCCAGACACAGAGGCTCACGCCTGAAATACCAACATTTTGGGAGGTGATGGTGGGAGGATTGCTTGAGGCCAGGAGTTCGAGACCAGCATGGGCAACAGAGTGAGACCCCATCTCTACAAAATAATTTTTTTTAAGTTAGCCAAGTGCAATGGCATGCACCTGTGGTCTCAGCTACTCAGGAGGCTGAGGCAGGAGGATCACCCGAGCCTGGGAGGTTGAGGTTGCAGTGAGCTGTGACTGTACCACTGCACTGCAGCCTGGGTGACAGACAGAGACCTTGTCTCAAAAACAATCAAACAAACAAAAAAACTAACGAAAACAGGCTTCCTGTCAGTCCAGAAAGGGGCTTAAATACAAAACTAAGGAACCTGGATTGCTTCTCTGTAGGCAAGGAGGAACAGACAGAAATTTGATAGGACTCCTATCAGCTTTCACAGGTGTTATGCGTGAACAGAAAATGAAAATAAGAAGAAAATGGTGCTGAGGAAGACCAGAGACATTCAGTAAGCACTGGGTGATGGGTTGGATTTAACATCAATACCAATGTGGTCAAAAACACACTTCTCATGAAGCCCCAACTTTCTTACACGACTATTTGGAAAAACACCTATGACGCCTGTCACTGACCCCCAACCACCACCATGCTACGGTCACTGTCACCTCTGCCCTTTCCACACCAGTCCCCTGGGTCTAGCACACCAGTGTAATCATCTCCCCTCATGTGGACCTTCCTTGTCAGGGCCCCGTGACACCCCATCTGCCACATGAACATTTCTTGTCCACCTGTTCAGGGAAGAAGGACGGGCTGGGCGGGGCAGGAGGAGGGATGGAGAAGAGAGGCTGGTCCCCAGTATCTGAAGGGCTGCCATATGAAGGAAGAAGGATGCCTGCTGAGGGTCTCGGGGCACAGGCACAAGTTTTGAAATAAGACAACTGATTTCAGCACAGTTGCCCTGGGATGCAGCAACTTCCCCAGACAGGGATCCTCAGTAGAGATGGACTAATGACTCGGCAGCGACACCAGATCACAGCACGTTCTAAAGACCTTTCAGCTGCTGCTGCGACTCCAGCCTCCCCAGCACCTCCTCCACGGGGACCTGACTGCTGTGACTTAGTCCATTTTTTGTTGCCCATTTCTTTCCCTGGGCAACAGCCTGGCACGCTCTTGGACCTGGCAGCCAAGTAGTTTGGTGGCATTGACACCCAAGAAGCATAAGTGCTGAGTGAGTTCACGAGAAATGGCTGCAGGGCGCTCTGACGACAGAACAATGGTATGCGCCCCATACTCATCCAGCCCCCAAAAGACCTTTAGATGGAATAGACAAACACAGCAGAACAAGCCAAAATCGTCTCTGAAACAAGCACAGCCTGAGCCCACCCCACTGTGACTGCATCGCCCAGGGTCCTTCACCTGTGACTGCATCGCCCAGGGTCCCAGGAATAACCAACAGCAGCTTCAGCAGAATACGAGCCTGCACAGCTGGGGAAAGCGACCTGGGTTTTGGCAAAACAGCCTGAGTCTCTGCCATGTCCCCTTCTCTAACAATAACAGAAAAAAGCCCCTCATTTATTTAGATTGTTCCTAGAGTCCTCCAAATGTCTTTACATTCACTGCCCCCTGGGCTGCTCACAACCTCAGTGGAAGAGGCAGGAGGAGGATTTTCACATCCATTTCACAAAGGCCAACACGGAGGCTCAACGAGGCATTGTTGCTGGCCCACATCATATGCCCAGTCAACAGAACAACAGCGTTACTAACCAGGCTCCAAATCCTACGTCCCTTCCGTGGGGCTGTGGCTCACGGGGAGGTCATGAATCAGGACCAGGGAGGGAGGACAGGGCATAAAGCCCAGCTCTGCTCACTACTGCACTCTGATTTTCCCCAAGAGCCCCAACTCAGGACAGAGAAAGGTGACAGCCCCCTTTCCGCTCATCTCTCCACCTGCTGTCCCTCACTCCCACTCAGTAAGCACCACTCCAGGGAGAGAACCCCTTGCCCCAGACCCAGCCAGCCTCCATCTAAGGAGCCCCAGTGGAGCCCCCACGGGCTGGGCACACGCCTCATGTTCTGCAGAGAGGCCACCAGACACTCACATGCCCCAGGATTTACAGGCCCTGACATCCTGATCTCCTGGACCCCTGGCTCAGCCAACACTACTGGAGACAGCACGCCCAGGCTGCAGCCAGCCATCACACACAAACAGAGGTGCAGGTGGAATGGGACTGCCGCAGATGCAAGAGGACACGCAGTTTGCTGTGGGAACTTTTATTTCTTAAACGTCCCATAAAATAAATGGGCCACTGGAAGTCATCTTGATTTAGATACAGGATTTTTTTTTCTTGTGTTGCAATGCTATCTGTTTTAATTAGACCCACATAAAATTTAAACAAACAAAACACTTTGATATTTACATACACATGCAAAAAACAAAACAAAACAAAAAACCCTCGAAACAAAGCAAAAAACAACATAACCTCCATTGAAAACTGCCACGAAAATCACTAGGGACTCAGATTTTTAGTAAAACAGAAGGCTCAGAAATTCAGAAAAAAACAAAGGCAACACTTATAAAGGCAAAGAGAAGGGGGAAGTTGAAGAAGTAACCCACTGATTTTTATCAGGGGAGTCCAGCCTTCTTTAGACCTAAATTATTTCCTCTACATAGACATGAAGGAAATGAAACAGAATGCAAATGTAGTTTGATTCAAAGAACTTTTTTGTTTAAATATAACTTCTTGGAAAGCATAAAGGTTCAGTTTCTGTTCAAGGAAACTAGGAATTTTGTAAAAAAAAAAAAAAAAAATAACAGCAATGTGTGATGTTTCACAATTTAAAAAATTTTTAATCATTGGCACTGGCTCAGCTCATAGTTCATCAAAAGCATTGTATTTGTTCCATTTTTCCCTCAACCATGAAAAGCTGGTGATAGCCAAAGGATGTTCTCTCTGCATGAGACCAATAGGCAGAGTGGGGTGGGGAGGGATTAGGAATACAGCACCCCATAAATAAGACCTGCTCCTTTGCAGGTAATGTCTGTGGGGGGAAGACAGCTGGCCTGGGACAGCATTCTCCAGCAGCAGTCATGAAACACAGCTGCCAAGAAATGCATGGGAACCGCTGGTGGGCAAAAAGGACGAGAAAATGGGGGTCCCTTGTTTACACAGTAAAATATGTTGAAGAAAAACATTTGACAATCACATTTCTATTTTTACTTTTAGTTTTGAGACAGGGTCTGGGCTCGGCTGCCCAGGCTGGAGTGCAGTGGCATGCCCTCCACCTCCTGGGTTCAAGCAATTCTTGTGCCTCAGCCTCCCAAGCAGCTGGAATTACAGGTGTGCGCCACCATGTCCAGCTAATTTTTTAATATTTTTAGTAGACAGGGTTTCTCTATGCTGGCCAGGGCAGTCTCAAACTTCTGGCCTCAAGGGATCCACCCGCCTCAGCCTCCCATAGTGCTGGGAAAACAGGCGTGAGCCACTGTGCCCAGCCAGGGTTGTTGATGCTTTCATTGACATAAAAGACGGTGATGATGTTTAAAACAGTTTTCATCTTTTGGGAAGATGAATCATTTTCAGAGTCGGTGTTTCCTAGCTTTTAATGACTAGGTTGAGTTATCCACCATGAACAGAACACAGGAATTAGCAGCTGGGCCACCCTGCACAGACCAAACCTAACTGTTTACATGTGGCACTTACCCTGAGCAGGAGAGTGCGGTAGGGATGGAGTGAAGGAATGCACCACCTATCTGGTCATGTCAGATCTCTCCTGCCTCCTTTCTGACCTCTTCCCCCTTGAACTGTGTACTCTAGACATCCTAAAGTTCACTCAGTTCCTCCAAGGCATGGAGCTCTTTCAACACCAGGCCACTGTGCATGCTGTTGCCTGCATAACCCCTCCTGCTCTTCCAGATACTATCCCACTCGGCTGGCTCAAGACATAAAGACTTTTCTCTACCTTAGAGTCCTCCAGATTAGAACTCCGCTTTTGCAGAATTTACTTCACAGTCCTGCAATTGGTTTTTCACTATTTTCTTTAACTTACCAGACTGTAAACTCTGTTAAGGAGGGGCTGTGTCTGTCTTATCTTTGTATACTGGTTCCTTATCACAAACCCCGGCCATTAGTAGTTGCTCGATAAAAATCACCTAAATAATTGCTTTCACAAACATGGACTTTACACTAATGAGGATCAAAGACATGCAACTTTGGGCTTTGTACTGGGTGTATTTGGCCACAGTGCATATGTAACTTCAATCACCTAAAACTACACCCATCGTGCCATTGATAAACAAAAACAAGCAGGAGTCTTGTATAAGCCTTAAAATATATATATAATATATATAATATATATTATATATAATATATGTAATATATATAATATATATTATATGTAATATATATAATATATATTATATATTATATATGTAATATATATTATAGATATAATATATAATATATATTATATATGTAATATATATATTATAGATATAATATATATATTATATGTAATATATATTATATATGTAATATATATATTATATATGTAATATATATATTATATATGTAATATATATCTGCAATATATATATTACATATATACACACACACACACTCACACAGAAATAAAGTATTTCAGGCATCTGAGTATGAAATATGCCTTCCTTTCACTGTATCTCCTTGTTTGAGGATAGAAGAGCTTCTCTCTCTTTGAAGGGTTAGTTTCCATGGCTACAAAAGACATGCCAATGCTTCCAGTAGAAAATTTTTCCCAATGATGAGAATCCATGAAGGTTGCATGCTAAAAGTTACAGACTTTGTTTCAATCTTTTTAAAACTTAAACATGTTTTAAGAGGTATTCTTCAATTGGGAGGCCGAGACGGGCAGATCACCTGAGGTCAGGAGCTCAACACCAGCCTGGCCAACATAGGGAAACCCCATTTCTACTAAAAATACAAAAATTAGCCAGGCGTAGTGGTGTGCACCTGTAATCCCAACTACTTGGGAGGCTGAGGCAGGAGAATCTCTTGAACCCAGGAGGCGGAAGTTGCAGTGAGCTGAGATCGCGCCATTGTACTCCAAGAGCAAGACTCCATCTCCCCCCCAAAAAAAAAAAAAGAGGTATTCTTCAAAACCATGGGCTCTCTTTTCTGCCATCACTCTCTCTGAACGAAACAGATCACTTAATCACATGAGCCAAACCAATATCATCACATATCTTCATGACAGGTTTCAAATACTGCTACTTAAGAAGTCACTTCATAAACACACTCTGCTAGACTTGTCAGATTCCAGTTTTTCAAGAAAAAATAAGGAAGATGTGCACATGAAGTCTGGCTTGGGAGGGTGGCAGAACCACCTAAAATGAACACTTTTGAAGGCACCAGCAACCGCAGGGCATGTGCTACTGACATGTCACTACAGTTTGCTGTGTGAAGGGCCTGGTTACACTGCCAGAATAAGCTCGAGGCTGGATCTGCTGTTCAGAGCTGCTAGGGGTTCCCACTGTGGAGGAGCACTGTGGACCCAAGGAAGGGGCTGAAATTGAACCCCCTACTGGCATATCCCTAAAGCAGTCACTGTAGGAAATTCAGCCCAAATCCCACTCGCAGGCCACGGAAACCACCCTGTGAGCTGCATCTAGAGAGGAGAGGGATAGAGAAGATCCCCCCGCAGGGGGAGTGCCCACTGAAAGGCACGGTGGGTGGGAAGTACCTTCCCAGAGCACCCAGACTTGGCTGACGGAGAACAAGGGGCAGAGCACCACACCCCAGGGCTGGGCTCAGAGACTGAGAGATCCACCCTCCAGCAACAGGACCCAAAAGGACCACCTGAGCTCAAATGAGACTTGTCCAAAAGCAGATTCAAGAGGAAAACTAAACCAATTTCTCTGAAGCCTCTGTATCCCATTGTTCCACTCAGCATTGGGTAATTAATTTCAGGAAGAGAAAACAAAAACAAAAACGACAAAGCATAGAGCTTTGAGAATACAGCAGCTGAGGATGTACGAGCACAGACCCAGGCTGGGAAGACAGGGTCCCACAGCGGGTTTCCTCTCACCAGACTTAGAACCAGCTTCCAACTGACGAGAAAAGCAGCTTGGGCTCTGGAGACAGACAGATCTAGATTTAATTCCTAGTTTAACTACTTACTAGCTGTGTAAATTTTGAGAAAATTGATAAACCTCCCTGAGTCTTGATTTCCTCATCTGTAAACTGAGGCAAAGAACACTTACCTCATCAAAGTAGTGGAGATGATTAAAATAAACTGAATAAAGCACAGGATTATAAGCAATTAAAAAAAAATCTAGCCGGGTGCAGTGGCTCATACCTGTAATTCCAGGGCTTTGAGAAGCCAAGGCAGGAGGATAGCTTGAGGCCAGAACCTGAGACCAGCCAGGCAACATAGAGAGATCCTGTTTCTACAAAAAATAGTTTTAAAATTAGCTGGGCATGGTGGCATATGCCTGTAGTCCCAGCTACTTGGGAGGGTGAAGTGGGAGGATTGCTTGAGCCCAGAAATTTGAGGCTGCAATGAGCTACAATCGCACCATTGCACTGCTGCCTGGGTGACAGAGCAAGACCTGTCTCTATAAAAAATATTTTTAAAAAGAAAAGAAAAAAGAAAAATTCTCTCATACAATCCACATCCCCAGACTTGACAATCAAAATCCAGAGACCTCTTCTTATCTGAGAGGCACGAGCCACAACAAACTCCCACATCTATACCTTCACTTCCATCTCCACCTCTGCACCTCCATGCAGACCCCATCCCTGCAGCCCCCAGCCCCCAGCCCCCAGGCTCTCCTAACTCCACTGCACTCTGGGAGGTGGCAGCTTTACCTTCCAGGCACAGCTGTCAACCATCACCTTATTTCAAACACTCTGACAGCTCCCGCAGCTTAAAGAAAAAAAAAAAAACCCTGCCTCTCTCAGTGGGTATTCCCAACTGCACATCTGCTCTGCCCACTGCTCACCAGCCAGCACGGAGCACCCTGGCAGCCTCACCATTGCACTCACTGGTTCCGACAGGCAGGAGGCACCAGGTCCCACTCTCCTGACAACTTGCTTCCTTTCTTTACCATCCTAACGAATCCTGTCCATCCTTCAATGCCCAACTGGAGCCCAGCTTCCTTGGGTGAGGCCCTCTGACTTGCCAACCCTCTGCTGTGCTCCTAGGGCATACTGATAGGTACAGGTTTGACGCTGAAACATCCTTGACTGATAGCCAAAGGGGGACAGAGTGCAGCTGCTGGAATCTACACTGGGCCCTGGAATTCTTGGCATGTGTCTGTGGGCCTGTTTGTAAGTAATAGTCCATGATTTAAGGACAGGTGGGCCTCTGGGGACAGTACACCTCTCAGCAGGTGGTGTACTCTCACCCACTGACTTAAAATCCTTCAGACACAGCAAGGGTCTCCAAGACTCAGAGGCCCAAAACTGCCAGCAGGCAACTTAAACCAAGATTTATTTTAAAGCAGAAATTCGAAGGAATGATGGGTTCACTGTGGATTAATGTTTTATCCCTGAACCCAAAACCAAACTCATGACAGTCAGACTTAGAGAAATCAGGCTAATGCGCCAAGTGCCGCTCCAGGTCTTGGAAGGATGTGAGGCCCTGGAGAGAAGTGCAGATAAACATCCAGACTGCAAATGAGATGACTTTTCCAGCTCACAGAAATGACCTCCGAGGAGGAGGACACAACCAGGCCAGTGTGGAGCTCCCACATACTTGGAAAGGTCTTCCCGTTTATCCAGGCCCTTCCCATCCATTTCTCTCCTTGGTTATTAGGATGGCTCTGTGAGAAAAGTCAGAGATGGGGCGCTCCAATTTTAGGAAGAAAAAGCCTTGATTTGGAAACGTGAAGTATACTGACCAAAGAAGTCATGCCTCTGTAAGTACAGAGCAAGCACACGGGCCAGCACTTCTGACCCCTGCCTTTGTGCTCCCCTCACTACAACAGAGAAACCAGTAATCCCTCAGCCAGCAGAGACCCCACAGGCCAGGGTGGCACAGCTCGCAGCCAGATCACTGCCTCACCCCAGCTGGGCGGACCTCCACCCAAGGCCGAGTCTGTGGAGACTGAAGCTTCCAACAGCCCCACAGGGGCTACTATGAATAAGGCTCTATGAGTGCTCATGTACTAGTCATTTTGTAGACATAGATTTTCATTTCTCTTGGGCAAATACTAGAAATGGAATTGCTTGGCCATATGGTGAGTATATGTTTAACTTTATGAGATACTGACAAACTTTGCTAAAGTAGTTGTATCATTTTATGTTTCTATAAACAATGTATGAGCATATCAGTTGCTCTGTACTCTTGGTGACACTTGGAAATAGTCTTTTTGATTTTAGCTATTGTACTATCTATGTAGCAGTTTCTTAACTTGTACTTCCCTGATGGTTTATGACATAGAACATCTTTAATGTGTACTTACTGGCTACTCATATACATTCTTGTGTAAAGTATGTTTTGCCAATTTTTGAGTTGCTCATCTATTATCTAGTTGTTAAGAGTTCTTCACATATTCTAGATACACAGATGTAAGTGTTGTATTTTCTCCCAGTGTGGTTTCCCTTTAAATTTCTAGTCTTTGAAGAGCAGAAATCTATTTAGAAAATATTTATATGTTTAGCTTTTTAATTAGATCTATGATCGATTTCAAGTTTAATGTTTGTGTCTGGTATGACCTGAGCATCACACTTTTTGCAGATACCCAGTTTCTCCAGCTTATTTTTTTTTTTTTAACTAAAAAGAGTATCCTTTCTCCACTGAATTATCTAGCACCTTTATCAAAAAGCAATTGAACATATAAAGGAATTTCTGAATTTGTTATTCCATTCAGTTATTCTAGTCATCTATCTTTATGTCAAACATTGTATTTATTACAGCTTTACAGTAAATTTTGAAATCAGCAGTATAAGCCCTCCTTCTTTATTTTTTATGATTGTTTTCATTAGAGGTCATTTGCAATTATATATTAGTTTTAGAATAAGCTTGTCAGTTTCTAAAAGAAAGGCTATTGAGATTTATAAATGGGACAACATTCAATGCATAGAGAAAAATGGACATCTTAACAATATTGAGTCTTTCAATCCATGGGCATGGTATATCTTCATTTATTTAGATCATTGTAATTTTACTAATCAGTGTTTTGTAGTTTTCAGTGTAGAGGTCTTCCATATCTTTTCTTATATTCATTCCTATTAGGAATGCTATTGTAAATAATTTTTGATGGTAATTTTTTAAAATTTCATTTTCAACACCTGCAGCTTGTATACAGGAATAAAATGGAATTTTGTATACTGACTTTGTATCCTGTCACCCTGCTATACTCATTTATTAATTCTAGCAGGTTTTTGGTTCAATTATTGGGACTTTCTATGTAGACAATTATGTCTGTAAATAGAAATAGTTTTTTCTTTCTTTCCAATCTTTCTGCCTTTTATCTCTTTGTCTTACCTTCAGACTTTCAATAAAACATTGAATAAAAGAAGATAGAAAAATGGTTACTTTGTTCCTAATCTTAAGAAGAAAAGATTGAGTCTTTCACCAATAAGTATGTTGTCAGCTATAGTTTTTTTTTCAGGCTGAGGAAGTTTTTGCATATTCTTAGTTTGCTGAGAGTTATTAGAAATCATTATAGAATATTGTTAGTAATGTCTGCATTTACTGAGGTGATCGTATGATTTCCTCTTTCATTCTATTAATATGGTAAATTATTTGATTTTCCAATGGTGAATCAACTTATTTCTGGCATAAATCCCACTTGGCCATGAGATATTATTCCTTTCATCCTGCTATATTCTATTTGCTAATATTTGAGAATTTTTGTGTCCAAATTAATGAAGGACACTGTGCTTATTATGTCTTTGTAAAGTTTTGGTATTGAGATTTTGGCCTCATGAGTTGGGAAATGCTCCCTCCAACTTTACTACCTGAAAGAATTTCTAGGGATGGTATAATTTTTTTCTAAATCGGCTGACATAATTCACTTTTGACCTCATCTAGGCTTCTAATTTTCTTTGAGAGAAGATTGAGAGAAGATTCTGTTTGCGATTCTGTTTGCGATTCTGAATTCCATTTAAAAAGGCAAATATAGGACTCTCCCAATTTATTTCTTGGTAGGCTGTGTATTTCAAGGAATTTGCCTGTTTCTCCTAAGTTACCAAGTTTATTCTCTTATTATTTTAATGTCTGTAATATCTGTGGTATCTCCTCTTTCATTTATAAAACTGGTAATTTGCTCTTTTTCCTTTTTTGATTAGTTTTGTTAGAGATTTATCAATTTTTATTACGCTTTCTAAATAACTTTATAATTTGTGTTTTCTATTTTATTTACTTCTGTTATTCTTTTTTCTACTTACCTTGGACTTATTTGGTCTTCTTTTTCTAGATTAGTAGATGGAAATGTAGAACTACTGAGTTTAAACCTTTCTTCCTTACTGATATAGCTATAAATGTCCCTCCAAGCACTGCATTCAACGGATCATACAATTTCCCAGTTGGATTTTATCAGTTTCAAAGTATTTTCTAATTTTTATTATTTTTTGAGTTATAGGTTATTTAATTTCCAAACATTTGGGAAGGTTTATAAACAGCCTGTTATTGGCTTCTGTTTTAAATCTACTGCCATTAGAACAAAGATACTTTGTAAAATTTCAATCGAGAGGTAATGAGACTTTCATGGCCAAGATATGGTCTATGTCGGTGAATGTTCCACGTGCTCTGAAAAGAATGTGTATTCCGCAATTATTGAACACAGTATTTTATAAATATCAATTAGGTCAAGTTGGCTGAATTTATTAACCAATCTAAATATAATCTAGATATTATCTATATTTGCTGTTTTTAACCTAGTAATTATTGAGAAGGAATGATACAAATTTTCATCTATGTTTCTAGATTTATCAATTTCTCCACTTAATTTTAACAACTTTTGCTTCATGTACTCTCAAGCTGTATTTAGGTGCCAACACATTTAGGATCATTGTGTCTTCTCAGTGAATTGACCTTTTTATGAGAATAAAATGTCTATTTCTGAAATGTCCCTATTTCTGGAAATGTTCCTTATACTAAAGTCCAACTTGTGTGGATTAGTACAGTTCATCCATTTTTTATTTTTAATCCATGTCTTTATAGCATCTTAAATTTTTATTTAGTCTGACAATTTCTATCTTTTAACTAAAATGTTGTGTACATTTTCGTCCAATGCAATTATTGATATTACTGGGTTTGTCTACCATCTCGTTGTTGGTACTATATGTTCTTTGTTCCTTTTTCTTCCTTTTCTGACTTATTTTGGATAATTTAGTACTATTTAATATTCCATTTTATCTCTTCTTTTAGCTTTTTAGTACCCCTTTTAAGTCATTACTCTGGAGATTATCATATGCATCCTTAAGTTCTCAGTCTACCATGAATTCATATTATTTCAAAATGTAGTAACTTTATCACAGTGAAGCTCCATTTAACTTCCTTCTATCTTCTGTGTATGGTTATCCTATAATTTACTTTGACCTGTTACAGTTCCCATAATACCTTGTGCTTACTTTAAATTATCTTTTAGAAAATTTAGAAATGAGAAAAAATCTTTTATCTTTGTTTGCCATTTTGATGCTTTTTTTTTTTTTTTTTTTTTTTGACAGAGTTTCACTCTTGTTGCCCAGGCTGGAGTGCAGTGGCGTGACCTCAGCTCACCACGACCTCCACCTCCCAGGTTCAAGCGATTCTCCTGCCTCAGCCTCCAGAGTAGCTGGGACCACAGGCATGCGCCACCACTCTCAGCTAATTTTTTGTATTTTTAGTAGAGACGGGGTTTCTCCATGTTGGTCAGGCTAGTCTCAAACTCCCCACCTCAGGTGATCTGCCTGCCTCAGCCTCCCAAAGTGCTGGGATTAGAGGTGTAAGCCACCGTGCCCGGCCATGCTCCTCGTTTTTAAAGCGGACATTTAACGTTTCTATCTGGTATTATTTTCTTCTAGCCTGAAGAACCTCCTTTAACATTTCTTAGAGTGCAAATTTGTTGGTGACCAATTCTTAGATTTTGTTTACCTGAAAGTTTTTCTACTTCCTTCTTTTGTGAAGGGTATTCTTGCTTCATACAGAATCGTTTTTCCTTTTACCTCTTTGAAGATGTCACCCATTGCCCTACAACTTGCACTATATCTGCAAACAAGTAAATGCATATTCTTATTATTTTCTCCTAGTATGTAATGTGCCCTTTCCCATTTGCTTTCTGTTAAAATTCTCTGGATCTTTTACTTTCAGCCATCTAAATTTGATGTGCTTAGCAGTGGTTCCCTTTGTGTTTCCCCTGCTTGAGGTTTGTTGGGCCTTTTGGATCTGTTAACTTAGTTTTCAATACTTGCAACATGTTCAGCTTTATTTATCTTAAAATTTTTCTTCCTCAATCTCTTTATTCTCCTGTGACTCCAATTTCATATACACCAGATTGCTTATTGTTGTTTTAGAGATCACTAAGCCCTCATCAACTTTTTCTGCAATGTCCAGTCTACTTTTTTCAGATATTGTACTGTTTCTATTTACCTACTGAGATTTACCTATTCTTTTATTATGTCCATCTTTTCCTTCAGTTCCTTAAACAGGCTCATAGTAGTGACTTCAAAGTCTTTGATTATTAATTGCAACATCTGTCATCTTTTGTTTCTATCGACTTTTCCCTCCTTGATCGTGAATATTTTCCTGCTTCTTTTCATGTCTTATAGTTTTGGGTCATGAGGAAAAACATTCTGGGAACATCTGAGTTTTGGTCTCTTCCTTTAACGAGTGTTGATTTTTGTCTTTTTGACAGGTGTTTAATTTATTGGCCATTTCCCTGATCCTTTTGAAGCTTGTTTCTATGCTTTTTAAGTCAGGTCTACAGTAGGCTTACTCAAGGGCTAAAGTAGCTCCAACCCTAAAGCCTGGCGTTTCTGAAGTCTCAGTACCCAATGTATTCAATTAGGTCCTTCCACTACAGCTGAGCAGAACCATATACCTCCCAGCACGGAGAGATTTCCAACCACTTACAGCATTCTACTAGCTGTTCTCTGCCTGGCTTCAATAAGTATCACCTGGCACAGAAGCAGCTTAGTATATGGTCAGATTTCAAAGAACCTCCACTCTGAGTACTGGAGCCCCTTCTCTGCATACTTCTCACCCATACTCTGCCCTGAAAATCCCAGCTATCTTAGCAGCCCTGAACACTGTTCTTTGACCCCTCAGCAAATAGACCATCGTTCTCTGCTGGGCTCTCCCTCTCTGCCATAATTCTAAAACTGTCTCCAGGCAGAAAGCCAGGACAACTGCGGAGTTTACCTCATGTGTTTCCCTTCTCGTAGGGATTGCAATCCTGTATATCCTATTTCCATTTTCTGAAAATAGTTGCTTCCTATTTTTTGCCCAGTCTTTTGTAGTTGTTTATGGTGAAAGGTCCAGTCTGGTAGCACTAGTATGTTGTGGCTGGAAGCAGATTATATGAGCCTTAAGTTGGTCTCTCTACATCCATTTGTGTATCCATCCAATCTATTCATATTACTGCAGCCACAGTGATTTTCATATGCAGATTTTCCCAACATTTTATTAGGAAGAATTTCAAACATCCATAAAAGTAGAAACAATTATACAATGAACACCCATATGCCTACCTCACCTAGATTCCATAATTAACACCTGCTACCTTTTCTTCTTCTTCTTTTTTTTTTTTAAGACAGGGTCTCACTCTGCTCCCCAGGCTGGAGTGCAGAAGCATGATCATAGCTCACTGCAACCTCAAACTCCTAGGCTCAAGCGATCCTCCTGTCTCAGCCTCCTGAGTAGCTGGGACTATAGGCACACACCACATTGCCCAGCTAAAAAGACTTCTGTTTTTTTTTTTTTTTTTTTTTTTTTTTTTTTACCAGAGACAAAGCCTCGCTATGTCGCCCAGGCTGGTTTCAAACTCCCGGCCTCAAGCAACCCTTCCACCTCACCCTTCTGAATTGCTCGGATTACAGGTGCAAGCCACAGCACCCAGCTGCTACATTTTCTTTATCACCTATCTCTGCATCCCCCTATCCATCTATTAATCATCTTATCTTTTTGAAGCATTTTAAGGTAAGTTGAGGATATGAGAATACAGCATAATTTTTAGAAAATGTAAATTTGAATATCACTCCCTGCTTAAAATTCATCCATGCATTCTCTTACCCTTCAGCTAATGACCAAAACCTGTGACATAGTCTAAAGGTCCTACGTGACCTGGATTCTGCCGGCCAGTCTCTTTCCTTTCATCTGACTTCATCTCCAGCTCTCCCAGTTCCTGTCACCCTAGCTTCATTCAGTTCCTCCAGCATCCTCTGCTCCTTCCTACTGTACCTCCTTTCTGTGGGTTTTCCCTTGACTAGAATACCCTTGCCCTAGCTTCTTGTCCCACCTTGCCTGGATATGTGGACTACTCATTCTTCACTTCCAGGATGCTCCTACCCAATAAACTGACAGCAGTTGTGCCTGTTAAACCCTCTCACAGCACATGAACCTTTCTTTCAAAGCATTTATACGAGTTTGTAATTGTCATTTTGGCCTCCATCATTAGATATAAGCTTCACGAAGAAAGAAACCATTTCATTCCACACTGTCACTGCAGTGCCTACACGGTGCCTACATCCCACCACCGTAACCCTGGTGCCTACATCCCACCACTGTAATCCTGGTGCCTACCCAGTGCCTACATTCCACCACTGTAACCCCAGTGCCTAGCAGGGCACTTGGCATACATCTACCACTGTGTAGGAACTGAAAAAAAATTCATTAAATGAATAAGTCATTCTTAGGAAGTTAAGAGAGAGGGAGAAAAAAGGATCCAGCAGGATTTTCTGCTTCTTATTCGTCTGTTATATCAAATTCAACTGCCTGCAGGCCAAGCACAGTTGCCCTATTTCCAGAGAGCTGTGGAACAATGTCATCCGGAAAGCCCTCCAAAGACAAAACTCCATGGTTCTCCAATGCTCTTCTAGCAGCCGATCTAAGTTCTCATAAGACCGTGGATCTTTATGTTCATTTGAGTCTCAAAAATACAGCTCTGAATATCAAAGCTGTTTTGTTTTTTCCAGAGAAAATCTCTTTAATAAATGGTATCAGTAAGGGCTTAAAACCAACACCTCATTCCATGCCTCTCATCTCACACACCAGGGCAGGAACAGTGGCTCTCCTTTGCTCTGTGGCACCATCAATGCTGTCTCATATGGGTGGAGAATACTTAGGGCTAGGGCTTGGGTGCATCCATCTGTTGAAACATTAAAATGAAATCCAGAAAAGGAGCTGTTGAACTTTAACAAGGAAGAGTTCCCTACACTATAGATCTACTGGTCTTTGTATACCAAGCTGCCCTGCAATACCAATATTTGATCTCTGTAAAAGCAATTTTACCATCCTGTAAAAGAATATTACACAAAAGAGAAAAAAAGCATAATGTTGACAGTAGCATCTTAGAGACAATCATCAATTTGTTTCTCACAAGCCAAATTATTAAACTCCTAAATATCCTTTTCATTGTAAAAGTAATGGCAATTGTTAATGCCTCCAATTGAATAGGGACCACAGGAAAATTATGGCTTTAATTTCAACTATTAAGGTAGCAACAGCTTTATAAAGAGCTGGGTCTGTGCATGAAAGCACTGTAATGAATTCTCTTCCCCTAGGATTTGGGATCAACAGATTCAACAGCCTCCCCTGCAACACTAATACCCTCAACAACCTCCCTCTTCTAACCTGCACATCAACAACCCAGAGCACAGGTGGAGGGGGAACTGCGGACAGAGAAGTCAACTCAGCACACAGCTCTCCATCTGCAAAACGAGCATCCAGGAGGGCACATGTGGCCAGAGGTGCCTCCTGGGTCCTCAGAGGTCTTTCTGTACATTATTAAAAAAAAAAAAAGAACTTGGTCAGGAACAGATGATAGCCACAGCTGACAAGTGAGAGCTCTACTGAATCTGTTGCTAGCGCCTGGCTGCTGTCCACTGCTGTTGCCAGGGAAACAGACGTCAGCTTGATGGAAACAAGGATCAGCGAAAACTTTCACTTACCTCGTTTCCACTGATCCCGACAGCCATTTCTATGGAAACAGTAGCTGTAAGCCAGCGGCAGAGAGGTTACCACTCACTTGTTAATGTCAGGTGTGGCTACCAGCCTGTGCACTTCAGGTACCATGGTACCAACAGCACCAGGATCCAGCTGTCAGCTACCCCCAACAGCTGTTAACTCTGCAACAAGAAAGTTCAGTGTTCAAAAGTATATATAAATGTTTAGCTAGGTTCTTTATTAGAAAAAGGAAATTTAGCACTCTCATTTAAAGCCAAATCAGAGCTTAGTTTCTTGTTCTACCAAAGCCAAGCCATGTGAGGGTACCGAAGGACCCTGAATCTTTCCGGCACCCTAACCTCAGCATTCAACTCCATTCACAATATTACTTCATGGTTCAGAAAAGGGGACATCCAACTGTGAACAAATCTTTCACGTATTAGCCTCTTCAAACCAAAGACAAATCCAGCTAAATGTGGGGAAGTACTTTGCTACAAGTAATCATTAAGGGTGTCTTTAGCATTCTGTCAGCTTAATCATCACTACAACACATAGGAAGTTATTTTTTAATCATAAGAACTATCTACAAAGAGTCCTCCCCTGTCCCTTTTAGACTGGACTTCCGTGTGCCTTAGTAGCCACTGGCCAAAAATTCTCTGTTGGCCAAGATATGGAATTAACTCACTATTGCAGTACAGTTTTATTCTGAATATGGTGACAAATCATGCCGATATCCTGGCTACCCCAGGACCCCAATAACAACCTTTTCAATGTTGTAAGCAATTACACTACTCTTTTACAAAGCAGACATATCAGAGGTATATATATTGGAGGAAATTCAATTGTCCATTTTCTGTCAGTAGATGCTGGTAAAGTGTTGAATGAGAGAAAAGTCTTTTTTTTTTTTTTTTTTTTTTTTTTTTTTTTTTTTTGAGATGGAGTTTTGCTCTTGTCACCCAGGCTGGAATGCAATGGTGCAGTCTTGGCTCACTGCAATCTCCACCTCCCTGGTTCAAGTGATTCTCCTGCCTCAGCCTCCCAAGTAGCTGGGATTACAGGCATGCGCCACCATGCCTGGCTAATTTTTGTATTTTTAGTAGAGACAGGGTTTCACTGCCTTAGTCAGGCTGGTCTCAAACTCCTGATCTCGGGTGGTCCAGCTGCCTCGGCCTCCGAAAGTGCTGGGATTATAGGCGTGAGCCACTGTGCCTGGCCAAATGAGAGAAAAATCTAATCTCAGTCATGAAAAATGTATAAGAATGCCTATTCCCAGAGGATATGTCTCCACTTAGAAAATATTCACAAGTAATACAACTACTATCTATTGGTGTGTTTTGCCTCTTGAGCCACCATTCAAGTAGAAGAAATCAGAGATTGTCTGGCTATTACTAGTATGAATTTAAATGGACCAAACCTGATTCCACTATGTAAAATTCTGGTATAGTCAGTCCACAGTACACCGGCACCAGCACCACCTTCCCTCTTCACATTCTCCATCCCATGAATCTTTGCCTTAGGAAACCAAAGCTTCCTAAAAGTAGCCATGCCTGAGTCTTTGTCTAGGCCCCTGGTATCCAATTAGCCAGAATGGGATGTAGGAGGCGAGATTCAAAAACATAAACTAGTTTGAAAATTGCCTTCAGTTTTCTATAATGCTTCGCTTCATCCATGTTCCCTTAAACTTCTAAAGATAAATAGGCCTATAGTAATACAAAATTGGATTGATTTAAAATGATACCTGTGATCTGGTAGGATCTGGAACTTACTAGAACACCAAGAATACAAATTAATTGGTATGATTTTGAATTTATAGACCTGGGCTGGGTTTACATTCAATTTTATGTCATAAGAGTGGGTTTAATAACAATATTTATTGTCTAACAACATACAAGATCTACTTAACAAAGTATTTCAAATATTTTTCATAAGTTGTTGCCAAAACCAAAGGTTTGAATTCATAAGCGAATTATAAATGATTTTGATCTATTCTTTAAAGCAAGCCCAGGAGGGGGTTTATGTAGTAATATCCTTTAGTCAGCAGTAGCTTATGTCATTATATATATAATAAAACATTTTAAAAATATAACTTGGGCTTTTCACTAACACAGACCTATCTTGGCCAGCTATTATTAATTAGTTTGAAAGGACTGAATTGATTCGATTCTTTTCTTGCATCAAATCCAGGAAGAGATGCACCCTTCCTGAACTGTCATAATTTCAATAGGCCAAGCCCTCTACATTCTTCAGCTCACTGAGTCCTCACTGAACTTCACGAAGCTGCTACTGTGATGAGCTCCATTTCACAGATGAGGAAAGTAAGGCTCAAAGAGGTAAGTAACTTGCCCCAAATCTCACAACTGGAAAAGGTAGAACAAACATTCAAGACTTGGTTGTCTGATTCTAAAGCTGGTGTGCTTAACCACTATGTAATAGAAATGCCGTTCCCCTCAATTTGTGCAAAAAAACATTGTCAAATATATAATAACAATGACTTAGACCTGCGTAATACTTTGCAGCTGACACAGTGCTTCCACATTCTCCAGAGCCACCTCTTGGGTGACATTGAGTACAACGTTGATGTGTGTGTAAAGTGTGGCCACCTGCTGGGAAATCCAGAAAATGCTACACTCCAGAATTTCCAAAGAGTACCCTGCACCCTTCCCACCTAACCCAGTGAGGGGAGTGGGGGATATCCACGGATTTAAGATAAGGATATGTTAAATTAGAAAAACCCTTTATGTATTTTTAGAAGCACTTCTACAGTCATTAGCTGATTGAAAACCACCCTGTGTGGGAGACGGCAAGACAGGATGTCGCTGATATCCTGAAGGACAAAGAGACCGAGGCTCAGGGTAACTCAGTGAAGTCCCAGAGTGAACGCGGGACTCCAGCAGGACGGAACCCAAGTCTTCCAGCCCCCTTCCTGGGGGTTGGAGCCACATCCTGGGAGCCTAGGGCGTCCCCCATCTTGCAAGCTCAGACACTGCCACCATAGGGATGGCTGGTGGCAGGTGGGCCCTGAAATGGAGAAGGAGGCAGAGCCAACCAGCCTACCACCCATGACCCCCATGGTCCCCCTGGGAATCTAGCATGATTCTAAAGATGAAAACCTCAAAAGGGAGTTCAATTAACAATTTGAAAAGTGAAAAATTGCCAAACTTCTAGAAGACCACGTGTAATATGTCTGAATTGCAGACTTAAAGAAGACATTCTTTCCAATTCCTGGTCATAATGGGAGCATATCCTCAATGACAACTTAAGGTTAAATTGCAACATTAGACATAGACATTCTCAGCCCCTCCCACAGAGCACTGTGATCAGAGATGGAAGTATTCATCTATATTCATGCATGGCTGCATAGGGTTTACAGTTCATAAACTTCATACTTACCTTGAGGGAAAAAAGACTGTTATAAAACCAAAGATTTTCCCAAAGCATCAGTGTTACAACACTTTACAAATAAACACCAAATCCAATGTGCAGATTAAAGTCTGTTCAAGAATACAATAGGATGGCATGGCCACACACATGACGGAGCCAAGGAGCAAAAACAGATACAGGTATTTCCAAATGGCTGACAGACTTGAAGACATACAGCACCATCTAACATTTCCTCGTGAGAAGGCAATCACATGGTCTCGACCAGCCTTTCTAAAATGAGGGCGTTTTAATTCAGTGCTTAGCGGATTACATTTGTGTTGGTCTGACAGTCCCTCAGGGTCTATGCAACACAAATTGTCTTCCTCTCAACATTTATATCCTTCTGGTTTTGCAGTACCTCTAGTGTTCCCTTAAAAAATTATGAAGACTCTTGAGGCTAAAATTTAAAAAAATAATAATAATTTGCTTAAACAACAACAAAAATATCAATGGGAAAGTAAGAGGGGAGTAGCAGGCAGAGAGGGAAGGTGGTGGTTGGGAGGGCGAGGGGGCGGAGGGGCGGAGGTGGAGGCATGCCAGCCCATCGTCAGTCGCCGGGGGAGATGCCTCCTCATCTCTCTAGTGCAGCTCACAGAGCCTCTGGGTCTGCACCTCTACTGAATATGTGCCCTTCTGCACTGCTTCAAAATGGGCTACCCCATGAGATAATGAACGCCTAAGCACAAGGCCGCTGTCTGTGTCTGAGACATCCTGGCACCCCTCGCCTCTGGACCAGAGCCGGGCACTCTACAGGATCTCAGGAAATACTGGCCAAATCAGGAACAAAGCTGCGAGGCTGTGCTTTGCAGACATGGTTCTGCCTTTACCCAAACCAGCCCTACCGGAGGCCTTCTGGGGGAGTAGAGAGGAGGTCATGTGCAGCCTCTAGGGGTTTGAGCACAGCCCGCACTGACAGTTAAAAATCGCAGAGAAGTCTCGGGTTTTCTTTTATAATTTCATGTGTCATTTCCAGTCTCCTCCATCAGGGATCTAAGTTTTGTTTTGATGAAAAAATATTTTTTAAAAAAATTATTTCCCCCCAAAATATATTTCAGTAAACTGGTTGTTCCATGAAGGAGTGTACCTTTTTTATCCTCCAGCTTTGGGTACCTCCCACGGAGTTGCAGGTTTAATCCCCATTTGTGATAGTGGGAAGCCCCCCCGCCCATCTTTTTCTCTTTTCTTTTTTTAAGCACCTCACGATCTGGCTCCTGCCTCTACTTCATCATGTCTGCTGGGGCAACGGTTCCTGCCTGGGAAAGCTAAAAGATAAGGGATGTCACCGGCACTGTTAAAATTAGTGGTTTCCATGGCCTCCGTCAGTTTAGCTGGGTTTAGGAGACATGAGGCGCCAAGGAATTCACAACAGGATTGCTGTTAACCTTGTATAGAAAGCTCCTGTGGCAAAATCAAATGCGATGTTATTTCTCCAGGAATAGACACCACCCTCACATGTCCAACCCTAGCCTAAGGCCACTGAGGTTTACTAGGAGAGAGACACTTCTCACGTTGAGGTGGAAGGGCCGGAGGCTTGAGGAGCCACTCATCTACAGGAGGCGGCTCAGGCAGGGGAGGGTTATGTGGCCCCATCCCAGGCTCAGCCCCCACTCCTCTCTCTGGCGGGCACTGGCCCCTGGGCCAACTCTACATAGGGACTTCCTGTGACAGTATGCGTCCCTGGTGTGGAACTGACTACATTCAATCCAGGGCAGGTTTAGGGGAAGATGCAGAAAGGAAGCCGAGATGGATAAACGCACTCTGCTTTCTGCTCTGGAAAAGGCAGTGTTTCCAAAAATGCGATTAAAGCCTTTCACTAACTCAGCATACATGAAGACATCACTTCCCCGAGATACAGCCTCGGAAAGAGCAAGATAAAGTGAGTGAGGAGGAGATAAACTTGCCTGGAATCAAATCCATCAACACTACTTCCTGAGGGTGCCTGGGCGCAGCGCAGTGACAGAGGCTCCTCTGGGAGACGTGGGCCCCTCTTGGCCTCCTGGTATCCTGCCTGCCCCCCACAACCCGGCAATGGCTGTATGAAGGAGCTGATTGTGAGAGAGCCATACAGCCCCCAGCTCCCTTCTCTGTAGCACCCCACCTTCTGGGGGTGTCTGAGAGGCGGTGTGGATGCAGGGCTGCCCACAAGGGTTCTGGGATGGCATCTCCAGCTACGGGCAAGGCAGAGCCTGCAACATAAGGAGTTCCCTTTCCAGGCCAGAATCTGTTGCACCCTCTTTATGGAGAGTCAATCCATAGAGAGGAAGTGATAAACAAGCAAACTTCAAAAATCGTGACTGAATGACGGGGTCTCTGTAAGGCCATGGGAAATGTGTGCACAAAAGTCGATCATCACTCTGCATTAAGAGAAGGATTCTGTAAGTTTCGGTTAAAACTGAATCACAGGGACAGTTCTCACAATGACAGCACTAGAACACCAAGCTAATAAAGAATCCCAATCTAAGGAAGATTTTGAAACTGTCCAGTATTTATGTGCTTGAGGCTTATTTCTCCTTCACAGTAAAATCTAAAACTCCCCTGGAAGTATTTATAATGCACTGTGGTGACCTAAAGGGGCCAGGTTATGTACTAATAGACACAAAACGACAAGGAGTTATGTACTAATAGACACAAAATGACAAGGGACAAAAGCCTCTTTCCTGGGGGAGACCAAGGCTGGAATTCCTTTAACTCACTTGTAATCCACCTCTACACGTTCACATACTAACACAACTGGCTTTGGGGGAACGTTTTCATTAAATTAACAGTGTTTGGCAAGCATTGGAAACACGGAATCTCACAGACAGATACAGGCAGAAAGAATCACAGTTCAATCCAAAAGCAACACACTGAGAGGACATCAGAGTCCAAACACATGCAGAGAAGCTGTCAGGGAGCAGCTAGGAGACACGCAGAGTTGCCTCACACGTGGCAGCAGGAGAAGGTGCAACACGGATCCGACTGCTTACCCACTAAGGACACCAAGAACCAGGTTAAGGACGAAAAATGAGCCAAGGATGATCAGACTAACAAAATACACCCATGGCCATTCCCATCCTATCGCATCATTTACCTGTAAAATGTAAGGAGATCAGTTATCAGTTATCCATTTACTAAAGAGCAGAGCCCCAGTTGCAGCTGCCAAACCTCTCAGTGCTTTGCTGAAGGTTAGTGCTCCTAGGACAGGGACTGGGCCTAGGTCCTTCCCTTTTTTTTTTTTTTTCTGCAAATAAGGACAAGCTCAGCGGCTGAAATCTACAAATGGGGACTACCAAAAGCCCACCCAATCCAGCTCATTTTGCTATCGTTTTATAACAATTAATCTGCATTATATTTGGATCCAGACAAATAAAGCAATTATAAATGTATCTCACTTTAGAACAGACAAAAAAAGGGCATGCTATGGAAATTGTTTAAATCTCAAGCAACAATGCTGATTAATTTCTGGTCAATAATCGTTCTATAGTTCTCCTTCATGAAGCCTGGTGAGGTTCCAGGAAACAGCTTGATTTGGGAAGCCTCAGCAGAAAAGAAAGCATCTCAGAGGACACATAAAATGTCTGGCAACCCCTCTTGGCGGCCCTCATCCAGCAAAGCTTGTGTGGTCTTGGCAACTGTCCTCAGGACTCTGCTTTCAAGATGAAAGAGGTGTAGCTTACCCGCTCAATACACCAAGTACAAGATTTAGTACGAAAAATGACCCAAAGATGACGAGACTGACAAAATACACCCAGGGCAATTCAAATCCCATAGCATCATTCATCTGCAAGAAATAAGATGGTCTCATAGGAGTGGGTTAATAAGAGGATTTAATAAGGAGAGAGGGTCACATTAGAGACAGCATTCTATACATTTAATTAAACATTTACTTAGATTTAAATCAGAAACAACAGTAGCCAAATCAGAGACAACAGCAGCCAACACACATTAATCACATATTCCCCATACACACACACAAGCATCCATACACACACACACACACACACACACACACACACACACACACACACACACACACACACACACAGAGTCATCAAGGCTTTCAGGCCGAATAATAGCAGATTTTGGCCCCAGGAAGGAAAATCAGCTGGGATATGGCTTTTTCTTACAGGAAACTGTCTTGATAAGTGATTTTCAGGAAAGGTCTTGGTAGAGGACAAAACTCCTGCTTAGCTAGAACCTATTTTCTATGCTGCCCAAGATTTTAGACTTTGTGTTTAAAGTTTGTGATGGTGGAAAAGTCTTAATTATAGAGACAAACTTGTACCATCTGACTCTATAAACTCTTTTTAAAAACTCCTAAAATAATCTTCTACTGGAAACCAACCTACCCAAGGAAACCAAACCCACCTTAGATCTGGATTATCTGCAACCTGTGAGTGCAAACAAAATGAATGCAGCAAAATGAATGTGAAAAAGAAATTTTTTCAAGGTCAACTAGCTGACACAAGCCACGGGCTCTTTGGGGAATGGGCTTTTTCTTAGCTGCACCCACAGAAAGGAGAAGCAGCCCTTATTCTCCACACTTAGCTTTGATCTAGATGACCCCCCTGGGAGACTGGCTCCAGCTGTGAGCTGACTGGGTTTAGAGGTGAAAGGGTGTGGCCTGAGGAACCCCATTCCCCTATTCCCGGACAAGCTCATGCTGCACATTCAGACACAGTCTCCCTGGCAGACCTGGCCAAAGGAAGCTAGAGCAAACAGGGCTTTAAGGATCACAGCTGGATGGAACTTTCCAGCAGCACAGGTCAATGTTAAATTCAGCAAAACACCTTTCCCAGGAAGGAGGTGTTAAGAACCAGTCAGGGGACAGAATGGATGGCCCAAGGTATGACCCTGCCACAACACCCAGAATTTTCAGCCAATGAGAACTGCAAACAGTCTGGATAGAGCCATCGCTCTTGCCTTGCAGGTGCAAGCCCTTAGGGTGTTAAGCATGTGCTTTCCTGCATATGATCTGGCTCCAGGTTTTAACTTTACAGAATGAGGCTCGTGCATTTCACAATGTTTGCCTCGAGAAGCCAAATAGGGAAAGTGAACATTAAAAAAAATTACCTAACATCTGTTGCTGAAGTCTAGGGAGAGGGCATTAAATCCCTTATGAAACACCTGTTTGGCCACATGAAAATTGATGTGCTTAATAGAACTCATATCAGTCTGCACATCTTACATTGGCAATTAGAGTAATGAATGAGCCTGGGCTGTGGCTGCAATTGTTGATCTAATTAAGTTGGATAAACTAATTTCAGCAGGAAGGCAGAGGGTAATTCATCCAGAGCAACTATACCACTAAACTTACTGAAAAACCCATATATGAAGAAGGAACTGGCTGCCTGGTGTGGTGGCCTGTGCCTGGCCTGGGTCAGCACCTGAGACAGAGCCCCACCTGGGCTTGTTTCCCTCTGTGTTGGAACAGAGGTGCATGCAGCAGGGGAGAAGGTGCCCAACAAGGTGACGGGAGGGCAGACAGGTCCAGGGCTCCCATCAGGAAACCTCACTCTTCCATGACCCTAGCAACCGTCATCTGCTGAGCCATCTGCTTCACCAACCCTCCTTCAGGCCTCAGTCTGGTGTTCCAGAGAATGGCTCTAGTAACAGCTGTCTTCTCTACTTGGGAGGGAAAATTTTCCTTTAAAAAATTTAAAACCCTTTTAATTTCTTGGGAGTAGGTGTTCATCAGATTCACATTTGCTCAAATCAGAAGTATCACTTGGAATGACAGTTGAGGCCTGGAGGGGAAGGCTGGAGATGAATACAGTCCACTGGAGATTCCAAATCTCTAAGTCAGAAGGTGGGGCAAGAGAGACAAGCTTCGGCTCTGAGAACGGTCTTGCTCCCATTGAACCCTTCTCAATCCAAGTCCCTTTTCAGAGCCAAGCATTTCTTGGATCTTACCATATACAAAAGAAAAATCAGAACATGCAAGCTGTTCCCAAAAATACCCACGTGAAAATAGAGACTGCTTGGGATTTTGCCTGTATGGTCTTTATCAACAATGAAGAAACTGGCTTCCACTGAAGGACTTCAATTTAGACTAATTTTTAAAAAACTTATATCAAAGTCATCAAGGGGTGTCATCTGGTGCCCAGGAAATAATTTTCTTTTTAGCTTCAGTTTTCCTTCTTTTAGAAGGCTGAAATGGGCCGGGTGCAGCAGCTCACGCCTGCAATCCCAACACTTTGGGAGGCCAAGGCAGGTGGATCACCCTGAGTTTGGGAGTTCGAGACCAGCCTGGCCAACATGGTGAAACCCGTCTCTACTAAAAATACAAAAATTAGCTGGGCGTGGTAGCAAGGACCTGTAATCCCAGCTACTTGGGAGGCTGAGGCACGAGAATCGCTTGAACCCCGGAGGCAGAGGTTGCAGTGAGCCAAGATCACGCCATTGCACTCCAGCCTGGGCAACAGAGCAAAACTCCGTCTCAAAAAAATGTAAAAAATAAAAATAAAAGGTTGAAATGCATATTCATGTCTCAAGTTATAGACCAATGCAAGGCTGTTTTTCTAGCTGCTGAAAACACTTCTGGAAACTTGGTATACTGGTTTTAACACCCCAGAGCATGCAATAAGAAAAAGGCAAGCCCTCGGCTGGTTACAGAGAGATTTCCTAGGTGCCCTGAATGAAGGAGACTGTCAGCTTGACCATGAGTACTTCCCGTGAAGGTCTGACAGCCAGCACCTCCGTAGGAGTGTGCACTGAGAAAAGAGCTTGGTGCTAAGACAAGACACCGAAATTATTTATCTGGATAGCTGTCTCCTGAAACCAATACTTTTTATTTCCTGCATTTAAAAACAATTTCTTTGAATTGAAGGAAAAAAAATTTCCTCTAAGTTGAAGGGAAAAATTAAATCATGTAAGTTTATTTCTGCATCTTGAGAAGCCCAGAGAGGTTCCATGAACTACTCAAGGTCACACAACCAGGCTAAATAAACACTCTTTCCCTGCCCTACACCCTACTGCCTCTGTGAGCAACAAACACTCACATGTGAGTCAAACAACAGCTCAATTATATTTATGGAACTCACTTTATCAAAGAACTCTACCATAGGTTTCTTTCCACCAGAACTTAATGATCCCACTTCCCACACATCCAAATAGTCCTGTTCTAAGTGTGCCTTTCTACATATTGGACCCACCTTTACTTCCCTTCTCAAGACCCTGCCAGACATTTTCCAGACACTAGTGAGAAGCAAGGCATAAATGAGCTTGAGAACGCTGACTGAATATAAACTTGACTAGATGCAAAACAATGACCCGCAAAGACTTTGTCCACCATATGTAAGTGCCTAAAGGATTCAGAAATGTGCTTGTAGTCAATATTTAAAATCTAATCTCTTTTTATCTCCCAAGATGTCCCCTTTATGCCCTAGTTGTGGATAAAAATAGATATTCAAACATGGCACATCTACACTAATGAGGCAATATGCCTGGTACACTTGAAGGATGATGACCATCCCTTGTGTTTATTGAGTGCCTGCTCGGTGCCAGGCACCATGCTGGGCAGGGATGTTCTGCTGTGTATCACAGCGGTGTGGCTTCCAGCTGACTGTGGCCCATGAAATATTAGGAAGGCTTGGTTCCTTGGCCCCTGCCTATCTCTATGATGAGCTAATAAATGCAATCAACAGGTAATTAAAAACAATCCTGATGTGTTTCAGAGAGTAAAATCTTAGAGAACAGTCGGGAAGACATTACTTAGCTGCCCCCTAGTGTTCTGGAAGGATTCATCAACTGCTGACAGGTGGAAGAATGCCAAGGAAAGAGTGCTGGGTTCTAGTCTAGGCCAGGGGGTCCCACAGCATGACCTGCAGACCAAATCTAGCTTGCTGTATGCTTTTATATGGCCTCAAGCTAAAAATGATTTTTACAATTTGAAATAGTTGGTGGGGGAAAAAATCAAAAGCAAAATATTTCATGACACAGAAAAATCATACAAAATTCAAATTCCAGGGTCCATAAATGAAGTCTGATTAGAATAAAGCCACATCCATTTGCTTATGTATTGCCCATGGCTGCTTCCTAGCTATAGTGGAAGGGCTGAACAGTTGCTGAGGTGACCATGTAGCCTGCAAGGCCAAATACATTTTCTATTTGCCCCCTTATGAAAAGGTTTATAGACCACTGTTCTAGATCAAGGACCACAACCATTTGCTGTAGAACTCGGGGAATGTTCCATGGTCTCTACGCCACTGTCTCCATCTTCAAGATCCCAGACCTTCTATAAAGGGATACAGACTGGGATAAAGTTTATGAATGGCTTGAGATCCCCACCAGAATAAAGATGCTGTGTAATTTATGGAGAGTGCAATTATACTGTCAAAGTATTAACCACGTGATTGTCATATTAATAATAAAAATAGTAATTATATCATCCTAGATGATATTTAAACCTTCTCAGGAAAGTAAGCGGAAACTTTTGCTTCTAGGAGCCTGAAGTTCCCTCTCCTTTAATCATCTACTCCCAGGTTTTACACTTGCTTGGCAACAGGAAAATTCTGAGAATCGATGTGAAGGAATATAACATAAAGTATAAAATTTTTCATCAGTCAAGGCATGTTGGCTCTGCAGCTGACAATTCACCATGTCAATAGAGAGAAAAACAAAGCTGAGAAGAGTCACAGATTTTGATTTTTAAAAAAATCAAAATGTTGTTTTATGTACTGTTTGGGGAGGGGAAGTATCAGTTTGGGCTATTTTGATGATGCTTTTTCTATTTATGAAAAACTTCAAGGGAAGACTGGAATTGAGATCTCAACTAATCTGACTAGAAGTTGCAATTTAGGAAATAATAGCAAAAATGAATGCTTCACCTAACCTGAGGGCCCTCCTGCATACAGAAGCCATGCCCCTGGCTCAGCCAATATCATCTCCTTCCTCCTTCCTCTTTATGAAAAGACGTTTTATGAATATAAATAACAGATGTGCATACACACACACACACACATGCATACACACACACACACACTCACACTCCTATGACAATCAGAAAAAGAAAGGGAAGTAGGAAAAACAAGATATAACATGTTGGTGATGCTTAAACCTGATCAAACTAGACTGACTTTGGGGATTAAAGATAAAAATATAACTTCTTTGCCTCATATTAAATATATAGGGACATCTACAATCCTGTGAGCTGCTGAAGGGCAGCAAAAACCTATTTATAACCATTATATGTTACATTCTTTGAAGTTATGGAGTATAGGAAATCCTGAAAAGTATCTAAAATTTAGAAACTACCAGAAGCTACTTATCAATTTACAGGCCTTCTGTCTAAAAGCTGCTGATTTCAGAACTACTTTATTACTAATTTCCTTTTAACAACTCATGATTGGAATCCTGGTTACTCCCCTTTGGACTTGGATTTAGGCTCAAAATCTACATGTTAGCTGTCTTTACCAGCAACTCTTATACCGTGAAAAACAATTTCTAAACTTCTGTGAGCTTTATTTGCATTCTAACAAACTCAGCCCTGGGAAATGGCTGTTAAAATGCTATAGCACTTATTTTTATACAGCAAATCTTTCTGGCTCTATCAGGAACAAGAGGAATCAGACCCTCGCCTTGAAAGAGTGTCCAACTGTTTTCATGGCAGGCTGGATGGGTCCACCAGCCCTGGAAGTCTACGTGCCATTCCTACCCTTTCTGCCAGAGGTCTGTAGCTTCAAATAGAAAGGAAGACAGCTAAGGTTTTGTGCTGGGATGATTTATAGTAATACTAAAGAATGGGAAATATTATCATGGGAGAAACTCACACTGGGTTTAAGGTTATACTGAGTTATGAAAAGCATGAAAGGGATCCGATTTACATTCCCTTTCTTCCCTTTAGGATCTAGTAGAGCAACCTGCCTTGATGTATAAATGATTAACCTTAGCCTGTGGCAGTCCAGGAGCCTCCTTACCTGGAAAGTGACCCTTTGGCTCTCTTAAGAGTTGAATCAGGATAGCCCTGGCTTCCTGGAGTTCCTCCAAAGGGGACCACTGGGCACCCTTGGCACCAGGTCTTCAGGCAGCACTGGGAAGTAGAGGACTAAAGCCAGAAGCCAACATCGCGCAGCAGCTTCCTGCAACTGAAACTAAGGCCCTCGAGGAGCAGGATGATGAAGACTGCTGGTAAAGACAGCATCTGCTTCCCTTCCCAAATAACTGACTTCAGGGTTTCTTTTCCAGCCACCTCTCCAGTGGCTCTAGCTCACAAAACCCACTTATCCAAGCAAAGAACACTCCATAAACTCTCTCCCCAGGGTACTTACCCAGTAGAGCACATCTGTCCAGCCCTCCATGGTGATGCACTGAAACACAGTAAGCATGGCAAAGGCAAAGTTATCAAAGTTGGTGATGCCTCCGTTCGGGCCAACCCAGCCACTCCTACATTCCGTGCCATTGGCAGTACACTGGCGTCCATTCCCTGAGAACGCACATGGAGCTGGGTCCTCTTCAGCTACGATATCTGCAAACAGAGCAAACAGGCTGTACCGCTCAGGACAGAAACATCAGGAAATCCAAGCCAGCGGAAGGTGAGAACCCTTGCCAGAGCCCGGGACACCCTACCGCCCCATCTGCGTTGCCTCAGGATCCTGCTTGTCCTTCAAGGTTCCCTTCAAATGCTCCCTCCTTAGCGGAATCTGCCATTTCCTCTTGTCAGCATCCATGGTTCTTTTCCTCTGCACCTGCGCTTACAGCATCCTCCTTAGGCTTAGATAGCACAATGCTGTTGGTTTGCCTCATGTTTTTACTTTGGAGGTCTCTTATCTTGTTTGCCAGGACACATTACACAGGAAATCGGGGTGGAAAGGGAGACTGAATTCTCATCTATTCTGAACATAGCTCACACTGAGAACTGGCTCAGTAAATGTGCTGGTATATTGGGCATTTTTTTTCCTATTTTGTTTTAGATTTTCCCCAAACCATGAAAGTTGCTTTGGGGAAAACAAAAAAATTTTAAAGTTAAGTTAGCTACAATTCTCATTACTCACCTGAGTCAGCAAAAAAACATGTTTTGTGCATTTTTCCAATAAAAAGTTCCAATCCTATAATAGCATAGATTATGATTACAAATAATACCAAAAGGGCTATGTGAAGGAGGGGAACCATGGCTTTTATAATGGAGTTCAGGACAACTTGTAAACCTAGGAAAGACAAAAAAAAATAAGTTTGTGAGCCAGGAAGGCACTCCAATGAATCATATATATAATTCCTAACCATGCCTCCTTTACTTAGAACACATAGTAATAAAATTCAAAGAGGTATTTCAAAGCTTTTCATTAATATTAAGCCTGGATGTGAGATAGACTGAAAAGGAACCTTAAGGATCATCTAGTCAAACTCCCTCACTAGACAGAGGGAAAAACTAAGGCCTAGGGAGGGGACTGCCCAATGTCAAAGTTCATCATTCATTTATGCATTTCTTCATCCATCTGACAAAATCTCTTAAACATCTACCATGTGGAAATCATAAGGTTTGGTGCTTTGGAGCAATATGAAGACGGTTTATGTAAAATGTTTTCCCTCAAAAAATTATATTCTAGGAGACATAGAATTAAACACAAATAACTCTACCCTGGGGTAGCACATAGATGCTATATAAATATCCCAATAGTTAAAATTAATAGGTGTTGGGAGTTGAAAAGGCCAAAGGGATTGTGACCAACTCAGCATTCCACTGGAGGCTATATGATCAAACAGCAAACTGTTTATCATGAATGCAGGATGTGGGCAAACTCACGACTGTGCCTACCGCCAGGTTTGCTGAGGGCAATCACTCCCTGGCACCGTGCTCATTGAGGTTATCTACTGGGACATCTAGAGCCTGTTGTTAGAAGAATGCAGTCTTGCAAGTCTGCTGTAAATCAAGCTGCTGACCGACAACAACTCCCCTCTCTCCCTATCTCCTTTACCCAGTAAAATGTGAAAGGCTCTGAAGCTCAGGGCTCTTGTTCACTAGAAGCAAGGAGCCCCCTGACCCCTTCTTCCAAATATACTCTTTTGTCTTTGTCTTTATTCCCATGTTCATCATCCTTTGTTCAGTCCCCCAAGGTCCATGCAGGTGACAAGTAGGGATGAATGGGGTGAAGAAAGGGTCCTGAGGCAGCTTCTCTCTGGGCACAGCCCAAAGGCCAGGTGGGGTGGATTTCCACAGGTGGGCATGGGAGAGAGGCAACTTCAGGGAAGAAGAACAGAGTACCAAAAGCACAGAGGAGAGTAGCACAGTATGGGCTTGAGGGTGGTGAGTCTTGATTGGTGGTTAGTGGAAAAGAAAATCACGAAAGAAAAGTAGATTGCAGCCAGGGTTGTGGGTGTTGAATCCAGGTCATGAAGCCAAACTTTAGATCACTAGCAAAAGGCAGCTGCTTTAGAAAGACCAACAGGACAGCAGCAGGCCAGACACACAGAGAGGTAGTTCAAGAATGCTGGGGTAGGTGAGGGTGAAGATCAGGATGAGACCAGAACTCAGCAACTGAGTCAGAATGAGAGGAAGGTACCTATGGAGCACACCAGTTATTTGAGCCAGGGTCTTGAGGCAAAATCCCAGTGTCCCCAACAAAACTAAGCATTCCAAAGGGAGGTTCTCCAGGAATGAGGGAGGTGGGAGGGGAAGGGGGAGGTTGAGACTGACTTGAGCCTTGTTAAGTATGATGTTGGTATTATGTAACATTAAGGTAGACGTGTCCTGAAGCTGAAATGTGGTCTTGAGAGACAGGCACATGAGAAATGATTACTTCTGCCCTTGTGAGGTAGCTCACGCCTGTAATCCCAGCACTTTGGGAGGCCGAGGCAGATGGATCACTTGAGGTCAGGAGTTCGAGACCAGCCTGGCCAACATGATGAAACCCCATCTCTACCAAAAATACAAAAATTAGTTGGGTGTGGCGGTGTGCGCCTGTAGTCCCAGCTACTCGGGAGACTGAGGTGGGGGAATCACTTGAACCTGGGAGGTGGAGGTTGCAACTCCAGTCTGGGTGACAGAGCAAGACTTCGTCTCCAAAAAAAAGAGAGAGAGAGAGAGAGAGACGATTATTTCCTACATTTAAAACTTTTGCTGCCATGGAGGTCTTAGGAAGACAGGGTCTTGCTGAGTCTGAAATCCTCAGACTCAGACCCATTACTTTCAATGGCAAAAACCGCAATTACGTTCACACCAACCTAATAGAAGCTACCCATGGAGTCATACTCAGTGCCAGAGTGTGGGTAAGGCTACCCGCCAAGGGACAGAAAAAGAGGTCATGAAAAGAAGGATGGGGGCAGCACTCAGGATTAGGATTGGTTGTGAGGAACCAAGAGACTGAGGGAGAATGGGCAGGAATCCAGAACCTGCCCTGGAGACCAGGCCTCCTGACCTTGCATTGGCATCCCCCATCCTCTCCATGGCCCCACGACCTCAGCACGACTGTGCTGCTCACTCTTTTCCTTCTTACCTTCTCCTTCCCTGTCCTTCCCTGTTGTCTCTCCACCTTCAAACTTTCCATCTTCTGCTATCATCTCACTTTCCCAATACATAGTCAGGAAAGAAAGAATGCAAGAAGCTGAGATGCTTACATCGGAAACCAGAATACAGCAAGCAAAGAGAAGACTTAGCAATAATGACAAATCTTTACCGTGATAAGCAGCACAGGAGGAGGCAGGGGAGAGGATGGTGAGGGAAGAGCAGTAAGAGGATTTCAGACTCAGCACGACCCTGCCTTGCTACAACCTCTATTACAACTAAAACTCTGGGTGCTACATCTTTGGATATGTAAATGTCCACATGGTTTTTTCAAAAATGATCAATTAGGATGATTTTCAATATTTTTACCTCCTACAAGGAACACATGGAAAGGAAAAGACGACACCCGTTCCAATCCCCATGGCCAGGTTTCTATCATTGTTTTGGTTTTCTTGAGACACCAATGGGCCATGCAAAACTAACCCCCAGCAGTTAGCTCTTCTAAATTCCATGGCAGTAAGCTTTGTGAATATTTTTTACATTTAGAGTAACTACTGTATTTCAGATTTGTCACATTTATGAGATGATAAAGTTGTATCCGACTGTGAACATGTATACTTTATTGCATTCCGCTCCTTTGTACATAATCAACATGTACGGTAGATCTCAGTGGATCTCATGGGACTCTAGTCAAGGAGGCAGAAGTGGGAAGAACACCGGGTCAGAAATGTGGAGATCGTGGGTCTGGTTCTGTCTGGCTACTCACTAGCTGTGAGAACTTACACTAGTCACTACCTCCAACAGGCCTCAGTTTCCTTGTCTAAAAGATGCAGGTAGACCAGATGATCTTTAGGATTCTTTTCCACTTTGATGGTCTTGAACTTTGATAAATGTTTCCCTGTCCAACACGGAAGGACAGGGAAAGAGAAGGTAAGAAGTTAAACAGTGAGCAGCACAGTAGTGCTGAGGTCGCGGGGCTGTGGAGAGAATGGGGGACGTCAACACAGGGGTCAGAAGGCCTGGTCTCCAGGGTGGGTTCTCGGTTCCTGCCCATTCTCCCTCAGTCTCTTAATGTGGGTGCTTAAGAACTCCACAAATGCCTGATTCACCACCTTGTGAAATAAATTTACCTTTCACTGAATGAATATATATTTCCATACACACATGCACACAAAATTATGTCTTACAGAACAGTCTGGATTCTCTTTAGCAGGGACTAAACAATTCCAAGATAAGTGTAAACAGTCAAACATTCCTGGACATTTTTAACAACTTCAAGTACTAGAGAAGAAATCAGCAGGCCACGGCTGCCAACCAGCACTAGAAACAGCACATCCGACAACCTCTGATCCTTTTCTTCAAAAGCCTATTTGAGTTTGATGAGAGACTGGGATGTTCCCTACCTAGGTGGTTAAAAATATAAGCTCAAAAGTCCTCATACAAGACTCAGACTCACATTTTTCCCTGCTGACCTGGGGGAGAGTTACATACAAATCTCCCTATCAAATTTCAAACAGTGATGTCTGTTGGGGAAAGGAAGAAATACAGTTTAAAACTAATTCTCAATATCTAGGAGCACTGCACTAGTTTAGTAAAAACCTCATTAGCCAAGGAAGCAGACACAATGCTATGTGAGTTCTTGGATTTTTCACTGGCCAGAAGCTCGCACGCACACACGCACACAGCCACAGCCCCCAAAGTCTGCACACAACACATACCATAGACAGGCTGTCCTGTTATTTGCTCTTTGGGGGAAAAAGCTGTCGTGGTTACTTTGAAATTAGATTAAGCTATAACAACTAAATCTGGAAGAACATGTTTGCTCACTGAACTTCTCATTTAATCGTGTTACACTTAACAGAGCCAGTCATTTCCAAGGTATTTCTGTTTTTCTCAATTGATTCCACACAGTTCTGTGGTTTTGACTTGTGCTGATCTTTTTCAATGAAAATAAATGAACCATCTGGAAAAACAAGTACACATAAAACACCACTTCCTACATTTTAAAATGTTAAATTTGGAAATTTTTTTTTCCAGAGGATTTTTGGTGCATTCTAAGTGCCAACAAATTTAATAAAAATTTCATGAAGAACTTCTGGAGAGGCAAAAAATGTGATCTGTGTTCTTCTGATGGCTTTATGAGTTGTGAAAAACAGGCACACCCTGCAATCCCATATTCTTGCTCAGACGCACCAGCCCTCAGAAAGGTGTTAGGACTTCTACCCATGGAAGTCCCCAACACAGGAGTCCTATCAGGGGCAGAGCCCAGTGAGGCAACCCCAAACACCTTATGGAAGGATAAGAGGCTGCAGCTGTTGGCCAGGGCACAGACAGGGCATCTATTCCAACTCAGGTATGATTTAACCTGGCCTGGGGGCCTGGAGCCAGAAGCACACTGGGGCCTGGCACTGAGTGGTATGGTAGGGCCTAACGGCTAAAACTCTCTCTCTCACCCACTGAGAGCCTCTGTGCTCCAGACATCCTGTTAGGGGCTCTCCCTCCATTATCTCACTCAGTTCTCACAACAGCCTTCAAGGCAGGTACTCCTGTGCCCTGTCACCAGGTAAGAAGCATTCATCCCTTCCCCCAGAGCTGGGTAGCACAGTTCCTGATAGTAGAGGATCTAATCAGAGTTTCCAGGAGTCCATCCCTCTGATGCTCCCCATTTGGGGAAAAAAAAAAAGGCACGCAGCTAAGTACTCCAACACCCTCATCCACAAACCCACCACTTTCAGAGGGGCAGGCCTGGGAGTGGAGGCGTGGATGGCAGCATGTTGCCAGAGAGGAAAAATAGACTGGAATTAAAGGCCTGAACCCAAGGTCTCACCCCAACACCTCACCTTGTCTTTCTGCAAGAGAAGATTCTTTCGTCCACAAAATCAGAATGACAATAACTGCCTGTCATTCTGTCATGGGGATCCAACGTGACAGTGCAAGCCAAAGTGTCCTGTCAACTGTGAAGGAGGCCATGGTCATCTGCTGACCCCTGGCTGGCACAGAGCAACTCACCTCAAAGCACCAGTGATTCTGAAACCCACCTGGAAGAAAAAACCAGCACACTCCTGACTCTAGGAAACAATAAGTGCTTACTGGGCACTCCTGACACTAGTCGAAGTGGTCGCAACACTCGAAAGGCACGGAGGGCTTTGACATCAAAGCCTCCAGATTTGCCGCTTGAGTGGTTCCCGCCTTCTGTTTCTTTGGTTAATTGTTCCAAAATTACACTAAACAATCTGAAAGAAGAGAAAGAGAAAGAAATGTTAGAGTCTGTTACCCCAGGGACGCAAAACAGGATGATAATCTTATTTATTTTTGAAAAGGGCTAATTCTGTGTGGCTGCTGCTTAAATAAAAGGAAGACAAAGACAAGAACTGGGCTGTGGAATTGGAATACAAACGACGCCATCTCCAAAATGATTGGGACAGGGATTAACCTCATCTGTTTTTACCGCAATGGAGCAACAGAGAGCAAGTCTGTTCCCAAAGAAGAGGGGACTCCCTGGGAACTCAATGATGACAAGTGGAACTGCTGCAAACTAAAATGACAACAGCCATCTTGGTGGCTACCATTCATGAGCACTTGCTATGTGCTAAGCACTGCACATACATTGTCACATTAATTCTCACAAAATGTTATGCAGCAGCAATTATGAACACCATGTTACACACGAGAAAACAAACTCGATAGGAATAAGTAGCTTGCCCAAGGTCACACAACTAGCAGCAACACATGTAAACACAGGCATGTGGACCCCACTAGAACACAGGTTCTGTAACAGCAAGGAGTTTTAGTCTGTTCTGCTCATTTGTGCATGTGGTCTGTTCTAGTCTAGTGCCTATTACAGTATCTGACACATAGGAAGTACTCCAAAAATATCTGATGAATCAATCAATGAATGACTTCAAAGTCTCACATCTTAATATGTTATATGTAGTCAATGTAGTCACTAACACACACACCCCAACCTTCACCTTCATAGGGATATTTGGAGGATGTAAATCACAGATACTAAGGAGCTGTGCAAAGGCTAAAGGCAGTTACCTAAGGTAAGGTATTAATATCATCATTCTCTCTCTTGAAATGTGAATAATATTGTACCTGGCAGCCACAATAAATTTTTTCCTAGTCTCAGAACGTTCAGATAAATCTATTTTCAGGCAATCTGCTCATTTAACAGTGACTTTTGCTCTTTTAAACAAATACTCTTTGGAATTATTGCTCGTTTTTCAGAGTAAGTATAAAATTTGCCCATTTCAAACAGCATCAACTCTGGCCAATCAGATTGTGGGAATGACTGGCCCAGCAACAAAGAAAAGGTGTCCAAAGTTTAATGAGCAGACAAAGCAGAAACTGCCCCCACTGGCGTGCCTCTGGATTGCCAAGACACCGAGTCCATAAAACATCGGGTGGTCTGATTACAGCCCTGATTGGGTATAGTTGTGTAGTTCTGGGGCATTTATAGATCAGCCCTTTGTTTTAATAACAGTACAGCAATTAGCAACGAACCCAGCCAGGAGGGAAAACAAGCCCGGTCTCTACCTTTACAAAGCTTCAGATGGTGAGCTCTCCCTAGTTATGACTGAGGAAATAGATCAAATTTATGACAGGCTTCTCTCTCTTCAGCATAGTTTTTAAAAGATTACTGTAAATCCCTGCAGCAAGGCTAAAGTGAAAAGTCTCTCCTCCAAAACAAATTCATAGCTTCAGAAAAACAAAGAAAAAGAAAGAAAGAAAACCTCAAACTCTTCTGAAATGTGCAAGCCACAGGAATTTTCACCCCAAAGGGTTAGCAAAGTAATTTATGCAGGTAGTGACTGAAGACTGCTTTCAAGTATCCATGTTTTGCAACATATACATCATGGTCCCTTTATTCCTTGTTCTTCAGCAATGTCCTTGAAAACACATGAAAAATGTCTCTCTCTTGCCACCAAAGAGGCCAAGTCAGAGAGAGAAGCAGGCTGTGTTCCCACACAGTGCAGGGCTGCAAGGGGCCGGGGCTGGTTTCCACTCCTAAGAGTTATGAGATATTAGGAAAGTCCCTCTCCTTCTCTGGGCCTCAGTTCTCCTCTCTATAAAATGACAAAACTGGATTTAACGACTCAGAGAATGACCTTTCCACTCTAATATTCCGTGATTCTGTTCCTCACCACCACGCCTCTCAAAAAAAAAAAAAGTGCCACGGGCCTGAAGAGATAAGGACAGGATGAGAAAGGAGTAACTGACTCTAGATTGTTATTAAAAGTTTACCCCAAGGTGGGAGAAAAAAGACAAGGAGCTGTCTAAACTGACTAAAGTCAGAAGCACCAGAATGAGGAGTCACATACAAGCCTTCACGTTCTTCAAAAAAAGCTTAAGTAATAGAGCCTGAATGCTTGAAATATATCTTTATTGAAATTTGGAGGCATGGGATAAGAGTTGGCTTAGATCAAACTTTTCTCTAAAGGAATAACTTCAGCTCTGGCAGACACACTGAGTCCTCTTGTGGTCACATTAACAGTTAACATTTTAGAAATATCAATTACTTTCTTAATGTCTTGACTATTGGGAATCTTGACAAAAGCAATAGGTCACTGTTGGAATGGAAAAATCCAGTGGATTGAGATACAGACTGTAGTTGGAAACTGTAGTGAGTAGGAATTTGATTCAAATGAAGACATCATAATTCTTCCTTTTCTTTTTTAAAACCTTTCTTCTGTTCTTTGACTCCAATTTCATACATATTTTAGATAAAAAATAATCTGATGTTCTGAAGTTTTTCTTAGAGTCCAGTTCTACTTCAGTTTCCTTTTTTTTGCATTTTAAATCACTTTATATTGCAGTTTAATTTATCTATAATAAAACACACTCATTTAAAGTGTACAATGGGTTTTGAAAAATGCATAAGCCTAAGCAACAAACACCATGATCAAGATAGGGAAGGTTTCAACATTTTAAATGATTCTCTTGTGCCCCTTTTGCACAGCCTTGTACAGAGCTTCCCTTGAAGCTCAGCCTTGAGTATCCAGTGATTGGCTGTTTATCGGTAGAGTTTTTTTTTTTCTTTTTCTAGAACTCATATAAATGGAATCACATAGTATGTTCTCCTGGCTCATCTTCTTTTGCTCACCATAATGTTTCTGACACTCATCCACGTTGTTTTATCAGCAGTTCATTTCTTTTTGTTGTTCTGTAATATCCCATTACACAAATACATCACAATGAGTTTATCCATTCGCCCGTTGAGGGATATATGGGTTGCTTCCAGTTTTTCTCTATTATGAATAAAGTTTTTTTGGGGACATGTGTTTTCATTTTTCTTGGATAAACACCTAAGAGTAGAACTGGTAATATGGTCATATGGTAAGTCTATGTTTAACACTGTAAGAAATGGGCGCATTTTTTCCAAAGTGATTATACCATTTTCCATTTCTACAAGTGGTGTATGAGAGTTCCAGTTGTTCCATATTTTGGTTAAGACTTGGTATGTTCAGTCTTTTTACATTTAGTAATACTAGTGGGTATGCAGTACTGTCACTGTAGTTTTAATTTGCATTTCTCTAATTACTAACAATGTTGAGCATCTTTTCAGATGTTTGTTGATGATTCACATATCTTCTTTTGTGAAGATCTGTTCAAATCTTTTACCTATTTGTTTATTGGGTTGTCTTCTTACTATTGGGTTGTAAGAGTTCTTTATATATTCTGAATACAAGTGTATGTATTGTGAATATTTTTCACAATCTGTGCCTTGCTTTTTCATTGTCTTCACACTGTCTTTTGAAGAAAAGTTTTAAATTTTGATAAAGTCAACATTTTCAATTACTGTTTCATGGCTGGAGCTTTTTGTGTCCCGAGACATCTCTGGCTACACTGAGGTCATAAAGATTTTATCCAATATTTTCTACTATAAATTTCATGGTTTTACACTGCTCAAAGAAATCAGACATGACACAAACAAATGGAAAAACATACCATGCTCACAAATAGGAAGACTCAATATCAATTAATTAGCCATACTGCCCAAAGCAATTTACAGATTCAATGTTATTCCTATCAAACCACCAATGACATTCTTCACATAACTAGAAAAAAAATTTTTTTAATTCATATGGAACAAAAAAGGAGCCTGGATGGCCAAGGCAATCCTAAGCAAAACAACAAAGCTGGAAGTGTCACACTACTTGACTTCAAATTATAATACAGGGCTGCAGTAACCAAAACAGCATGGTGCTCATACAAAAACAGACACACAGACCAACAGAACATAGCAGAGAGCCCAGAAATAAGGCCACACACCTACGACCATCTGATCTTCGACAAAGGTGACAAAAACAAGCAATGGGGAAAGGACTCCCTATTCAATAAACCATGCTGGGATAACTGGCAAGCCATATGCACAAGATTGAAACTGGACCCTTTTCTTATACTATATACAAAAATCAACTCAAGATGGATTAAAGACTTAAATGTAAAACCCAAAACTATAAAAAACCCTGGAAGACAACCTAGGCAATACCATTCTGGACATAGGAATGAGCAAGGATTTCATGACTAAGATGCCAAAAGCAATCACAACAAAAGCAAAACCTGACATATGGGCCTAATTAAACTTAAGAGCTTCTGCACAACAAAAGAAACAGGGTAAAAAGACAACCTACAGAATGAGAGACAAAGGTCTAATATCCAACATCTATAAGGAACTCAAACAACTTCTCAAGAAAAAAAGAAAAATCCCATTAAAAAGTCAGCAAAGGACATGAAGAGATACTATTCAAAAGACATACATGTGGTCAAGAAGCATATTTTAAAAAGTTCATATTACTGATCGTTAGAGAAGTGCAAATCAAAACCACGAGATACCATTTCACACCAGTTAAAATGGCTACTCTTAAAAAGTCAAAAAATAACAGATGCTGACGAGGTTGCAGAGAAAAGGGAATGCTTATACACTGTTGGTGGGAGTGTGAACTAGTTCATCCATTGTGGAAAGCAGTGTATCAATTCCTCAAAGAGCTAACAACAGAACTACCACTTGACCCAGAAATCCCATTACTGGGTACACACCCAGAGAAAAATAAACCATTCTACCATAAAGACACATGCATGTTAATGTTCACTGTGGCACTATTCACAATAGCAAAGACATGGAATCAACCTACATGCCCATCAATACAGATTGGATAAAGAAAATGTGATACACATACACCAAGGAATACTATGCAGTCATAAAAAAGGACAAGATCATTTCTTTTGTGGGCACGTGGATGGAGCTGGAGGCCATTATCCTTAGCAAACTAACGCAGGAACAAAAAACCAAATACCACACGTTCTCACTTATAAGTAGGAGCTAAATGATGAGAACACATGGACACAAAGAAAGGCCATTATCCTTTCTTCATGATAATGATTTTAATAAGGATTTACCTAGGTTTAAATCTAGCAACTTGCCGTTTGTTTTCTATTTGTCCTGTCCTTTGTTCCTTTTTTCTTCTTCCTTGCCTGTTTTGGATTTAGGGGTTTTTTTTAAATTCCATTTAATCTCTACAATAGGCTTATTAGATAGACCTGGGATTTTCTTTTTTAGTGGCTTCTCTAAGGCAAGTGTCAGTAAACATTTTCTATAAAGTGCCGAATAGTAAATATTTTAGAATCTGCAGGCCATAGGGTTTGTCACAACTACCCAACTTTGCCATTATAATACCAAATAGCCATAGGCATGACTGAATGTGGCTGAATTACAATGAAGCTTTATTTGCCAAAGTAGGCAGTAAATAAAATACTTTGTCAATGGTGGGGGAAAAAAAGGCTCAAACTAGATTTGGTCTACAGGTTGTAGCTCACCAATCCATACTCTAGGGTTTACAATATACATCTTAAAGGTATCACAGTCTATCTTCAGATAATATTTAATCATTCCAACTACTGTATAAGTACATCACAAGACCATATGGCTATTTCCCTGTTCCTATTCTTCATGCTACCATTGTCATGTACTTTATTTCTATAGAAGCTATAGACACCACAATACACTGTTATTATTTTTGCTTTAAATAATTACCTTTAAAGAAATTTTTAAACGAGGGGAGAAATATCTGTATATGTACCCACGTATTTACCCTTTCTGGTACTCTTCATTCTTTTTTGTGTAGAGCCACTTTCTGGTACTCTTCATTTCTTTCTGTGTAGATCCACTTTTCTACCTCGTGTCATTTTCCTTCAGCCCTGAGGAACTGTCTTTAACACTGATTGAGGTACAGGTCTATTAGTCATGAATTCTGAAACTCTAGAATGTCTGAAAAAATTTTGATTTTGACTTTAACTCTGAAAGATATTTTACTGAGTGAGAATCCTAGGTTGACATTTTTCCCCAGTACTTTAAAGATGTCTCTCTATTGTCTTCTGGCTTGCATAGTTGTTGACAAATAGTCTGAGATTTTCTTTTCTCTGTTTTAAGGTTTTCTCCTTATCTTTGGTTTTTAACAATTTGATTACAATTATGATGTGCTTGATGTGGCTTTTTTCATGTTTATTTTGCTCAGGCTTTGCTGAGCTTCTTGTGAGTTTCATTTTTCATCACATTTGGAAAATCTGGAGCTGTTTCTTCAAAATTTTTTTTCTGTCTCCTCTTTCTCTCCTCTCCTTCTGAGGCTCCAAATATATATATATGTTAGACCACTTGTTATTCCCCCACAGGCCACAGAGGCAGTATTCATTTTCTCCTCAATCATTATTCTTCATGTTATTGCCATATGTTCAAATTCCCTGATATTTTTTCCTTCTATAGTGTTTAAGCTGAGGTTAAGCCAAACCAGAGAATTTTTCATTTTGGATATATTTTTCATCTCTTAAAGTTCCATTTGTTTTTTTTTATATTGTCCCATCTTTCCTTACTATAATCAGGTATCCCTTTAAGTCCATAAATTTATAACAGCAGTTTTTAAAGCTTTGTGAAGTCCTTCTCTAATTCCATCATCTCTGTCATTTCAGGATCTGTTTCTACTGACGGAGTTTCCTCCTGGTTATGGGTCACATTTCTTCATATGTTCAGTGTCTGGATTTTGTTGTCTTCCTTTAAAGAATGTTGAGTTATGTTCTGGCAGGCAGTTCAGTTAGCATATCAGTTTGCTTTTTTTTTTGAAATGGAGTCTCACTCTGTCACCCAGGTTGGAGTGCAGTGGCATGGTTTTGGCTCACTGCAACCCCTGCCTCCCAGGTTCAAGCGATTCTCTTGCCTCAGCCTCCCATGTAGCCGGGATTACAGGCATGCGCCACCACACCCAGATAATATTTGCATTTTTAGTAGACAGGGGGTTTCACCATGTTGGCCATGCTGGTCTTGAACTCCCGACCTCAGGTGATCCACCCACCTCGGCCTCCCAAAGTGCTGGGATTATAGGCATGAGCCACCATGCCCAGCCTAGTTTGCTTCTTTTCAGACTTCTTTTCAAACATTGTAAGCAAGGATTTCAGGTAGTCTCTGTACTCTAGAGCAGCAATTGGCAAACTTTTTCTGTAAAAGGCCAAATAGTAAATATTTAAATATTTTAGGTTTTGTAGACCTAAACTACTCAAACTGAACTATGTAAACAAATGAGTGTGGCCATGTTACAATAAAACTTTATTTATAAAAATAGGTGGCAGGCTAGATGGGCTAGGACTTAGCCCATTGGCCACAGTTTGCCAGCCCCTGCTCTAGAGCCAGTTTAGCACTACTACCAGTGGCCCTGTGGGGTCTCTACTGACAGTCCAGGGTGTTCAATGAGGTCTTTCCACCCTAATTAGTCAGAATTTGAATGCCTTCCAGTCCTTTGTGAGCCCTGGTTATTATTCATTTTACAGCTCCCTGATCTTTCTCTTTTCCCTAGTAGTGGTCTTTCCTGGCCTCATGGACTCACAACTCCGTGTAGGCGTAGCTTAGCCCTCAGCCAAAACTGAAGAGTACTCTAAGGCATATTTATGAAGCTCTTTCTCTAAATAGCTCCCTCCCCTCCCCTATTCTGCCTCCCCAAACTCTTGTCTGTCTCCTTAACTCAATAAGACCACCATGCTCCACTTGGTTCCCTGTCCTTGTGCTGTGCTGTAGTGTGAAAAATGTCTCCAGGCAGAAATATGAGGTGATCATAGCACGGTGACGCAAGAAATGGGGCTAAGCATCTCCATTCCTAGCTGAACAAAAAGTCCAGTGGCAGAAGAGGCACAGCCAGATTATCCCAGAACCAACATACCTGCAAGGCTTCGGCTTGCCATTCCTCGACAGAGTCCACCAAATACAGGAAAGTACGGCACATATCTGCTACCTGTTCATTTTGGTACACTTCTTTTGCAATGATGCCTTAAATGACAATGTATTGGCGGCGGGGGCGGTTTGAAAAGCTAACTTGTTTCCCACAAGTCTAATTGTCCCACTGGGCAATTAGGATCTCATATTAACTTCCTAGGTTGAAAGGACCTAGGAAGGCCCACAACCAATTCCACTCTCCCAATACCCAGCAGAATTAGTCTCCAATGAAAAGGCAAAAGATTCATGATAAAAGGATAATCCACAAGAAAAATCACCTTGCTCAACTGCAAAAGGCAGTTCACTGAAGTCATGAAGATGAAAACAGAGAGGCTATTTACAGAAACATAATTTGAGGAGCAACTCACTTTACAGCTAGCATAACTAAGACTGGGAAAAAGGATATATCTTATCTTCCTACATGGGTATTTGGTCCAAAGACCCAGCATTCCTGTAACATGGATTCATTTTTCTCTTCCTGGCAACATTTCCAGGTGTGGAAGGACTAAAATAACACAGGCCACTATTTTTTATTTTAACATTCTCCTTTCACTAAAACTACTGATGTCTTCTTCCTGCAACAGGATTTTGGTGGAACACCTGCTTCTCTGCATTTTCTAGCTTATTTCATTTTATGCCAGATACGTGACATTATCCAGACACTTGTTTCATTATTTAAAATGGAACAGTAGTATGCCAGAGTTTCTCCCGCAAGTCAGCAAAAAAAAAAAAAAAAAAAAAAGAAAATTAATAGCTTTGCTCAAGGGATGTTAAATAGCAGAGTACCTTACTGCTATGAAGGTTTTATTACTTTTTACTTTTTTTAACTTAACATTGGCACTAAGTATTAAAAGCTCTACTCATTTGACTCTAATCACCAACAGGGTTGGTCTATTTCTGGAGATCCAAGACCGTGTTAGGTAAAGCCTCTCATATTAGGAGTTCAGACTCCCTTCTATAACATGTTACTAAAAACGGGAGTAACAACGAGAGAATTTCAAACTAGTATCTGCCCAGAGACTGACAGCAGCATCACCAGCCTTAAAAGAACTCCTGAGAGGTTCTGGTGCAACAGCTGGCATAAAAGAGCAACCACATTCCCTAAAAAGACTGTTTTGTTACCACCACCCCCCCCAACCTCCACCTCCCATTTTCCAAATCAACATTTCCCCAAAGTAAAAGAGACTTACCCTACTATTACTATAACAAAATCCAGTAAATTCCATCCATTCCTAACATAAGCATTAGGATGTAGCAATAATCCATACGCTATAATCTTCAAAAATGTCTCGACTGTAAAAATAATCAGGAAGGCATATTCTACTTTTTCCTGTGAAGAAAAACAAAGAAACATACCAAAAAAGCAGGGGCAGGGGAGGAAGAGGAGACAGAAAAAGGAACAGAGATTAGAATCAACACCTTAGACATATAAGCATTTCCCTCCAAACAAAGTTTCATTATGAGAAATGGAACAATTACACTGCCCCTGGGCCAGGAAGGCATTTACATTCTAACACTGAATTTCTCATAAGCAACTACGTGTGCAACACTTTTCGTTCCAGGCTGCATGACTGCATTTTGCCAACTGCCCCAATGCGTGTGATGAGTCTGCCTAGGACATAACAGGCATGTTTGTTATTTGCACACATTTGCAAAACGCAGCATGCTTTCCTCCTGAGGTTGCCAAATCAGGCCCAGAAAAGCACAAGGGTACAACAAAGATTCCAATGGTGTCTTTGAACAGAAGAAATTCATCCTCTGGAAAAAATGAAGATGCATCTGTTTTGACCCTCTCTTCCTCTTGGGTTTATGTCTGAGTTCGAAGTCACAGTCAGCTTTGTCACTGAGTAGCAAGGTAACCTTGGACAAGTCCTTCTCCTCCTCTGGATATAAGTTTTTGCATCCACACAATAAGGGAAGTAAATTCAGGATGGCAAACACCCTGCCTGCTTATTGGCATGCCGCCTCTCCCGGCTGAACTTGTGACAGGTCATCATGCACTTTCCCAGGAAACCTAGGCAGAGCCTCTGACCTTTCCTCTAGTATCCATCCCAGCAGCCATGCCCATCTGACTGCCACAGACCTCACAGGTGCTGCTCACGGGCTAAATGACTCGTAGAACCTTTCCAGTTCCAACCCATGCAACTCCATGAGCTGTGGAAAACATACCAATCAGCAAGTCTAAAAACTTTGACTCCTTCCTCTTTTACAAATGTTTTCTTTATACAGCTTCAGTTTCAATAGAAACATGGACCAACAGAGATGTGTGTAATTAACTTTGCAAGAGGCATTCCTCGGCATGAAGCTACTTAAATAACAAAGTATCATCAGCAACTGTAACTTTCCAATATGAACTATAGAGTCCTATACTAATATCAGTGGGACCCGAAAAGTTACCAATACCTTAGAGAAATGGAGGTCATGAAATTCACTCATTAAAATGCCTAGGGCAAGAGGTCAAAATAAAATAGGCTCAGGAAACACGTGAACACCACTTCTAAATGACAGGCACTGTACCAGGAGCCAGAAAAATGTCCCCACTATGGTACCTGTCATTTAGTCTGTTGGTGTGGGGGGGAGGTGTGTGGAGGGGGAAGTTTTGAATGTACACACAGAGAATTTCTCAAGAGTCACAAAAGTAGTAACTGACAAGAGCGATTCTCTATCTTCAGCCCTCCCATCAGGCCACCCCTGCCTTTTCACAACGGATTCCAGGGGGAAAAAAAGCACTTTGCTATATATTATCACTATTATATATTTTTATGCAATAGGCAAATGTGTATTTGAAAATAAATTTTATGTTTCTGAAGAGAACACTTTATATTCAGAAACATTTTTAAAAACACAAATTTTAGGATGATTCCCATAAGCCTGACCCTTTGAGGAACCGTCACCTATTAAATGTTTGCTTGCAGTATCCCCAACACCCTTGTGCATTTAAATGGAAGCCTTGCCTGTGCTGCCCCTGGGCTCCGGCTGTCTGCTGCCAGAATCGCTTCCCCTCTGTCACCGGCCGTGCCAGGCAGAACATCCCTTTGTCGTGCCACAGGTATCCTCCCTCTTGACCACCATGCAGCCATGGCCATGCATCCCAGTCTTTGCCCCCATTCTCCACTCTTCACTGGTCATATAACAGGGCTTCCTTCCAAGGACAGGGCTGTTGTGGTTCCTGTCATTTCTAAACACTTGCCCTCCAAAGCTCCCTTTGCTCCTCAGAACACCATTATAACAGTCTAGTGAACGAATTGTGTGTGTGTGTGTGTGTGTGTGTGTGTGTGTTTTGAGAGTTAGCCAGCATCAGTGTGTTTATAATTTAATTTAGAAAGCCTAGCTCATCTCCAACCTCTATACTCATGCCCCCTCTAGACTTCAGACCAGTCCTGTTCTTAGCCAGGCTCATCCCATGCCCCCATGCCTTCTTCCCCCATGCCCTTCATACAGCTACATGAAATGCCACGCTCAGAGCTACGAGGATGCCCTTCCTTGCTTACTGTCCAGATTCCCCGTTGCCCCATTCCCTGCCATATCCCCCAGAGGAGTGCTTGCTCGGGAGGCATGCGAGGCGTGGCTGCTGGAGGAACGATCACACACTCAGGCCACTGCGGTATTCTGAGGAGCAGGGACCAGCATTGCCACTGGATAGAGGGAAAGATACAGGAAGGCCTCAATGAAGCCATAACATTAACTCTGAAAGCTCAAAGAAAAAGGAACTCTGTTACTTCAACCAGAGGCAAAAATCCCTGAAAATGCCAACCCACAGTGCTCACATCAGACCCTGACCACCAAAGGCAGATTGTCAATATGTTTGAGACTTAAGAGTTCTAAGGGAACCAGAGAAGCTAAAAACAGCACACTGATTTTACAATTCATCCCTTTTTATCCTTGCTGCTTTATTTACTAGGCCAGAGAGAAAAAAAAAAGCTTTTGCTGCCATCAATATTCATAGCAGTTACATACCTACGTCAAGACAGCACACTATACTTCAGAGCAGAAAAACAAGGCAGAGAACAGACAGTACACCTCCCAAACAAAGCTTGTTTTTCCTCTCTGACTTTTATTTAGAAGAAATTTTGCCACAATAACACAAGGGCCATTAGTATAAATGAACTGTTTAACGTTCTTTTTCCTTCTCCTTTGCCCTCTCCCTGCTTTTTAAAGAATTTGGTTTCTCTTTCCAAAATCCTTAGTGAATTATTTGATGGGATTCTTCATAAGAAATACAAACTTCCTTTAATGCAATTCTTTATTACAGAGATTCTACCATGATGCCAACTGAACAATCACAGCCTGGAGAGCAGGCAGACCAGTTTGTCTAGAAGCCAATGTCATCCCGGTCCTCAATCCTGCCACTAAAAAGGAATCCTATGAAACAGGTATCCCTCCACATTCAACAAATGAAGTATTATTTTTAAATCTTGCAAAACGTCGTTCAGGAGAAGTGGGATAATTATTCGCCTTACAAAAGGATTGTTCATTTGAGAAAAGAATGTTGAATTAACAATTTGAAAAGGAAGCCAACAAGAAAGTCAGGTTCCTAACAGGCAAGGTGGGACTGTGGGCCCAGCCAAAACAGCTAGGTGAGAGGTGACACATAGAGGACACTGAGGTCTGTGGCCACGACTGATGGAAGCACAGAGGAAGAAGCACTGTCAAGGATGAAAGACTGGGATGGCAGAAGAAGGGGCCAGCAGGAACCCTCTAGAACCATACATGAAATGAGGCGTCCCTGGTATAAAAGGCCTGAGCAGGAGCTGTACCTTAACAGCCCTTCCCCAGGTACAGGGAAAGAGTAAATGATTCTTGCATCTCATCCCCCTCTGTGTGCCAGGCAGAGTCACACCTGTGGCACTCAGTCACCCACCAGCAGGGATTTCTTCTCCCTGGCAGGAGATCCTGAGTAGGCAGGGCCAGTCAAACCTTCCTTTAGAAAACAACGTCCAGAAACTACCCTGTATATGGACGGATGTCCCCCCACTCCCTCCCCCTACCCCGCCCACGAGAACTCAAGCCACTAGAGAAACAAAGGCTGAAATCTAATTCTAAAACCTGATGTGTCTTCTTTAAACAGTGAAATTTCACCAACAGGAGAGGCTCTAAATCAGTAGTCTCTAAACTAGTTAATAATCTCCAAACCAGTTAATGCTGTACAGAATCTTGAGAAACAGAAACTGTCAACTAGCAGGAGGTGGGAGATGCCAAAATCCTTCATTAGACTTGGTACTTTCCTTTCCTATTTTAAGAATCCTCTTATTAGTGCTGTGGCATGAATACTTGTCCATCTGTCTATCCATCTATCCCCGAGCACCTGCATCCTTCTCAGCAAAGCCAGAACCCTGTCCTCACAGAGCTCCCAAGCTGCTGTCAAAAGGTGAACAGAGGCTTGATGCAGCCAGGTAAGAGTCACTTCTCTGTTTTGCTCTTCCACCCATGTGCCCCAAGGCTTTGGGAAGGCTTTCTGGCTTATACTCTGCCAGAAGTCCCCCTCTCCCACTGACACCTTCCATTCCTTCTGTGCCCTGCAGTCCTGGATTCTCTATTGAAAGGGGCCCTCTCTTTGTGTCTTTAACTGTAGCATCAGACATATGTAAGGCACTCATAGGTGCTACTAGAAAGCAGAGAAGAAAAAAACCGAAAGGAATAAAGCTATAGATCTAGACATGTAGAGGCTATTACAGCATGAGGTTTTATGATCCTAGCATATGTATTTAAAAAACAAAAACAAAAAACAGGATACATATGTATGTA